>NW_018654717.1:3050137-3351718 GCF_000001405.40 Homo sapiens | reverse complement strand
ATATGGTAAAGTAGGATTAGAAAACAAAACTGTTTGGCTTTTTCTTAAGATAAAAAGCACGGCTTTTTTTCTTTTTCTTCTCTTTCTTTTTTTTTTTTTTTTGAGACAGAGTCTTGCTTTATCACCCAGGCTGGAGTGTGTAGTGGCTCGATCACAGCTTACCACAGCCTCCAACTCCTGGCCTCAAACAATCCTCCTGCCTCAGCCTCCCAAAGCGCTAGAATTACAGGCATGAGCCACCACGTCAGGCCCCAAAAGCATGGATATTACTCTGAATTTGAACTTCAATCTTGGTGTATAGAAAACTCAGATAGGATGGTATATATTTTTGTATATTCACATGCCTTTGTGTGTTCATTTATTCATGTCTATTTCACTCCAGCAAGGGTGTGAGCTTTCCTGTTTGTCCTGCTGCTTCCTTTCCCTTCTCTTCTACATCGGGTGAGCTTTTACTCATACTCCAAAAGCCAATTCAATTATCAGCCGCTCTGTGAAACCTTCCCCAGCTCACCCAGGCTGGATGAATTTCACCCTTCCTCATGCTTCTATGGCTATCCCATTTAGACTGTTAACAATGTCTACTAGATGATAAGCTCCCTGAGGCCTCATTTATCTCTATGTCCTCGGCATCAGCCCAGGCCCACTATGTGTACAGCATGAAGCACAGGAAGCCCTCTGTGCTCATCCTTCCTGTTTCCCTCTGTCTTTCTGGCTTCGCTCTGCTTCCCCGCCCAGGACCCCCAGGGGCTTGGACTCCTTCCTCAGCCTGTCTCCAGTGTGCGTGCAATTGGCCTTGGCTGGGTGGATCCGTTGAATTCTGGGCGAAGTGTGGGCGAGTTCAGGGGGGCTGTGATCTGAGCCAGCTGCTATCCGTCATCAGCCTGACTGTCGCCCTCCGTCTGGCTAGCTCCGGTGCCTCGCTCTCAATCGCTCCCTGACTCAGGAATGGAAGAGATGCATTATCTATTGCTCCCCTGCCAAACTCCCAACATCTGACATTTGTACAGTGCTTTTCAGCTTACAAAGCACTTCCACATCCATTATTTCAAGGGCTGTAAATAAGGCAACAAAGTGCTGCCGGAGTATCGGGAGCCAGTGATTAATTTCATTTGGGGAAGCCACAGAATGCCTCACGAGGAGCACGCGAATCAGGCTGAAGGTCTCTGAATTCTGCCCCTTCCAAGGCATTGTAAAGAGAACACAAGCCGCGGAGGCCATGCGCACATTTCCAGCATTTGCTTCAACTACCCTCTGGTGTGCTTTTCTCAGCCACTGCGCCTTCATGCATCTCCCCCTGATCTCTGACATCCGTGGGTAATGAGCTGGGGTTTCTAATTCCTACCACAGGAGGTCCTGGCTGGGTCAACCTGTTTGGACATGCTACTGTGATATGACCTGGCGTCCTCTGTGGGTCAAGACCCCATCATCCTTTTCTGGGATCACGCTCTGTGACCACGACTCTTTTCCTTGGTGTTGCTACCGTAGAATCAGCTGACAAGGATGACAGCTTTGAGCTCTAATATTCTATGATCGTTGGTCTTCATAACTTTAGAAGGAACTGGGTTTCTTCCCTTAGCCACAGCAAAGGCCTCATGATATCAGAGATACTGTCACAAGCGGGCACACACACGGTGACTCTGCGGTCACCATCAGTTTTCCTAGGATGTGGGTTCACCAGGAGGCACTTCATGAATGTGGATGGGCTGAAAGGCACTTTGGAACAAACAGCTTCCACAAAAGTGGCAAATTCTAATCAACATTGTTTTTCAAAGTGTTAGAAGATACATTGCATTTCAAGGCAAAGGGAAAAAAAATAGAATTGGAAGTAAAGAAAGGGAATTGACAGACAGAAATGAAACAAGTCAATCTAATTTCAAAGCCCATCCTGAACCAAGGGTAAAATAACACACAGGGTTTGTGAAAAAAGGAAATCTAATATTTATAAGGGGTTCAACATCTAAGGGATAATAAATTGCACTTCAGAGGAAATGCCGTATTAGATAAATTTTATCTTGACACTGAACCCTTTAAAATGCCTGTAAAGCTTGTCTTGTACATCTGTTCTAGCCCACATACCAGTCTGTCCCTGGTAGTAACTGAAGGGTTATTTTGCTGAGAAAAATCTCTTTGACTTAGAAGCTGGAAGAAAGAAGAGGGAAGCTCAGAGATTGGAATCTAAATGAGTAATAGAAAAATTTCAAATGCCACCGTGGCAGGGAAAAGATGAACTCAAGTCTGTGATAACTGACACTTCTTACATTCAATTCTATTCTATCTTCCCTCCAAACACACTCTTAGCCTGGTTTAACATCATTTAAGTCTGTTTGGAATCACAGTGGAGAAAGCGACAAAGGAAATGGAATCGGTGAAGTGCATTGTTGGGTGAAATTACCTGTGGAGATGGGACACTGGGTGGTCCTGAGTCACTATGGACTGAGCTCCTGTGGCCCTCGATAACAGGTGCTGATGGGGTGGGAAGGACAGTGTCTCCAGCTGGGAGTGTATAGGTTTGGGTGGGTAGGGTGTGTGTTGGTTGACTTCTATGTGTCAAGTCGACTGGGCCAAGGGATGCCTAGATAGCTGGTAACACATTGTTTCTAGGCATGTCTGTTGAGGGTGCTTCTGGAAGACATTACCATTTTACTCAGTAGATGGAGTAAAGAAGACCCACCCTCACCAATATGGGTGGGCAGCATCCAGTCTGTTGTGGGCTCAAATAGAACAAAAAGGCAGAGGAAGGAGGAAATCACTTTCTCTTCTGGACCTGGGACGTCCATCTCCTCCTGCCCCTGGCCATCAGCACTCCTGGTTTGGGGGTTTTCACCTCAGACTGGGACTTACACTGTCAGTTTCCTGGTTCTCAGCCTTTGGGCTTGGACTGGAAGGACACCACTGGCTTTCTTGGGCCTCCAGCTTGCACATGGCAAATTATGACACTTTTTGGCTTCGGTGATTGTGTGAGCCAAGCCCTCATAATAAGTCTTTCTATACATCTATAGATATTCTATTGGTTCAGTTTTCTGGAAAGCCCTGATGAATACAGGGAGTAAGGGACTAAGTGCAGTACACATGGAGGGTGTTGTGTATGCGTGCACGTGCATACGTGTGCATGTGCACGTGTGTGTGATGCAGAGTGATGGTTGGGATCTAATGGGTGGGTGAGCCACCCGTTAGCAGGTGAGGTTCCTGCTGGGAGTTTCTGCTGGAGCTAGAACTCCCTTGGCTTTGTGACTCAGCTGCTTTAGTTGGTGATTTACCTCATTCATCAAAGCTTCAGAAGGGACACCTTGTAAAACAATGGCAAATAATCCTAACTATGACCCCAGGAAAAGGGTGGATATTGTCCAGCATTTGTTCAATATCAAAGGTAATATGTTTTATACAAATGCACTTTCACTTTACCTATGAATAATCAGATGATTGTGATATTCTCATACCTTATATTTAGTGATGAGCATTCAACTTGACATTATGAATGTTCAATAAACCTGGATTCAAATGCAGTTTCACCACTTACCTTAGAAACTTTGAGTCCTTTGAACCTAGTTTCATGATTTCAAAAATGGGGATTAAATCCACTTTGAAGGCGTGTTTGGAAGATTGAGAACATTTGGTAAAGGGCCTAGAACACACTAGGTGCTAATTAAATTCCTCTTTCTTTCTGCATCCTGAACACATTTGATTTTTTTTAAAGAAGAAAAAAGTATTATACTAGATTTTTATTTCAAAAAGTAATTCATCCTTAGGCCTTAGATATTTGACCAAGGCACTAATTCCTAAATCTTAAAAATAAAAGTGGCCATAAATATCATATCATTCTTTTTGAAATTTTTTATTTGGAAATAACTGAAAATTTGTAGAGAAGTTGCAAGTATAGGAATAGTCTCTCTCTCTCTATGTATGTATACATATATTCATAAAATTTTTCTGAACCATTTGAGAATGAGTGGCATTCAATTCAGCCCTTATCCATTAATATTTCAGTGTTTATTTCCTAAGAATAGGGCTATTCTATTATTTTACCATAACGTAGTAATCAAGTTCAGCAAATTTCACATTGATAGAATACTTTTCATCAAATTTCTATCCTTATTCCAGTTTCATCAATCAGCCCAATAATGTGCTTTATAAAACATTTCTCTTTCTGCCAATACGGGATGCAGTATAGGATTGGGCATTCCACTGCCATGTCACCTATAATCTGGATGAATGGCAACTATATCTTACCATTTTTATAATCATCGGTCTATGAGGTACATGTACATGGCTAGCTACTGCGCTTATAATTCAATTAAGAGGGGACTGGAATAACCACCTACTATTTACCTGGACATTCAGTGGCTTCTGTCTGCAGCAAAAATTATAGACTCATCTATCTGGGTTTCTAGTCCACTGTAATATACCCTGTGATGGTTAATTTTCTGTGTCACCTTTACTGTCCCATGGGATGCCCAAACATCTGGTTAAAATTCTTTCTGGGTGTGTCTGTTGGGGTGTTTCCAAAAGAGGTCAGCATTTAAATTGGTAGACTGAGGAAAGCACTTAGCCCTTCCCAGTGCCTGAACATCATCCAGTTTGTTGAAGGCTTGGAACAAAAAGAATAAGGAAGGTAAAATTCATTCTCTGACTGCGTGAGCTGGAACGTTCATTTCTTCTTGCCTTTGGCACTCCTAGTTCTCAGGCCCTCAGACTTGGACTGGAGTCTACAGAATTAGGTCTTTGGCTCTCAGGAGGGCTTCAAACTGCACCACTGACTTTGCTGGGTCTCCAGCTGCAGATGGCAGATCATGGGACTTCTTGGCCTCTATAATCATGTGAGCCAATATCTTATCATCTCTCTTTCTCTCTCTCTCTCTAGATATATGTATCTCCTGTTGGTTCTGTTGGTTCTGTCTCTCTGGAGAACCCTAATATACACTCTAATTATCTATACACTATTCCTCATATGGAGTTGGCAACTTGTAGATGGAGGAAGCATAAGCTTGGTGCAGGCAGCTCTGGGTGTGGATTCTAGTTCTACTACTTGTCGACTGCATGGCCTCTAGCAAGTTTAACTTCTAATTTCTTGCAAATAAAGTTATAGCCGCTCAATAAATAATTGTGGAATGGATACATATATCCACTTCATAGACTTGTTGGGAGGACTGTGTGCAATAATTTACCTAAATGAGCCTGCAAAGGTGCTTGGCACACAGCACGTTCTCAAAAATGATTATTCCTTTGCCTTGCTTCTGTCAACCCCTATTGACTCCAATAGGCCGAAGAAGAGACCTGGAGCCAGCATGAGACATGAGGTTTATTGAGGACTCACAAACGGGCTGTCCAGTGTGGCAGGCTGGATAGGAGAAGTGCTACTTCTTGTAGAAAGCATATATACAGGCCGGGCGCGGTGGCTCATGCCTGAAATCCTAGCATTTTGGGAGGCCGAGATAGGAAGATCATGAGGTCAGGAGATCATGACAATCCTGGCTAACATGGTGAAACCCCGTCTCTACTAAAAATACGAAAAAAAAATCACCCGGGCGTGGTGGTGGGCGCCTGTAGTCCCAGCTACTCTGGAGGCTGAGGCAGGAGAATGGCGTGAACCCGGGAGGCGGAGCTTGCAGTGAGCGGAGATGGTGCCACTGCACTCCAGCCTGGGCGACAGAGCGAGACTCCGTCTCAAAAAAAAAAAAAAAGAAAGAAAGAAAGCATATATGTAGCAATTTTAACTCAGCACGTTTTACCTAGCAACCTACATTTAACCCACCCCCAAAAAAGGCCTCCATCCCCTACATGGCCTGCCTTCCAAGGAATGGAACAGGGGTTCGGTTGCCTTTCGTAGAGACAGTGAATCTCCAGGTTGGCCACTCCCAGATTCCTTAGCTGGGAACTCTGAACACACACTCTTCTTAGAGCATAGGGTCATTCTTAGGGTGTGCTTCAGTTATTGCTGTCATGTGCATCTGTCATACAGCTTCTTGCTAGAGTAAGATTGTCCACCTCCTTAAACCATGTGATGGGGTTTGGCTGTGCCCACCCAAATCTCACCTTAAATTGTAACTCCCATAATTCCCAAATGTTGTGGGAGAGACGCAGTGGGAGATCATTGAATCATGGGGGTGGTTTCCCCCATACTGTTCTCGTGGTAATGAATAAGTCTCATGAGATCTGACGGTTTTATAAGGGGTTTCCCCTTTCACTTTGCTCTCATTCTCTCTTGCCTGCCGCCATGGAAGATGTGATTTCTGCCCTCTGCCATGATTGTGAGGCCTCCCTAGCCACGTAGAACTGTGAGTCTATTAAACCTCTTTTTCTTTGTAAATTACCCAGTCTCAGGTATGTCTTTATCAGCAGCACGAAAACAGACTAATACGCTAGGGAATGGCACATTCATTCCCACTTCTCAACTTTGCTCACGGAGGCCCCAGCTCAACCTTGTTCTCTCCTTTCTTTGCAGCCTACCGAAAGCCTGAATATTCGTTAAGCTTCAGCTCTGGTTTTTTACATCCTTCATAAAGACCTCATTAATCTCATCACTCTGTCTCTCTCTACCCTCTATACCGCTACAATATCATGGATTCAGCAAAGGTTTTAGAAATACTTAATGAATGAAATCCTAGAATGAATACTGAATGAATGAATTCTAAAATTTGTGGGCCCCATTATGCCTATAGATGTAAAAAAATTCTCACAAAAAGAAGGGAGTAAGTGGGGTGCAGTGGCTCTTAACTGGAATACCAGTGCTTTGGAAGGTCGAGTAGGGAGGATTGCTTGAATCCAGGAGTTCAAGACCAGCCAGAGCAACAAATTAGCTGGGCATGGTGGTGTCTGCCTATAGTCCTAGCTACTCAGGAGGCTGAGGCAGGAGGAACGCTTGAGCCCAGGAGTTCAGGGCTGCAGTGAATTATGATTATGATTGCACCACTGCACTCCAGTCTGGGAGATAGAGCAAGACTCTGTCTTTAAAAATAAACAAACAAACAAAAACAAAAGAAGGCAAGAGCATTAATAGTTACCGAGTACTGCTCAGTGCCCTGTGGTCTCCCCACACTACTACGTGAATCCCCAGGACAACCTCCAGGTCTTCCTAGCTCCATTTTGCATATAAGAAACTTGAGGAACAAGGTCACAGAGCTAGAAAATGCAGAGCTAGATTCTGAACCCAGGGCTGGTTCCACCTTTTTTTTTACACTGCATTGTCACATACGCTGAAATTTATGTTGAAAAATATCGACTTTGATTCATGGAAGACAGGTACATGTTAAGTTTTAGGGAAGATAGAAGGGTAGTGGGGCTCGTTGCAGCCAACCTCTTGCTCAACATAAGTTAACTTTTGTCCCCCTGCACCAGGGTAGCAATCAACGACCCTGTAGCTGGCTCAGTGTGACTCAAAATGACAGTTTTATAAGCTTCTGAGGGAAAACTGGTTGGCTTAATAGGTAGTTCAAAAACCTTTCACACACAAAGAGCCCAATAATTTCCCATTTTTAAAGTGTCAGTTGCAGTTATCAGTTAATGACCGGCAATGGCTGCTCAACAAATAGACATTTATCATGAGTGCTTCAATGTGGGAAGTTGGACAAAATGACCTCTCAGGGCCTTCCCAATGGATTTAATCAGTCTAATCAAACCTTTAGACAGAGTCTGAGCCCAGAGTGGAGTATTTATCTCCTGTTTTGAACTGTTATACAATGTTTTGGGCGAATACATCTTATCTCCCCAACTGGTAGATTCTGGAAGGTCAGAGACTGTCGAATACTTTTAGCTAGTCCCTCACGGCACTGAGAACAGAGCCTCTCCCATAGCACTGGGTGCAGAGTTGAGCACATAGTAGGTACCCAGTGAACACTAATTGATTAATTCAAAATCTCATAACTCCACATGCTTATAAAACAAGGACACTTAGGGTTGGGCCAGATCAACAGAGGACTTTAAATAATGATCCTTAAGAGCTATTATAAAGTGGATTGTGTGGACTCCTCAGGGGAGCTCCAAAGGCAACGTTCCAACGTTCCATATTGTTGTTAAGAATAGACTTAAGTAAATGCATATATTTCTTTTCTCAATTCGTTCTATTTTGGTCTCAACCTGACAATATGTGATAGAGAAATTTGTCTCTAATACAGTTTCTTGGGTTAAAAACACTAATAAGTATTAGCAGGTTCTAGAGATGTGTGACCCAGCATCAGAATGTTAATACTGGGGCTATGGAAGACATTTAAGTAAAGAAGGCCAAGTGAAACTGGATCATAGAATCACCCTCCCACAATACCCAATGAAATTAACAACACTAAAAAATAAAAATAAGTGAAACAAACAAACAAAAATTATTACTATCAGCATTTTATTTATTTATTGAGACAGAGTCTTGCTGTGTCACCCAGGCTGGAGTGCATTAGTGCAATCTTGGCTCACTGCAACCTCCGCCTCCTGGGTTCAAGCAATTCTTGTGCCTCAGGCTCCTGAGTAGCTGGCATTATAGGCGCCTGCCACTATGCCCAAGACCAGCCTGGGCAACATGGTGAAACCCTGTCTCTACTAAAAATACAAAAATTAGCCGGGTATGATGGCAGGTGCCTGTAATCCCAGCTACTCAGGAGGCTAAGGCAGGAGAAACGTTTGAACCTGGGAGGTGGAGGTTGCAGTGAGCCAAGATTGCACCACTGCACTTCACCCTGGGCAACAGAATGAGACTCTTGTCTCCAAAAAAAATTAAAAAATAAAAATAAAATAATCAGGAATTGAATGTCATATATAGTATGTGAGATTGAGATTCAATTATATTTTTTTCCCGACCCGGTTGATCCACCATGCCATGGCTATTGTATTTCAAGAATCTACATACCCTATGATAAGCTTTGCTGCTAACATTTTTTTCTATTTCATTTTTAAATTGTCTACACCAATGCCAGTACCACACTGTTTTCATTACTTTAGCTTTGTGCTTGGTGACAATATTGTTTGGGCTAGCTCAGCATCTTAAGCATCTTCAAGAGCGTCTTGGTTATTTTTGGGATTCTGCTCTTCCACATAAATTTTAGAATTGGGTTATCAAATATATCAAAAATCACTGTTGGGATTTTGATTGGAATTGCATTAAATATATATGTCAATTTGCAATAGTGAGTCTCCCTAATCATAAACATGGTATGTCTCTACATTTAGTTGAGCAATTTTCATTAAATTTTTCTCTATAAAGTTGTTGCCTTTTGATGATTTCATAGACGCATTTCTGTCATCGTGAATGGTGTTTTTTCTTAAATCATCTTTCTGTTATAGATATATAAAAATATGATTGATTTTTACATTCATCTTTTATTCTACCCTCTTATTAATTCTAATAATTTATTTAAATAATCTATAACTTTAAAGGGTTTTGTATGTGAATAATCATATCTCTGAATAAAGAGAAATTTGTTTCCCCTAATCCCATTTTCTCCTTCATTTGCCTATAGTGGCTAGAACTCCCTAGTAAAACCTGTAATAGAAGCAGGGATATTGGGCATTTTTAACTTACTCATAATTTTCAAGAGAAAGTATTTAACATTTCATCATTAGCCATGATGTTTGCTGAAGGATTTTAGTAATGATATCCTTTATCCAGAAAATCAAGTCTGTTCTGTTTCTGTTCTTCCAAAAGAATTTATCTTTTATGCATTCATGCAATAAATATTTATTGAGTACTTATCTAGTGCATCTGTCTAAGCACCAGCGATTCCTCTCCAAACTAAACAGACAGAAAGTCCTGCCCTCATGAAGCTTGCAGTATAGTGGAGGAAAACACAATAAATAAATGTAGTGTACTAGCAGGTGATAAATGCTATGGAGAAAACTGAGGCAAGGGAAGGGGGCGGAGGTGCTGGGGCTGGGAGATGCAGTTTCAAATAGGGTGGCAAGGGAAGGCCTTGAGAAGGCACTATTAGAGCAAATGCTTGAAGTAGCCAGGGAAGCAGGCTAGGCACATATGTGTCAGGAAAGCATTCCAGACAGAGGGATAGCAGGTGCAAAGATGGAGGTGAGAATGTGCATGACTTAAGAAATAGCAAGGGGACTAGCATGCCTGGAACCGAAGAAATCAGGGAAAGACTAGCAGGAGATGGAGTTAGAGAGGTAATAAGCAGAATGATAATAAGTTAGAGAGGTAATAAGCAGGTTACATTTTATCAAACTCTGTTTTTACATCTACGAGGTGATTATGTGACTTTTCCCCTTTAATTTTGTAACGTGGGGATTATGTTTTTAGATTTCCTAAGTTAAGTGTCTTTGTATTCCTGGGAGAATTTTTCATTTTAAAAAACACATAGGCCGGGCGTGGTGGCTCACGCCTGTAATCCCAACACTTTGGGAGGCTGAGGTGGGTGGATCACGAGGTCAGGAGATCAAGACCATCCTGGCTAACAAGGTGAAACCCCGTCTCTACTAAAAATACAAAAAAATTAGTTGGGCGTGGTGGCAGGTGCCAGTAGTCCCAGCTACTTGGGAGGCTGAGGCAGGAGAATGGCATGAACATGGGAGGTGGAGCTTGCAGTGAGCCAAGACCATGTCACTGTACTCCAGCCTGGATGACAGAGCAAGACTCTGTCTCAAAAAAAAAAAAAAAAACAAAAAAAAAACCACACACGCATAAAATTTTAGCATTTTAAAGTGTACAGTTCAGTAGTATGAAGTATATTCATATTTTTTGCAATGATCTCCAGAACTGTTTTCATCTTGCAAAACTGAAACTTTCTATCCATTGAACAACAACTCCGTTTTTGTCCTCCTCTTAGTTCCTAGAAAACAACCATTCTATTTTCTGTTTCCATGAATTCAACTACTGTAGGTACTTCATATTATGCTTGTTTCACTTAGCATAATGTCCTATGGTTCATCCATGTTATAGCATGTGTCAGGATTTCTGTCCTTTTAAAGACACAATAATATTCTATTGTATGGCTAGACCACATTTTCTTTGTTCTTTCATCTGCCAATGGATATTTGGGTTGCTTCTACCTTTTGGCTATTGTGACTAATGCTGCAATGAACACAGGTGTGCAAATTCTTCTTTGAGATCATACTTTCAGTTATTTTGGCTTTGCACCCAGTAGTGGGATTGCTGGATCATGTGGTAATTCTATTTTTTATTTTTTGAGGAGCCTCCATATTGTTTTTCATAGTGGCTACAGCATTTTACATTCTCACCAACACTGCATGAGTGTTCCAATTTCTCCACATCCTTACCAACACTCATTATTTTCTGTTTTTTTTTTTATGGGGACCATCCTAATGAATGTGAGATGATATCTCATTATGGTTTTAATTTGCATCTCTCTAATGATTAGTGATGTTGAACATCTTTTCATTTATTCATTGGCCATTTGGAGAATTATCTACTAAAATCCTTTACCCATGTTTAAATAGGATTATTTATTTGTTGTTCAGTTGTAAGAGTTCTTCATATATTCTGGATATTAATCCCTTATCAGATATATGATTTGAAAATATTTTCTCCCATTCTGTATATAGACAGATATTCTGTTGATTGTTTCCTGTGATGTGTAGAAGCTTTTAAGTTTAGGGTAGTCCCATTTGTCTATATTTGCTTTTATTGCATGTGCTTTTCGTGTCATATTCAAGAAATCATTGCTAGATCCAATGTCATGAAGCTTTTCCCTTATGTTTTATTTTCTTTATTCTCCCATGTTTTTTTCTGGGAGTTTTATAGTTTTAGATCTTACTTTTAATCTATTTTGAGTTGATTTTTGTACATGGTGTATGGTAAGGGTCCAACTTCATTCTATTGCATGTGGATATCCAGGGTTCCCAATGCCATTTGTTGAAGAAACTATTCTTTTCCCACTGAGTGGTCTTGGCACCCTTGTCAAAAATTGTTTGGCCACACACATGAGGGTTTATTTCAGGTCTTTCGATTCTATTCCATTGTTCTATATGCCTATCTTTACGCCAGTAACATACTATTTTGATTAAGGTAGCTCTATTTTGGAATCAGGAAGAGTGAGATCTCCAACTTTGCTCTTTTTCAAAATTACTTTGGTTATTCAGGGTCATTGGAGATTCGCGTCACTTTTAGAATAGATTTTTCTATTTCTGTAAAAATGGCATTGGGATATTGATAGGAATATAATTTTCTTTTTAATATTGCCCTTATCTGACATAGATATCAAGGTCATACCAGACCTCATAGATAAGTTGGGAAGTGTTCACTCATTTTTAATAGAAATTATTAGCTTAGGTTCACCTCCGTGTATATCAATTTCTTTTTTTTCCTTTTTTTCTTTCATCTCAGACTTCCCCGCTAGTGTCATTTTCCTTATTCCTAAAATTTATATTTTAGAAGTCTCTTTAACAGAGGACTGCTGCTAGAAAGTATCTCATTTTTGTTTATTTGAAAGTGTCTTTATTGTACTCTCATTCTTGAAAGATAGTTTTGCTGGGTATATAATTCTAGGTTGACAGTTGTTTTACTCTCAGCACTTTGAAGGTATCAATAGTTACCAAGCTTCCAGTTTTGCTAATGTGTGTATAAAAACAGATTGGAAATAAACACATGAACAATTGTGAACATTCTGCCCAGTGCATTTGGAGTGAACTATCTGTCCTTCTTGCCCTCATCACTTTACATCCTCAAATGGAAAACATGATTCTCTTGACTCTTGTGTCTAGCATTCTCTTGCTTCTTAAAAAAGCCTTACTACATATATATGCTTCTCTAAACAATAAATTTAAACACAGAACTAAGACCAAACGATTGTAAGAATTATAATAATAGAGCAGAACGTCAATATTATTATATACACTTCCAATTAAAAGAAGAATAATAGAGCTTACAAAAAATGAGAAGGTAAAAGGAAATATAAGACTGCTAGTTCCTTATCTTTAATTACAGACAGTATTGATACTGTCTAAGATTAAAGCATGTACATATCTTAAACTAAATGACTCCAATATTTTTTTACCTTAACCTTGGAGAGATATTTTATTAAATATTACCTCTGGTGGTGAAAAAATATTTATCTAGACTTCAGCAATTTCTTTAGTTTCACTTTATTTGCTATTCCTTCTGTTAAAGTAAAATTAAATGTAATACTTTTTAATAAAAATAGAAGTCATATTATAATCCTATTTTTATAAAGGTATTTCTCCAGCTAGTCTACATATGCATGGAGAACTGCCTGGAATGAAGTGCACTTTAATATGAATAATAATTTATTTCACTGAGCGTGGTGGCTCACGCCTGTAATCCCAACACTTTTGGAGGTCAAGGAGGGAAGATCCCTTAAGCCCAAGAGTTTGAGACCAACCTAGGCAAAATGGCAAACCCCTGGCTCTACAAAAAAATACAAAAATTAGCCGGACATGGTGGCACATGCCTGTAGTCCCAGCTATCTGGAAGCCTGGAAGGCTGAGGTGAGAGGATTGCTTGAGCCCAGGAGGTGGAGGTTGTGGTGAGCTTAGATTGTGCCACTGCACTCCAGCCTGGGTGAAAGAGCTAGACCCTGTCTCAAACAAACAAACAAACAAACAAACAAAACTTTATGTGGTGGTCTTCAGGCTAAATTCTAAATCTTTATTTTGTATTTTCTATATTACTTCAATTCTTTATTATGGGTATGTATAATTTGAAAGTCAGTACATTTTTGAATGCAGTGTCAGCAACAAATCAGGACAACTTGCTCCTTCTCATCTACTCCTGTACCCTGACCTTAACCCTCAGCTTCATCTTCTCTCTTGCCCTGGAGACCGGTGAATGAACGTATGCACAAACAGTGCTAGCTGTTGAACTTCTTGTCCTCAGAGTTCTGCCCTAGGATGCCCCATCTGTCTTGGGGTGGCCTTATGGCCACATTTTCTTAATGAATCATGGCAGGTTAAAATTGCCATCCTTAGCAGAGTCTAATGGTCACAACTTTAACCGGCCATGATTATTCTTCTACATAAATCTTTGTTCATATCTTTGATTACTTTTTAGGATAAATTCTTAGAAGTAGGGTCAAAGCGTATAGCAGTCTTTTGAATGCTCATAATATTATATGGTCAAATTGATTTTCAAAAAGCCTGTTCTAATTGGTGCTTTCACTAGCGATATTTATAAATGTGCCTCTTCCATAACTCCCTTGTCAGCACTAATCATTTTTTTGACATTTGTGTCCATTTCATAAACAAAAAATGATACTTGCTATTCTAATTAGCATTTTTATTATTAGTGAGGTTGAATGTTTTTCATATTAGTATTGAATTTAAAAAATTTCAGTGACATTTTATAAGTGAGCAGATGATACGATCATATTTATTTTTCAGAACTACAGTTCAGGCAAGAGTGTTGAAAGTAGGTGGCTGCCTGAGGTCAGGAGTTCAAGACCAGGCTGACCAATACAATGAAACCCCATCTCTACTAAAAATACAAAAATTAGCCAGGTTTGGTGGTGGGCAGGCACCTGTAGTCCCAGCTACTCAGGAGGCTGAGACGGGAGAATTGCTTGAACCTGGGAGGCAGAGGTTGCAGTGAGCTGAGATTGTGCCACTAAACTACAGCCTGGGCAACAGAGCAAGACTCCGTCTCAAAAAAAAAAAAGAAAGTAGGTGGCTGGAGGAGCCCAAAGTCAGGAAGCACTGAGGGGACATTGGCGGCAGTCTTGGTGATGTATGATGAGGGTCTGGACAGGGCGGGGTGGGGGTGGGAGGCAGTGGTGGGTAGGGGAGAGGGGCATGGGGTTGGGGTGGTGGTGGGAGTAAGATCTGATAACACTCTCTCTTCACCTCTTTTTTCCTGGCTTCTAGATTTCCTCTTATAGTTTTCTACTTTGAAAAATTAGCATAGCAATAACACTTTGCCGCAATTAATAGTAGGATGTTCCTAATCTATTTAAATTTGGAAGAGATTGTATCATTCTTCAGAGAGGTCAGTTTCTACATTTCCAATCTAGAAAATCAGTACTACTGAGGAGAATCTGGTTGCAAGACTATGAATTTTGTTCCCCTATGACTCCTGTGTGGGGAAAACTGGAAATGGATCCTTCGGAGGTAAATATTCTGAAGAAATACACCTACCTGCTGGCTTTTGCTAGTATTAGTTAGTCACTTGGCTTTTACCTTAAAGTCCTTATATGTCATATTTTAAAAAGAAAGAAGTGAAACACACAGAGTCAGGTTTTAGCCAAAGCAAACCGTGATGATAAAACGACCGACCCTCTGTAATTCTGAGCTGAATTGTAATTCTTTGTTCTCTGTAGCCTTCAGATAAAAGGATTCATGTGGGATGGTAGATAGGGCCGTTTTAATTTGAATCAACTGGACTTACTGCTGGATTTTACACCAGCCTGCTATGAGGCAAGTTCTTTGTTTTCGGCAATTATCAAACTAAGCCTAATTAAACTTGCTTTGCTTTGATGTACTGTAATGTTTTCCATAATTTTATATTCTGAACCATTTTCCTAAGTCCTGGTTTGAATCAACATTATGGATTCATTCTGTATCTGTCATGTCATGATTTAGCATGTATCTAATCAGGTTTTAAGAAGCTTAGCTTTGGTTGATATAATACAACATTATTATTATTGTGATTTTGCAATTTGGACCTGTGAATTGTTTTAAAATACTACATGCTCTGGATATATGTGGAAGCAAAGTGCAAACACTTCCAATGATACCAATTAAATATAGATCTTAAACTATACAACACCATCTTCTATTTTGTAAAATTCCATTGATTTCCCTTTCGGTTGTGTTGCTCCTTAAGGAGATTTTTTTTTTTTTTTTTTTACAAAAGCTAATTTGCCACAATTGATTCCATGTATATTTCTTTTGTGTAGATGTGTTACACAGGGTTTTTCAGTCTCTTTTGTATTTGCAAGTTGTTCATTTCCCACCTGATCGTGCATCCATTAGATCTCTCTTGCTTTATGGGTGCTAGACTACAAGATGTGTGTTTTAAAAGGCATTTTTCTCCCACATCGAACAGAAATAATTTAAAAATACATTTACTTCATTCAGCTAGCACCCTACTTGTAGTTCTTGTTAGCCACATACCCTTTGCTGCCTTTAAAAATGGGGTCAACTGTTTTCATTATTTTAGCCTAATTTCCTGTGGCTTTTAGCCTATCATTGGGAGTGGTGCAGGATACAAAAGCAAATCAGTTATGTTGCAGATTCCTCTGTCAGCCAAGATGTCAAGGGAACTTAGCTATGGAGACCCTGGTAAGCATTTTGAACAAAACAATGTCTCCTTTCGAGGCTGGCCATGAAGAAGTATTATTCTTAGCTGTTTCTATGACAAATCTGCAAAACTGGGAGCCCGGTTATTATCAATATTACAAAAACTTTGTTTTAGTGGGCACCTTTTGATCACATTTTTACAAACTCTGTGTTGAAGTATAATATACATAGAGACACATGCATATATTATAAGTGTACAGTTCAATGAATTTTCACACACTGAACATACCCATTTAAACCAGCATTCAGATGAAGAACGAAAATGTCACCTGCACCTCAGGCCCACTCACCTCATGCTCCTAACAAGGCACTGTTCTCCCTACCCAACTCCCAGAGTAGCCACTTTGCTGACTTCTACCAAGAGAGCTTAGCCCTGCCTGCTTTTGTGCACTCTGTGCATTAAGCATGAGTTACGCAGTATGCACCCTTTAATGTCTGGTATCTTTTGTTCAACTTTGTGTGTGTGAGATTCATCTGTGCTGTTGAGTGTAGTTGTAAATTCTTCATTCTTATTCCTTTATGATTTCCCATTGTATAAATATACCACAATTTACTTATTCGTTTTACAGTTGAAGGGGAGCTTGACATGGTGGAGGCATAGGGAAAAGGCGCAGAGTGGAGGAGCCAAATGCCTTCACATTTTATACCTGGCACCAGGACTCTGTAAGCAGAAACTGTAAGCAAACTAAATAGACTTGGCCCTAACCTCTATGTGCTTGTTCATTCTAGATAGTAAATACTTTGAGGACAGGGGCTGGCTTTCTCTTTCCCTTCTCTACTAACTCCATGACTCCTACAAGGGCACTCAAAGGAATGTTGATATTATTCAAAATAGGTTGTCTAAATGGAGAAACAATAAAATGCAATTAAGATAATGTAAAACATGAGGCATGAGAAAAAGCCCAGGACTTTCCAGATGAAAAAGAGACAGCTAATGGGCAGAGAAAGGGGAGAAGAAGTAACATAAAGCAGCATAGAACAATACTCATTTATCTTGCTATCATGTAAATGAGTCTAATTAAAGAGTGTTTGTAGGGCACTAGTAAATCCTCTGATAAAATGCATAAATAAAACAGTACTTTGGTTTGCTATTTTCTTGTTCACAGCACAGGAACTTCCCTTGGTCTCTCATTTTTGATCGTTTTAGATATATTTTGTTCCATTCACATGATTTTTTCTGATTCCTGAAGCAGCAACAGAACTGAATAAACCAATAATTGTATAAAGTTGACATTCATCACAGCCATGTAAAGGTTTGGTATTTCAGCCAATTTTGCTTTCCTCATTTTTTTCTTTGTATCACTGTGGATTCTGCATATTCTCGTTTTTTTTTTTTTTGGTAGAATATATTATAACTTCTATTATTTTTAAATTTCTTTTAATGACTTGAAGTTGCTCCACCGTCTCAATAATCAGTGTGTTAATATATTAATAATTGTTGCTATGTCCCAGAAAGTGGTAGTAAAAGCATTGTTGAGCTAATACCAGTGCAATACATAAATTATTCATTGAAATATATCATGCCTATTTGACTGTATTGCTGTATTCTACTAGCAAAACATCTCGTGCTTTATTGTAGACTCTCATTTCGATTAAAAAAAATTAAGAAGGTCCACACTCATTCTGGTGGATTCAAAGAACTAATAATTTGGCTGCTCTAGAAACGGACCTCAAGGGAATGCAAATGAGCGAAAAACCTGAAAGGGAGTCAGAGCAGGATTTGGTTTTCTTGTTTTCTGATCTATCCCTGTTTATTAGTCAGCGAGGACTGCCATAACAGGGTAACAGCTTGGTTGGTTTAAATGACAGCTATCTATTATCTTACGGTTCTGGAGGCTGGAAGTCCAAGATCAGCCTGTTGGTAGGGTTAATTTCTCCCGAGGCCTCTGTCTTTGCCATGTAGATAGCTGTCTTCTTCCTTCTCACACAATCCTCCCTCTGTGTGTATCTGTGACCTAATCGCCTCTTCTTATAAGGACCCGGTCATATTGGTTTGGATCCACCCGAATGATTTTGTTTCACTTTAATTACCTCTTTAAAGGTCCTATCTCCAAATACAGTCCCATTCCAAGGTAGTGGGAGTTAGGGCTTAAACACATGCATTTTAAGGGGACCCTATTCATCCTATAACACCCAAAAACAATCTTTGACATTCTGACATGAGATCCTTGGAGCCAGCACATCACACATGTCTTCTGGATTCTGATGATGCCTGTTCTGTGTTGGCTGCTGCTCTGGCCTTCCTCCTCTCCTTGGCATTGCACAGCTCTACTGCCTGGAGATCACCAGTCAGAGGGGGCATTGCGCAGCCAGACAAACCAGTCTCTATCCCCAAACTTCTGGCCTTTCCCCTTCTTTAAGAACTTGGGTGAGATGCCACAGGGTGGGGCATGGGACTATATTTCTAGAGCAGCCACATGATGCAACCCAGAAATGTTTCCATGGGGCAAACTTTGGCAAATGGAACTAGGATATGGGAAGGAGATGGGTAAAGAAATTCTTGCTTCTTACTTCCTCCCATAGCTGGTCCCAAGCCACAGCTTCTCTGTATAGCCTGTCTAGACATGTGTGGCTCCATGAGTGTCATCACAGCTCGTTGTGAGGCCTGGCCAGTACTGTAGCATGCAAGAGCTTGCATTGCTTTCCTTCCTTCTTGGATTCATTTCCTTCCTCTTTCACTCTCACTACTCTGGGACTGCTCCTGCCAAGTGAAGCATCAAGACTCAATCCTTGCCTCAGGCTCTGCTTTCTAGGGAATCAGGAATAAGACAATATTTTACCCATTATAGAAGTTTTGTCCTAATTATAGAGGTGGCAATAAATTTGAATAATAGCACATAGATAAGTATTATTCTTCAATATTTATTATAGAGCATTCAATCATTTTTCTCAAGTTATTGCTAGCAAGGGCAGGGCAATAAAGCCATGACAAATTGCAGTAAACATTGATAAATATCAACTCGGTAGCACTCCTAGACTCATATGGATTCAAGTGGACTCATCTGCAGGCCCAAATAACTTTTTATTTTAATTTTCATGAGCAAATGTGTTTAGAAGTTAAACGAGATTATTTCTTAAACTGTGAACTTTATCTGTCACAAAGAATGTATTTTCTCCTTCTAGAAGATTCCACGTTGTTATCTATGAGGCCATTTCATAATGGAGGAGGTCCAGCAATAAAACTTCTTGAACCATTCAGAAAAAATTCATAAAAATTTTTTATCATCTTCAACATCTCAAATGTTGAAATACAATGTCTAATTATTTTGTAAAATTACTAAGTAGTATGAATATTTGACCACTTGAAAGAATTTTCTGCAAAGCCTAGTTTCCAGCAAGTAATTTCTCAATCCAGTGAATCCCTTAGATACGCAGTGTGTAGTAAGATCAGAGCCTACCTATTTACCCATAGGCAAATGAAGTTCAGCTGAACTGAGTTAGACTTTTGTGCAAGCTCTATGATGTATTGTCATTAATAAATGGGCAGGAAATAGCATTTCCAAATTCCTGACAGATATTAATATTCAGTATTCAAGAATGAGCAATTGGAATCCCTGGCAATCCCCAGGAATTCTTCAAATCATAACTTATTCTGTAAGTTTTATAACACTTTATTTATGAATTTAAAAATCATGACTGACGATAGTAATAAATTGTTACTCTACTTGAAATAGAGTTATACAAGGGTTTTCCATATAGAGAAGTCTATGCTATGTAATATATGCTTAGTTTATATTAACTGATACATCATGAAAATATTATATATTTAAATAACAGGTAAAAGTGTTGTTTACTTGATATAAACATTTGATAATAGGAAATACTACTAAAGAAGGGACCATTAGCACCAAATAAATGTCAAATAAAAATGACTCTAAAAATGGAAAGATACTACCAATATTCAATATTTAAAAGTTGCCATTCTCCAATGGAAAATTTAAAGAACACCAAACATTCACTGCCTCATCCAATAGTTGGGCTCTCTGTTTCCTGACAAACATTTTAGATGTAGAAAGATTTCTTTCACTTTGTGTCGACATGGGTTGCATTGTGAAAAGTGCATGCAAAAACAGTTTCAAGTTGGATCTTAGGGTTCATGCAGCTCCATTTAAGCTCACTTCCTTTTTTATTTTTTTTATTTTTGAGATGGAGTCCCACTCCATTGCCCAGGCTGGAGTGCAGTGGTGCAGTCTTGGCACTGCAACCTCCACCTCCTGGGTTCAAGTGATTCTCAAGACTCAGCCTCCCAGGTAGCTGGGATTACAAGTGTGCCCCACCATGCCCAGTTAATGTTTTCATTTCTAGTAGAGATGGGGTTTCACCATGTTGGCCGGGTAGTCTCAAACTCCTGACCTCAAGTGATCTGCCTGCCTCGGCCTCCCAAAGTGCTGGCATTACAAGTGTGAGCCACCATGCTCAGCCTCATTTCCTTTTTTTTAAGATAAAAGTATTTTGTTTTCTTTTCCTGACTTTGATTTTGCTATTGAAATCAATACTGCTTATGCTGACAGCTTTAAGATCAATTTCTAGTTTTATATTGACGCATTCCATGACAGCATTCATGTCATATTCTCTTTGCATTTTTTTCTGGTAAAATATTTGTAAGAAATTATAGTCTACGGAGAATATTCAAATACTGGAAAACACCAGTAAATGTTACTAGGTAGTATTCAAATACTGTAACATTTGGTTACTAGTAAATTTACTAGCAAGTTTACTAGTAAGTTTACTAGCAAGGAGTAAGTTTACTAGCAAGGAGATCTTACCCTGATCTTACTAGCATGCAGCAGGATGGACTGAAGTATCTATTTTACTTTCAAAACTTGTTACCTCTTGAAACGTCACTTACAGGACTCATATAATGTATTCTGTGCATAAAACTTAGTACTATTTATTTTATTTGTACAATGATTTTCTGTTAGAAGCACACTGGCCCCAAGAACACTCACTTATGCCAGGGCAGCTGTAAGCAAGACGGATGATGCTGCGGCCACCCACCTCCTGTGTGCCCACCTTGTTCTGGGCTCCACTTGCCAGCACTTCCTGCTATTGCTTTTAGCTAGGTGTCCATAAATTCCTTCAAACTGATAGCACCATCTGATGACTGTGATACCACCGTCTGATGATTGTGATACCACCGTCTGGTGATTGTGAAGCATTAATTCTCACAGGAGAATCATATTTTCCCATTTTCTTGCCTTCTTGATTGATTTTTCTTGGGATTAAGAGAAATATAAATTTTCTGAGAAATGCTGGGAAGGAATCCCTGTGTGGAAATACTGGTAGAAGAAAATGGGCCTTCCATAAAATAGCCCTTTATCACTGCAGTGATGGCTAGCCCCACCTTGAATATCTTGAATGCAGGTGCTGTTGGAGATCTAACTTGAGCCTAAATTGAGTCCTTTCTGGAAAGCAGACCTATCCAGAGGCCCAGGGATTTTGTTTGTTTGTTTTTGGACTAACCTTGTTACACATATTTTATTATTTTATTTAAATATTTTTTACTGTAATTAAACATACATAACCTAAAACATATCACTTAAACAACTTTTAAGTGTTCAGTGACATTAAGTATATTCACACCATTGTACAACCATCACCACCATCATTTCCAGAACTCTTTTCATTTGCAATACTGAAACTCTGTACCAATTAAATAACAACTTCTCATCCTCCCAACTCCCCTAGCCAGCCCCTGGCAAGCATATATACACATTGTCTTAGTCTATTCAGGCTGCTATAAAAAAATACCATAGACTAGGTGGCTTATAAACAACAGACATTTCTTTCTTACAGTTCTGGAGGCTGGGAAGTCCAAGATCAAGGCATCAGTGGATTTGGTGTCTGGTGAGGACTTGGTTCATTAGAGATGGCTGTTCTCTCACTGTAACCTCACATGGGGCAGAAGTTCAGAGAGATGTCTCTGGAGGTTTGTTTGTTTCTTTGTTTTTGTTTTTGTTTTTTTGACAGAGTCTTGCTCTGTCACCCAGGTTGGAAGCACAGTGGCATGATCTTAGCTCACTGCAACCTTTCCCTCCCAGGTTCAAGCAATTCTCCTGCCTTAGCCTCCTGAGTAGCTTGGACTACAGGTGCCCACCACCACATCCAGCTAATTTTTGTATTTTCAGTAGAGATGGGGTTTCACCATGTTGGCCAGGCTGGTCTTGAACTCCTGAGCTCAGGGCTCCTTGAACACCTGCCTCGGCCTCCCAAAGTGCTGGGATTACAGGCATGAGCCGCCATGCCCGGTCCTGGGGTCTCTTCTTATAAGGGCACTAATCTTTCATGAGGACTCTACCCTAATGAACTGGTTACCTCCCAAAGGCCCCACTTCCTACTGTTATTACCTTTCAGGTTAGGATTTCAACATCTACATTTTGGAGGAATACAAATCTTCAGACCATAGCATGGAGAATTTATTCATTAGCATATATGAAGTGTCTTCTGGCAATTCCTAGAAATAGCTGAGGACGTTTTGAAAGGAATTTGAGGTTTTATAGTAGACGGTAAGAGAAAGAGGTGATGAAAATAATATTACTATGAATGTGGTCACTCATCATCCCCAGTCCGATTTAGCTCGAGGAAACAGGTGTCCCCATAGCAAAATGAGACTCAGGAAGCTGAAAAGAACATATCACACATAATGAATAACAGTGATCCTTGGCTCTTTTCTCCATGTGCTAATGGAAGAATTTATTCAGCAAGTGGCTATCACTTTTGGAGACCATCTCTGTGGTTTCAAATGTGGTGGGTATAGAAATGCTAGAAGATTCCATTTTTACATCTTCCATGTCCAGAGAAGGATTTACTGCTTCCTTCAAAGATTTGTGATGAGACTAGCAGCACTTTGCATCATTACAAGAAGTCTATGATAGTCTGGAAAGACTTTTAGGATAAGACTGTAAAATACTTGAAGACACTTGATCAAGATTCTCATGTAACTTCTTAAGAAAGCATTAGTGCCCATCAAGGATTATGTCAAACAGTCTACCACATTCTACAGCTTTGTTTAGTCTTTTGGTTATAAGAGTCAGTTTCAGGGCAGTTGACATAGTGTCTATCCTCTGACTTCATTAGAACTACTATCAGATATGCTGTACATAATGTAAACAAGATAATGGAGAACTGTTTCAGGAATGACAGTGTGATCACCTCAGACAATGGTTGAGATGTCATGTGGAAAGCTTGCCTCTGGTATAATTTCCTTAAGCAATTCCTCATAAGGCATTCATCATTATGTTATTCCTCACCCTCCCATCCTTCAGGCTTCATCAACCTGAAGAGTCAAATAATCTGCAGAGGTGATACATAAGCCAGGGTATTCAGTAGCAGATGGCCCAAGCCATTCAAATGCATGATACTGTAGGCAAGCAGAGAGAACTAACTACTGAGCAAATATCTCACCACTGCACATGTAACCCACATATGTAAGAAGGCAGAAAGGAAAGTAGTTAAACCCCACAGAAAGGAAAGTAGTTAAAAACAGGTGGCTGCTTTTAACTCTCACTGCAGCAAGCGAAGGGGCTAGGGACAGGGAGTGAGGGAAGTTTCATAGTAGGAGACAGGGCATAATTATAGGAAAAATGACTTCTGTATGATGGCAGAGTCTTTCAGGCAGCATTTGGAATTAAAAGCCATTACACCATCTGAGGACGCTCAGAGATTGTGCAGAATGAGGACCAGTAATAGAGTCCTTTGGTGTTGGAGGGGAATTACCTCCACAGCATTTCCTACATTTCGTGGTTTTGTGAAAGGAAGAGTCAGAAATCACTGAGCAATAAAAATGCTCTTAATGTTTTTGAGGCAGAAAGCAGGTAGAGAGAATTTTGAGCAGGTGCAGACAGCATCTGGGAGCATTAGGAAAGCAGAAAGCTAGTGCACCACTGTAGGGCCGGCAGCAAAAGCACCGCTGTCCTCCCAGCCGCCAAGCCAGACCCAGAGAAAGCATCCTTGACTCTTTCCATTTCCTACACGCACTTCCAAAGTTTTTTCTCTTAAGAACAATGTTGCTGTGAACATTTTCTACATGTTTCCTCGTGCATATGAGCAAGAATTTCATAAGATAATGCCAAATTGTATTCAAAATTGGTTGAACCAACATAACCTGACACAATGCATGAATCTTGTATTAGGAAAAAAACTGTAAGAGACATATTTGGAAAAATTGGATAAGTTTGAATACAAAATGAATATTGGGTAATACTATCTGATTATTGTTCATTTTAAATATGTGAATGGTGTTAGAGTTAGTATGAATTTTTTTTTATTCTTATTCTCTTAAGAGTAATTTAGGAGGGAAGTGCCAAGATATCTACAGTTCACTTTCAAATGGCTCAGCAAAACTGTGACTATATGGAGAAACAGCTAAAGAGAGAAAGGAGAGAGAGAGAGAAAGAGAGAGATCACAAATGGGACAAAACGTTGGTGGAAAATATATGTTTAAATTTTTTTCAGGATTGAAAATTGTGAAAAGAAAAGAAAAAAATGGTTGAACCACTAAGGGTCTAGTTAGGAAAACTGAAACCACTCTAGGTATTTCAAACAGAGGGACTTTAATACAAGAAATTGGTTTCAAAGATATTGGCTGGGTGTGGTGGCTCATGCCTGTAATCCCAGCACTTTGGAGGCTGAGGCAGGCAGATCACTTGAGGTCAGGAGTTTGAGACCAGCCTGGCCAACATGGCGAAACCCCATCTCTACTAAAAATACAAAAGTTAGCCAGGCTTGCTGGTGCCTGCCTGTAGTCCCAGCTACTCAGGAGGCTGAGGCATAACAACCACTTAAACCTGAGAGGCAGATGTTGCAGTAAGCCAAGATCGCACAGTTGTGCACTGCAGTCTGGGCGACAGAGCGAGACTCCATCTCAAAAATAAATACATATACACATACATAAAAAGTAAAAATAAACAAAGATATTAAGAAGGTTGGAAGAGTAAAAGGAAGGAAATGGGACTGGAGGATCCAAAAGGAAGAAGCTGTGATCCTTGAAAATCAGAAGCTGTTAGTGCCCTTGAGCTCAGTCCCCGAGCCTGTGCTTGCTGCAGTTGGTTCCAGATCCATGGAAGAGGTACTGCCTCAGTCTGGGCAGGGACTGCTGAAAGAGGTGCTGTCTGCTCAGGCTGCTGGCTCCCAGCTGCCCCTTTCCATTGCCAGCTTCGTCAGTAACTACCACCAAGAGTCAGAGCCAGCAGCAGAAAGCTTTCCTCTTCTCCTGCCTTCTAATATCCACAAGCACCTTTACTTTATTTGTTTATTTTTTATGGACAGGGTTTTGCTCTGTCCTCCAGGTTGGACTGTGGTGGCACAAAATTAGCTCACTGCAGCCTTGAACTCCCAGGCTCAAGTGATCCTCCTGCCTCAACCTCCTGAGTAGCTGGGACTGTAGGCATGTACCACCACATTCAGCTATTTTTGTATTTTTGTAGAGACAGGGTCTTTATATTGTTGCCCAGGCTGGTCTTGAACTCCTGGGCTCAAGTGATTCTCCTGCCTTGGCCCCTCAAAGTGCTAGGATTACAGGCATAAGCCACTGTGCCTGGCCCAATATTAACTGTTAACAAAGTGCATGTAATTTCTTCAGAGGTAGAGACTCATTCACAATCAATGAATTATGAACTCTAGAACAAAAATAAGGCCTCAAGATAGAGTTGGGTAGAGAGAGCTACCTGAACTGACTGGTGCCAAGTGCGTGGTGACTGACAGACCATCCGACTTTCTGGTTTGTCCAGGACTGAGGGGTTTCCCGGGACAAGGGACTTTCAGTGCTAAAACCAGGCAACTCCTGGGCAAACCTGGGGCTAAGTTGGTTACCCTAGCCAAATAACATTTGCAGTCACCATCTTGGGCCCCACCTAAGAAGTCTGGAAGGTCTCACCTGATATGGAACAGGACATACCCTTACATAAGCACATTAATTTTTACATAGAATCAGCGACGTTGTCAAAGATGCAGGCTAATTTTAAGAGGCCTAAGTTCACAATGGGTAATATCAGGTTTGTGCCTGTGCACATTTTGAAGGAATTTTTAAAATTGTATCTGCTAATATTTGTAGGTGATGGACTGAATCAATCAATAGTTTTTAATGGATAACATTAAATATGTCAGAGGAGAAGTAAAAACTTACCTAAAAAAAGAAATGCAGAAATGCAGCCAATAATAAATAAATAAAGGATAAAGGATAGCCACAGGGCAGAGAAGGTTTTGGCCAATTTGTGTGTGGCTGGTCCTGTAGTTGTGCATGCTCTGGGCAGGACACAGGTCTCTGTTATCCAGGGGCCAACCCCATCTCTGACACCAGATTGCTCGTGACACACAGCACTTATGCTCATTGGCATGTGCCAACATGCACCAAGGAGTCAGTAACGACTTGTTTCCAGAAAGCAGCTTCAGGCTCCAGAGTTGACCTCCTGCCTGCCAACTCCATTGGGCTGCATTTTGTGGTGGGAAAATCCAAGGCCTTTGGGAGACAATTTCATGACGTTGCATTTATGGATTTTGTAGAGCATCCAACTGACTCCATGGACGACTATTTATTAGTGTGGTAGCAAATACTGCAGTGCTCGGTGTTCTGTCCCCTTTGTGAAATTCTCTCTTCCATGGACTTCTGTTAACACCCCTCCTTCCTTCCTGGTGGTAGTTCTCCTTCTCTGGTTGCTTGGTTTTTTTGTTTTGTTTTGTTTTGTTTTGTTTTGTTGTTGTTTTGGTCTTTTTTGTTTTTGTTTTTGTTTTCGATTATATTCATGTTATTGTGGTGAGAAACACATCACATGAGATGTCCTCTCAACAATCTTTTAAGTATACAGTATGCTATTGGTAACTATAATTTATACACAGTGTTGCACAGCAGATCTCTAGAACATCTGCATTTCGCAGGACTGAAGCTCCATACCCACTGAACAGCAATCCCCATTTCTGCCTTTCCCAGCCCCTGACAGTCACCATCCTGCTTTCGATTTGTCCTTTGGGCTTCATTTCGTCCCCAGGGGCCTGTCCTTGTCTTCAGGGCCACTGTGTCCCTGCTTGTCCTCTTCTCTGTGAACACATTCCTCCTGGGTAAGCTTGTCATAGTATTGTTTCTAACAGCAAAGACAATTTTGAAACAACTTGAAGGTTCAACAGTGCAGGATTGGTTAAATATGTTTTTTTTTTAATGGCCTACTATGCATCATTTGATGAAAATTGCACTGTACATTTGTTGACATAAAGATGTTCATGATACTGCTTAGTTCATAAACCATGTTATAACGTTGCATGTATAATGTGATCCTATTTGTGTGAAAAATAGATAAATACATAGTGACATCTGAATGAATGCTCACTCCAAATATTAACAGTATTTATCTCTAGGTGGTGGAATTATGTGTGATTTAAGCATTATTTCTGTTTGTCAGCAATTTCTAGTTTTTCTACAACAAACACGTATTTTTAGTGTAGTGAAAAAAATACAGGTCATAAGAAAAAAGATTCTCTTAGGATATGGATCCCAGTCAGCCAGTTGACTGTGTACAACTCTGCAATAAATACCCAACCAAGCCAGGTGCAGTGGCTCATGCCTGTAATCTCAGCACTTTGGGAGGCTGAGAAGGGAAAATTGCTTGAGCTCAGGAGTTCGAGACCAGGCAAGTACATAACATACAGAGACCCCCATCTCTTAAAAAAAATTTTTTTTTTTTAATTAGGCCTGGTGTGGTGGCTCAGGCCTGTAATCCCTGCAATTTGGGAGGCCGAAGTGGGCAGATCACTTGAGGTCAGGAGTTAGAGACCAGCCTGGCCAACATAGTGAAACCCCATCTCTACTAAAAATACAAAAACTTAGCTGGGTGTGGTGGCGGAGGCCTGTAGTCCCAGCTACTTGGGAGGCTGAGACAGGAGAATTGCATGAACCCAGGAGGTGGAGGTTGCAGTGAACTGAGATTGTGCCACTGTACTTCAGCCTGGGTGACAGAGCGAGATTCTGTCTCAAATAAATAAATAAACAAATAAAATCAGCCAGGCGTGGTGGCACACCTGTGGTCCCAGCTACTCGGGAGGCTGAGGTGGGAGGATTGCTTGAGCCTGGGAGGTTGAGGCTACAGTGAGCCATGATTGTGCCATTGCACTCCAGCCTGGGCTGGATGGAGATCTCTTCGAAATAAATAAATAAGTAAAAATCTCTGGCTTTTTAAAGGTCCTCACTACAAAAAGATAAGTATGTGAGGCAATGCATACTTTAAGTAGCTCCATTTAGCCATTACACAATGTTTACATGTCAGAATACGTACGCAATAAATATATAAAATTTTTACGTGTCAAAATAAAATAAATTACTTCGGGAAAAAAAAATCCCCTCTTTTGAATCAGAGCCATTGGGCTCCATGATGTTGGACTCGTTACTTAACCTCTTAAAGTCTCAATTCCATCGTCTCTGGAGTGGGTCGTAGACCAACCAACTTTATTAGATCGTTTTGATGATTCAGTGATTGGGCACCCAGGTCATAAATCTCTCCCCTCCCCTGGCCTCTGATGTCATTCTTCATGGAGGATGAGCCCTGAGAGTCCCTCATCCTGTCAAGTAGTTTTGTTCTTTAAATGGCTGATTAACTCACAGAGGTAGTGTCTTTTAATGCAAGTTCTCTACATGAAATGAGGTGCCAAGTTAACAACCCAGGAAAACAGAAGGCTTATGTTTTTCCACATAATAAACTGTGAAGAAATGAGTAGGGCAAGCTTTCCAGCCTCTCTATTAGAGCTGTGTGCCTATAAAACACAAAATGTACACACACATCGTCTTTGAGCCACTGTGTTGCTCTGGCTAAGAAATGGAATGCTAACGATTATTCAGGAATTTTCTTGAACCTGTTTGATAGAGTTAAAAAATTTTTTTTTTTCTTAGCCTGTAGCTAAACTTTAAAATAGCCAGGTCTTGGCTGGGCGGGGTGGCTCATTCCTGTAATTCCAGCACTTTGGGAGGGTGAGGCGGGTGGATCACCTGAGGTCAGGAGTTTGAGACCAGCCTAGCCAACATGGTGAAACCCTGTCTCTACTAAAAATACAAAAATTAGCTAGGCATGGTGGCGCACGCCTGTAATCCCAGCTACTCAGGAGCCTGAGGCAGGAGAATCACTTGAGCCCAGGAGGTAGCAGTTGCAGTGAGCCGAGATCACAACACTGATCTCCAGCCTGGGCAACAGAGCAAGACTCTGTCTCAAAAAAAAAAAAAAAAAAAAAAGCCAGGTCTGTTCAGTTTAGTACTTGCACAGAATCCTGTTATGTGACAAACACTGGGTATTGGGGGTTTGGAAATAAGTGAGACAGATAAATAAATAAGACTCTCCTCTGTCTGGGTAGTCTCAGGGGATGATAGAAGCACAGGAAGCTCCCTCTAATAGTCTGTGGCAGAGACAGGGTAGAGGTTTGCTCAGAGGATTGCCATACAGAAGAGTGGGGCTGAGAAACGTCAAGGCCATCAACAGCAACACAGGCCCCAGTGAAGCTCCCAAGCAGGCTTCAAGAATACCATGCAGACAGGATGGGGAGCAAAAGAGTCCTTATGTCTCCAGGGTATTAGCCCCATTTCCCATCTCCCATTTGTGTGTCAAAGGAGTTGCCCAGCCAACACAGGGCTAGGGGACAGCTCTGCAGCCTTTGTGACTGTAAGAGTTAAAGAAAGAGGAAAGAAACACGAAAAGCAGCTCAACAGTTAAAGAACAGGTTTATTTCTCCAAAATAAACCTGAGAGGGGCTTCTGGCCCATCTCAGTCACGAGCATGTTCTCTTACAGACTAAGAGTATATATTGGTTTTATGGTGAGGGGGCTTATGACAAGCTTTGAATGTTTCTGTGTGTGGAGAAGTTTATGATGTGGTTGTAATGTCTCTGGTCAGAGGGGAGGTTATCTTGGGGCTGACATGTTTCTGATCGGGGAGGAGTTTGGAATGTTTCTGGTTGGAGATGTTATTTGTGGTTTATGGTAATGCTGACCTTAGCCATTAGGCTGATGCCCTTTGGATTTAGGCGGTTTTTGATCAAGGTGAACTTTAGAATGGCGGTGCTTGTCCAAGATGGCGATGCTCCTGCTCTGTCAGTGACTAAAGAAAGGGCTTCACTTTGTCTGGGGCTCTTATGACTAAAGAAAGGGCTGGCTTCCTCTGGTCCCTTACTCTATAAGACAGCCACTGTAGGGGAAAAATGAGCCAGGCACTGCTTCTGTCTTCCAGAACCTTAGAGTCGGTAGAATCCTTCTTGCCTCTCTCCTACTTCAGGGGTAACCAGCAATCCTCAACACTCGTTGGCTTGCAGCTGTACAACTCCAGTCTCTGCTTCCCTCCTCACATGGCCTTCTCCCCGCCATTTCCTCACATCATCCTCCTAGGAGGTTACCACTCATACCGGTAAAAAGGCCCACCCTGCTCCAGTGTGACCTCATCTTGACTAATTATGTTTGCAGCAACCTTATTGCCAAACAAGGCCACGTTCTGAGGCACTGGGGATGAGGACTCCTGCATATTCTTTTGGAGAACACAGTTCCAGCTGTAACAGGGAGATGAGGCAGTTATCTACAGCGCCTTCAGTCCCCTAAGCATGGACTGCACGGGCCAATGGGAAAGTTCCCCTGGGGCCTTGGAAGGTTCACTGAAGAATCAGCGTGTAAAAGACAGATTAACTGGAGAAAATGCACACAAATTTATTTAACGTGTATATATGGAGCCTCCAGACTGAAGACCCAGAGGTACAAGGGAGATTGTCCATTTTTATTCTCAGGTTCAACAAAGTATGGACAGCCGTGTCTGTCTAGATTCTCCCGGCCCCTCTGCACAGCGATCCTTCCTTCTGGGTATGAGGCGAGACCCTTTCTGCAACAGGGGCCTTATGACCTACCGTCAAACAGTGTAGGTCAGATCATTTCTTTACGGCCAGTTTTTACATAGAAAGGCAGAGGGAAAGGCAGAGTAATACTTTTAGGTTTTATAGCTGGCTTTGAGGAAAAGGGTTTCTAATTTCTAAGACTAGCCTTGGGGAGGAGGGATTCTAGTTTCTGCGGCTAGCCTTGAGGGAGAGCGGGACTGAGAGACAGGAGAGAAGGACAAAGTCAGAAAAACTTTTGCTCCTGAGGCTGCTTCTCAGGCCTTCATTTTGGGATATTGTTTGCTGAGCCGAACAGCACTACTGGAATCCATCGTACTGTCAGAGGCATTTGAACCAGAGCAACTCCATCTTGAATAGGGGCTGGGTAATATAAGGCTGAGACCTGCTGGGCTGCACTCCTGGGAGGTTAGGCATTCTTAGTCACAGGATGAGATAGGAGGTCGGCACAAGATACAGGTCATAAAGACCCTGCTGATAAAACAGGATGCGATAAAGAAGCCGGCAAAAACCCACCAAAACCAAGATGGTGACAAAAGTGACCTCTGGTCGTCCTCATTGCTCTTTATACATTAATTATGATGCACTAGCTGCTAAAAGACACTCCCACCAGTACCGTGACAGTTTACAAATGCCATAGCAATGCCTGGAAATTACCCTTATATGATCTAAAAGGGGGAAGAACCCTCAGTTCCAGGAAATCCCTGCCCCTTTCCCAGAAAACTCATGAATAATCCACCCCTTGTTTAGCATATAATCAGGAAATAACCATAAGTATGCTCAATCAAGCAGCCCCTGCTGCTGCTCTCTGCCTATGGAGTAGCCAATCTCTTGTTTCTTTACGTTTCTAGTAAACTTGCTTTCACTTTACTTTATGGACTTGCCCCAAATTCTTTCTTGCGTGAAATCTAAGAACCCTCTCTTGGGGTCTAGATCAGGATGGTTTCTGGTAATAATAGCATGTGGTGAAAAGAGCCTGGAGGTTGAGATGGCAAAGCCTAGGATCCTTCCTCACTCTTGGGCCTGTGTTTGCACCAGTGAAATCAGGTGCTAGGGATTTCTTGCCTTCTATCGTGTTCTGACAGTCTTGATGAACTCTGATCCCACATTTGAACCTGGCCTTGGCACATGCAGCAGAAATATTGCATTGAGCAGTCTTTTTGTCTGGTGGACAGCAAATTGTGCTACTTTTGAAAAGTTATGGTGTTTATCAAGTTTGTCTTCCAGCCTTATCTCTCTGTCATTTTCCCCACACCACACACACATTTTAGTACCTCCTCTTCCAATTGGAACCAGGAAGAATCATTTAGAACTGTTGATTACTCTTTAGGGTAAAGGAATTTAGCTTAATTATTCATTCCAGACATTTGAAAGTAAAACTCTCTTGAAGGAATTTAAAGCATCTGCAAACAAAGAAGAATGTCCTTTATTTTCATTCAGGAGATTGGTCATTATTTCTAAAGTCACACTTTGATGATCATCAGAAAAGCATGAAGTTACTCCTGACTTAAGCCTACTGGGATGCATGGAGTTAGGTGAGGAGGGATGGTCTCCACCCATTGCCTGTGTGGAGGCTGTGAGGTGCTGCACCTTCGGTGCCTGGAGCCCAGACACCTGCTGTCAGGGAGAGGGGCAAGCAAGTGTGACAACTCTAGGGCCCAGAGCCCCTCTCACTTGGGCTTAGGATGGCTGCGCAGCCCTCTGTCTAAAGCCTCCCCTGCCTCATTCCCTGTTCCTGTCTGAGCTTCGGAACAGTTGCTCCTTTTTCAACATCTCTAGATTCTCTGATTCCAGGAATGCAGACGGGGCCTTTCCTGGAAGTTCCCTCTTCCCCTACCCCATGCCACTGAAGCTGGATAATGGTACTTGCAATTTCTGGGGAGACCACTCATGCAGCGTCCTGGTCCCAAGTTTCTGGGGTCTCAAGTCCCCGGACACTCAGGATACCACAGACAGGAAGCAGGGGGAAGCTGACTCTGCTGCTGTGGACATCTCAGGAAAGAAGGCAGCCTAGGCAGTTGCAGAAGTGTCAGAGGCATTTGAACCAGAGCAACTCCATCTTGAACAGGAACTGAGTAAAATGAGGCTGAGACCTACTGGGCTGCATTCCCAGACGGTTAAGGCATTCTAAGTCACAGGATGAGATAGGAGGTCAGCACAAAATGCAGGTCATAAAGACCTTGCTGATAAAACAGTTTGCAGTAAAGAAGCCGGCCAAAACCCACCAAAACCAAGATGGTGATGAGAGTGACCTCTGGTCGTCCTCACTGCTACATTCCCAGCAGTGCCATGACAGCTTACAAATGCCATGGCAACGTCGGGAAGTTACCCTATATGGTCTAAAAAGGGGAGGCATGAATAATCCACCCCTTGATTAGCATATTATTAAGAAATAACCATAGAAATGGGCAACCAGCAGTCCTCAGGGCTGCTCTGTCTATGGAGTAGCCATTCTTTTATTCCCTTACCTTCTTAATAAACTTGCTTTTGCTTTGCACAGTGGACTTGCCCTAAATTCTTTCTTGCGTAAGATCCAAGAACCTTCTCTTGGGGTCTGGATTAGGACCCCTTTCCTGTAGCAGATGGAGCCTAGATTCTGGGCAACTGTGGAGGCAACACCGTATCAGAGCCAAATCCCGTACCTCCTAGGAGAAAAAGTTCTCAACATTGATGCTGACTGTACTTGCAATAAAGTGAGGAGACGACAATGATAAAAATGTGTGCTGACTGAAAAAAGAATCCAGTTCACAGATGTGTATGTTCCTATTGCTCTAGTTACGCCAAAATGCCATACAACATAATACACCTATTTTTAAGTGTTTTGGATTAATGTGACTTATATTTTATATATGTCTACTTAGCTTTCTGTTTCTATTTAATTTTTTTCTAGGTTCATTGAAGTGTAATTTCCATACAATAACATTCCCCAAGATATTGAGCATTTTTATTACTCAAAAATGTTTTCTCCAAGCTCCTTTCCTAACCTCTGGCTCAAGGCAACCACTGACCTGCTTTCTGTTACTTAAAGTTTTGCTGTTTGTAGAATATCATATAATTAGAATAATACAGTATTGAGTCTTCGTGTCCCACTTATTTAGTAGAAGGGTTTGAGACTTATCCCTGCTGTATGATTTAATATTTTGTTCCTTTTTATTGCTAAGTAGTAGTTCGTTTTACAAACGTAACACAATGTATTAATCCATTTATCAGTTGATGCATATTTGGGTTGCTTCCAGTTTTCAGTTCTACGAGTAATGCAGATGTACACATTGTCTCAGTTTATTTGGGCTTCTATAACAAATGCCAGAGACTGGGTGGCTTATCAACAGCAGACATTTATTTCTCACAGTTCTGGAGGCTGGAAAGTCCAAGATCAAGGTGCTAGCAGATTTGCTGTCTGGTGAGGAGCCACTTTCTGATTCATAGATGGTGCCTTCTCGCTATATCCTCACAAGGTGGGAGTGCCCCCTTGGATCTATTTCACAAGGGCATTGATCTCCCTCATGAGAGTTCTGCCCTCGTGACCTATTCACCTCTCAGTAGCCCCCCATTTCCTAATGCCATCACCTTGGTGGTTAGGATTTCAACATATGAATTTTGGGGAAACACAAACAAGTAATGCAGACACATATCTGCATTACTCAGGGAACCATAGACCATAGCATTCCATCCCTGGCCCACCAAAATTCACACTCTTCTCACATGCACAATACATTCACCCTAATAGCCTCCAAAGTCTTAACTCATTCCAGCATCAACTGAAAACTCTGAAGTCCAGAGTCTCATTTAAACATCATCTAATCCAGATATAGGTAGGACTCAAGGTACAACTCATTTACAGGCAAGTTGCTCTGCAGCTGTGAACCCACGAAAGCAAACATGTTATGTGCTTCCAAAACACAACAGTGGGACAGGCACAGGATAGACATTCTCATCCCAAAAGGGAGAAATAGAAAAGAAGGGCTAATATGTTCCAAGCAAGTTCAAAACCTTAAGGCTCAGAAACAATCTTCTTTGACTCAAGCGTCTGCCCTCTAGGCCCACTGGGTTGAAGGGTTCCATCTCTGGAGGTTTGCTGGGCAGGGGGTGGGCCACCAAGTCTCCTGGAGGCCCTGTCCCCATGGCTTTGCTGGACACAGCTCCGACCACAGCTGTTAGGAGTTGGAGCCTCCCATCTGTGGCTTTTCTGGGCTGGAATTGTATGCTAGTAACTCAACCGGTCTGGGGTCACAGCGATGCCCCCCTCCCCACCCGCAGAGCATTGCCTTAGTGGGGACTGTGATGTGGCACACCCTCATGGTGGTCTGGGTTGGGTACTCAATACTCTGAATAGCTTTTTCTTTCAAAATCTAGGTGAAAATAGCCATGACCCATGCCTCATGCACCCTGTGTTCTGATAGAGATGGTGCCTTACTGAGGCTGCCATGGTTTCCTGTCTGTACTTTCTGCAGGGATAGCTACCACAGGCTAAGCCACACTTGGGCCCACTGGAGCCACACCTGGGGCAGCCAAGGAACGCTGAGTAGTATGCAGGGAGCAGAGCCTTGAAATTGTTCTGAACCCCAGGCACTTGTGTTCTGGGTCTGTGATGCAAGGGGCAGCACCAATAACTCCAAAATACTTTTTGGGTCATTCAGTCATTGTCTTCATGAATAGCACCTGGTTTCCTTTGGGATACCAGATCTATACTAATTTCCTCATCAAATAGTCACTTGGCTACACTCCTGCTTTCTCTTGAACATGCTTTCTCATACCTTTCAATATGAATAGGCTGAGAATTTTCCAAAATTTAATGTTTTGCTCTCCTTTTGATTAAAAAAAAAATCCATGTTTACATAGTTTATCTCTTGTTGTATTTTACTATAAGCAGTTAAGAGAAATCAAGCAGCATTTTCAACATTTTACCTAGAAATTTCATGAGGGAAGTCCCAGCCAGAGCAATCAGGCAAGAGAAAGTAATAAAGGGCATCGAAATTGGAAAAGACGAATTCAAACTGTCTCTGCTTGCCGATGACATAATCTTAGAAAATCCTCAAGTCTCCTCCAAAAGACTCCTACATTTGATAAACAAATTCAGTAAAGTCTCAGATTATAATATCAGTATACACAAATCAGTAGCACTACTAAAACCACCAAGCTGATAATCAAATCAAGAACTCAATCCCTTTTACAATAGCTGCAAAAATAAAACAAAATACTTAAAAACATATTTAACCAAGGAGGTGAAGGATTTCATTTTTCTTCCCTCTGTCCCTCTCTCCTTCCCTCCCTTCCTTCCCTTCTTCCCTCCCCTTCCTTCCTTCCCTTCCCTTCCTTCCTTCTTTTCTTCCTTCTTCCCTTCCCCTTCCCCTTCCCTTCATTTCTCTCTTTTTCTTTCTTTCTGAGACAGTGTCTGGCTCTGTCACCCAGGCTGGAGTGCAATGGCATGATTTCAGCTGACTGCAACCTCCACCTCCTCGGCTCAAGCTATCCTCCCACCTCAGCCTCCTGAGTAGCTGGGACTATAGGCGTGCACCACCACACCTGGATAATTTTTGTATTTTTTGTAGAGACAGGGTTTTGCCATGTTTCCCAGGCTGATCTAGAACTCCTAGGCTCAAGCAGTCTGCCCCCTAGGCCCCCCAAAGACTGGGATTACAGGCATGAGCCACTCCACCTGGTGAGGTGAAGGATTTCTACAAAGAGAACTACAAAACACTGCTGAAAGAGATCACATGTTCATATTGTGAAAATGACCATGCTACCCAAAGCAGTCTACACATTCAATGCAATTTCTATCCAAATACCAATGTCATTCCTCATGGAATTAGAAAAAAACAATGCTAAAATTCATATGATACCAAGAAAGTGCCCAAATAGCCAAAGCAATCCTAAGCAAAAAGAACAAGTCTGGAGGCATCACATTGCTGAACTTTAAATTATACTATAAGGCTATAGCAACCTAAGAGCATGGTACTGGTATAAAAGTTGATACATAGACCAATGGAACAGAATAGAGAACCAGAAATAAAGCCAAATGTTTACAACCAAGTGATCTTTGACAAAGCATAAAAAAAAAAAAACAAAAAAAAAACCTGGGGAGAGGACTGTATTCAATGACGCCGCTGGGAAAATTGTATAGCCACATGTAGAAGAATAAAAATGGATTCCTATCTCTCATTATATAAAAAAAAATCAACCCAAGATGGACTAAAGACTTAAATCTAAGACCTGAAATTATTTTAAAATTCTAGAAGAAAACCTAGGAAAAAAGCTCTTCTAGACATTGGCAGGCAAATAATTTATGACGAAGACCCCAAAAGCAAATGCAACAAAAACAAAAATAGACAAATAGGTCCTAATTAAACTAAAAAGCTTCTACACAGCCAAAAGAAATAATCAGAGTAAACAGACAACCTATACAGTTGGAGAAAGTATTTGCAAACTATGCAACCAACGAAGGACTAGTATCCAGAATCTACAAGGAACTCAGATCAGAAAGAATAAAACAAATAATCTTGTTAAAAAGTAGGCAGGCTGGGTACAGTGGCTCACGCCTGTAATCCCAGCAGTTTGGGAAGCCAAGGTGGGAGGATTGCTTTAGCCCAGGAATTCAAGGCCAGCCTGCGGAATACAGGCAGACACTATGTCCACAAAAAAATTAAAAATGACTGGACATGCTGGCATGTGCTTGTGGTCCCAGTGACTTGGGAGGCTGAAGTGTGAGGGTCACTTGAGCCCAGGAGGTCAAGGTTGCAATGAGCCATGATTGTGCCACTGCACTGTAGCCTGAGTAACGGAGTAAGACCCTGTCTCAAAAAAAAGGGGGGTGAGGTGAGAGTGGGCAAATGACATGAACAGGCATTTCTCAAAAGAAGATGTACAAATGGACAAAAAACGTTTTTAAAATGTTCAACATCACGAATCACTAGGGAAATGCTAGTTAGAACCACAGTGAGATACTACCTTGCCCCAGCCAGAATGGACATTATTGAAAAGTCAAAAAACAATAGATGGCATGGATGTGGTGAAAATGGAACACTTATACACTGCTGGTGGGAATGTAAATTAGTACAACCTCTATGGAAAACAGTATGGAGGTTTCTCAAAGAACCATTCAATCCAGAAATCCCACTACAGGGTAAGTACTCAAAGGGAAAAAAAAATCATTATATCAAAAAGACACTAGCATCTTTATGTTTATTGCAGCACAATTCACAATTGCAAAAATATGGAATCAGCCTAAGTGCCCATCAACCTGTAAGTAAATAAAATGTGGTATAAATTCCATAGAATACTACTCAGCTATAAAAAAAAGGCAAAATAATGTCTTCTGCAGTCACTTGGACGGAACTAGAGACTATTATTCTGAGTGAAATGACTCAGGAATGAAAAACCAAATACTGTATGTTCTCACTTGTAAGTGGGAGTTAAGCTATGGGTATACAAAGCCAGACAGTGGTATAATGGACACTGGAGACTCAGAAGGGGGAAGGGTAGAAGTGGAGATGAGGAATGAAAACACTACCTATTGGATATAACTTATACGACTTGGGTGATGATTTCACTAAAACCCCAGACTTCACCACTGTATGATTCATCCATATAACTAGAAACCACGTGTACTCCTAAAGATATTGAAAGAACGAAATTTAAATAAAAGAGTCAGATCACATGATGTACATGACTTCATACCTTCTTTGATATTTACCATTCATTTTTTTCCCTCTCCATGTTTTTACTTTTGCTGGCTTAGTACTTTTTTTTCTTTCCTTTTTAGCTGATTGTAAGCTTGGAAGTTGTATTATACTCTTAAGTTTTGAAAAATGTATAAACCCATGTAATCACCACCACAATAAAGATATAGAACATTTCCATCACCACCTCCATCCCAAAAAGAAATTTCATCAGCCAACTATCCAATTTTATTGCTCACAAGTTCCACCTTCCACAAAACACTAGGACATGAACACAATTCCACCAAATTCCTTACCTCTCTATAACAAAGATTGCTTTTCCTCCAGTTTCCAATAACATGTTCTCCGTTTCCATCTGAGACCTTGATGGTTTGGCTCTGTGTCTCCACCCAAATCTCATCTTGAATTGTGCTTCCATAATTTCCATGTCTTGTGGGAGAGACCCGGTGGGAGATAATTGAATCATGGGGTGGTTTCTCGCATACTGTTCTCGTGGTAGTGAATAAGTCTCGTGAGATCTAATGGTTTAATAAGGGGAAACCCATTTCGCTTGGCCATCATTCTCTCTCTTGTGCTGCCATGTAAGAATTATGCCTTTTGCCTTCCACCATGATTCTCTCTCTTACTGCCACCATGTAAGAAGTGCCTTTTGCCTCCTGCCATGATTGTGAGTCCTCCCTAGCCACATGGAACTGTGAGTCCATTAAACCTCTTTTTCTTCCCAGTCTTGGGTATGTCTTTATCGGCAACATGAAGACTTACTAATACAGATCTCATCAGAATGGACTTTAGTGTCCACATTTCTACCAACATTCTGCCTAGGATTACTCAGGTGCCTCTATGAAGATTGAGGCTCTCCCTACAGCTCTCCTCTTCCACAGCTTTACCAAAATCACATTTAAAGGTCTCTTCATGGCAATGTGGGCTTTTTCCAGCATGTACCTAAAAACTCTCCCATTCTCCAGGTCCAAAGCTACTTCTACATTTCTAGGAATTTGTTACAATAGTATCGCATTTCTCAGTACCAATTTCTGTCTCAGTCTGTTCAAGCTGCTATAACAAAATACCATAGACTGCGTGGCTTATAAATAACAGAAATGTATTTCTCACAGTTCCAGAGGCTGGAAAGTCCGAGATCAACGTGCCAGCAGATGTGGTGTCTGGGGAAAGCCTGCTTCCTCACAGATAGCCATCTTCTGACTGTAACTTCTCATGGCAGAAGAGGCGAGGGATCTCTTCTAAGAGTTCTGTTCATGAGAACCCTATCCACATGACCTAATCACCTCCCAAAGTCCCCACCCACCTGCTAATACCATCACCTTTTGGGTTAGGATTTCAATACATGAATTTTGAGGGGACACAAACATTCAGACCATAACATACAATCACATAAAAATCTTTGTGTTGCTGGGCATGGTGGCTCATGCCTGTAACGCCAGCACTTTGCGAGGCCGAGGCGGGAGGATCACTCGAGCCCAGGAGTTTGAGACAAGCCTGGCCAACATGGCAAAACCCCGTCTCTACAAAAAATACAAAAATTAGCAGGTCATTGTAGTGTGTGCCTGTTGTCCTAGTTACTCAGGAGGTTGAGGCGGGAGGATCACTTGAGCCCAGGGAGGTCGAGGCTGCAGTGAGCCATGATTGCACCAGTGCTTTCCAGCCTGGGCAACAGAGTGAAGTCCTGTTGCGAAAAAAATATCTTTGTGTGGGTAAATGTTATCATTTCTGTTGGGTAGATATAGGACTGGCTTCTTGAGTGTGTAATGTGTGCATTACACATAGGGCTCAACTCAGAAAGACCCTGTGCTTGGTTTAATATCACTGTCTTGAAATTCTTAGTAATTGTTGAAGAAGGAGCCCCTCATTTTCATTTTACACTGGGCACACAAATTATACAGCCAGTCCTGGGTAAATACCCACCAGTGGGATTGTTGGGTGGTATGATAAATGTATATTTAACTTTATAAGATAATTGCAAACTGTTTTCCAAAGTGGTTGTACTATTTTGCATTCCCAACAATGTATGAGAATTCCAGTTGTTCTACATCCTCAACAGTTTCTGTTCCTTTCTACATTGGTTATATCTTCAAATCTTTTAAAACTAGAGGGAGGATTAGTATGTTGTGAGGGTCTTCATCTTATCCGTTAATAACCTTCTTGGCCCCTGTTCCTTTCCTCATCACTTCTTTGGGCGTTGGTTGCCCTGTGTTAATAAAATGCTAAATAAACAGGTAGGAACGGGAATAGCAAAATTCAGAGGATCATGAAGTGATACATTAATGGTTCCCTCTTTGTTCTCAAGCAATATTGTTGTGTCTAGTCTCTACGACTGTAGGTTGGGAATTCAGGCAAATGTTTTCCAAGCTAAAAGATGGAGAGAATTAAACTACTTTTTGCTATGACCAACAGCAACTCTAGAAAAAAAAGCTACTTGAGTTCTCCTGTAAGATGTGTGTTTGCCCTAAAGGCTGGTTTTCTTTTAATTTAATACAAATAAACACAGAGTTGAAAAGACAGCCTCTTTTCAAGTGCAACTTCTCCATCAGCAATGCAGTCAGCACCAGACTATGTTGACTCCATTCTTTGTGGCAGAATCGTATTCATTAGAATAAAGACTTGCTGAAACTCAGATATTTCACATATAATTCTTTGCCTTTATCTAAAAGTCAGCTATCCTGCTCTTGAGGAAATTAGATTGATTGGACAGGCTGCGCTCTTCCAAAAAACCACATTTGCTGCAGTCACACTGTGATTTGGTAGGTATTTCCATAAAGCAACCAAAATATAATTTATAAGATGAGCCATTTCTTCATAACAATAGACGACGACTACATTTTCCTCTGTTTTATGTGATCTCTCAAAAGACCATAGTGGAACAATTTGCATTCCTTCAGTGTCCTGATAAATATGACACTCTGGCTTGTACTTTTGGACACATTGTAAGTACAGCAAGCTGTTAAAAAAAAACAGAGTGAACTTAAGAAACATGCAGACCTACATAAACAAAATGCTAAAATTCATTGAGGCAGGGGAAAAAAAAGACTTGAACAAGTAGAGACACATAGCACATTCACCAATAGGAAGACTAAAGATGTCCATTTTCTCCAGCTTATGACATAGCTACAAGATGGTTCCAGTCAAAACCCCAAAGGATTTTGGGGGGAAATTGACAAACTCACTCAAAAATCTATCAACAAGAATGAACAGGGAGGAAGGACCAAAATAATTTTGAAAAAGAATATTAACAAAGGAATGTTTACTTCATTAGATGTCAAAATATTTTATAGAAAGCGCTCGGTTTCATTTAGGGAAATCCCATCTTTTATTTAGGTAAAGACAATAATATTTGAGCAGAAATGAGGTGAAATAGGAATATCTTTATTTTACTTTCGGACATCTCAATAAGAAAAAGTGAACCATAGCTGGCTTCTGATTGGGCTGAGATTTTTTTCCTACAAGGGTAAGTTTCATTCGAATACTCTTCCTTTGTGGACGCCATACTGTCCTTCAGAATGGTCCTTACCGATTCCATGAAAGTGACACGGAGCTTCTAACATTAATAAAGGAGCTCAGTATCTTTCCATTAGTGCATGCTTTATAATGCTAGGATGTTCAGATTGGTTCCAAGAGCAGATGGATACCGAGCATTTAAATGACAGAAAAATAAGTGTATTATTGATACCCAGAGTAACGGACAGACTTGGTTAATCATCAGAGCTGCTCCCATACACATCCTTCCTAATTTGTGGCTTCTCATTTTCATATTAACTGGAATGAATTTCTTCTAAAATGTAATAGGAAAGGAGAAGGAGAAAATGGACTTATTGACGTAAGGGGAAACAATCCCCTTCCCTGAAGAATTAGGTAGCCTTTTAATTTAAAGTTCCAGTAGATGAATAATGCTGGTATTTCCCCAGGGTGACTGTGATTGGAATTTCCACCCTGTCTGAGATCACATTTTTCATAGCTCCACACCTGCGAGCGCCCTTGTCCCGCTTCACTTTCTATCCCATTGACATGGTCGGGTCCAGGGCTCTGTGCTTCAATCAAGGCTGAAGATAAGGAGTGATGCCTAGCTCTGGACAAGGATGACACAGCACTATACCTTCAGTTACGAGAAATAAATGCAGCTAGATACACACTCAGAAAATACTTATTTTTATAACTATCCATAATGTCTTTGTGACACCAGATCTTTACCCTCTCTGGGCCTCCACTCACCCCACCCCAACTTCATTTCCAGGCTCTACAGAAAATGCTAGGCAGGTTTCTTCCTGGCCCTCCAGCCAGTTTATCTGTATATTCTTGGGTGTATATAAGAATGCATATTTATCCATTTGACATTTATTTAACACATGGCTTCCAAGTGTGGGTATCGTAACATCTTGGTCAGGAATGATCTCTTCCTCGCCATAGCATTGATGCTGATGGATTTCAAATTTACATCTTCTGCCCCGACCTCCCACTGTGTTTCAGACCTGAACAGCCTGCTGCCTAAGGAATATCAATCCCACCCCATAGGAACCCAAACGTGAATGCTTCCAAAACCAAATTTGTTGTGTTTGCTGCTTCCTAGCTGCTTTCCCTCCTCTGTGGTCTATCTCAGTGAGACACTCAGCGAATCTCAGGGACACCTGCCCCCACCTTTATAAGCCAGAAACCTGTGAATTATCCTAAACTCCTCTGTATGTGTAAGCTTTTATATCCAAGTCACAAGGACCTGTGTATTATACTTGCTCAATATTTCTCAATCCCATGCCCACTTCTCCATCTTTATTACCACTAGTTTCATCTGCAAACCCTTGTAATGTCTTGTCTGGAATATATTACTAGCCACCTAACTGACCTTCTAGTTCCTGTTGTCCATCCTTTTAACCTGATATCTTTTTGTTTTGTTTTGTTTTGAGATGGAGTCTCACTCTATTGCCCAGGCTGGAGTGCTCACTGCAACCTCCGCCTTCTCGGTTCAACCATTTCTCGTGCCTCGGCCTCCCAAGTAGCTGGGATCACAGGCATGTGCCACTGTGCCCCGCTAATTTTTTTTTGTATTTTTAGTAGAGACGGGGTTTCACCATGTTGGTTAGGCTGGTCTTGAACTCCTGACCTCAAGTGATCTGGCCTCCTCGGTCTCCCAAAGTTCTGGGATTACAGATGGGAGCCACTGCGCTCAGCCCTGATATCAATCTTGCTTTCAGGACAGTTCCCCTAAAATGTAAGTGATTTTATATAATTGCCCTATTTAAAATCCTTCAGTGGCCCCATTATCAGCAGGGCAAAAGGCCCATCCCCTGGGCTTGCCATGCACATCTCATCCTGAGCGGGCTCTTGCCCACCTTCTCAGCTGTAGCTTCCATCACTTTGCATTCACAACATCCTTTCTGTACATGCAGAATTACCCACAGGTCCCCAAATCAGCCTTGCTTTTTTTATACTTTACACTTGCATGTGTCTCCGTTAAATAGAATGCCCTTTTCTGTACCTATCCGGTGAATTCCTGTCCATTTTTCACCTTCAGCTCAAACATCACAGCCTCTCAGGAGCCTTCTCTGCCCTTCCAAGACAAAATGCACTCTTCCTTCTCTTTGTCTACTAACACTTTGTCATTCAGCGTGCTGGTAGATGTAGAATGGGCACATGTGCAGCCAGGCAAGCAAGCAGGCTCTTTATTCTCTTTGCTGTACTACTTCCTCCAACAGCCAGGCTGGAGGTAACCTTTGGCTAAGCTGGATAGGCACCTGGGAGCTTCTCTACTGACCTTGGGGCCCCCGGTTCCCCAGCTGTGATCCAACTTGGAGTAACATGACCTTGAGGATTATGCATCACACAAAGATGTGACTATTCCTGGCTTTTGCAGAAGGTAGGATACCGACTTACCTACCACTTACAGCTGCATCATCATGTGAGCTGATTCCAAAAAAGAGTTTTGACTTTATTTTTGGGTATGTTGCAAACCTCACTGGGAACTAGTGGCCATTCTCTGGTTTTCAATCTGGGGTAAAAGTCAAGGGTTTCCCCATCTCTGCCTTGACAGGTCTATTATAATACTTACCCTGTTATCATTTTGCCGGTATTCCCTGAGAACACGGGCTCTTGCATATTAATTTTTATAGCCCCCAAATCTAGGTACACTGCCTGGCATGTTAAAGGATGTTTAACAAGAATTGTATTTTATAATTATAATAAATTAATGTGATTTTTCTTACCCCACCATCGACAGCCTTTACTATGTTGCTCTTGATATTAAAGTAGCCCCGAGGTTAGAACCATAAAGATTTCTCTTGGATTTCTAATATCTACACATTACTTGGGTATCACTTCATCGCAACACATCTTGTAGGAGACACGGTGAGAAAATGACAGAACCCACGTGTATTCGGCATATATGATAATTCTATGATTGGCCACTAGTCGATGTTGTAGTTACAAGTAAAAGCCACCAGATGGCTTAAGGAAATGAATTTATTTCCAATTGAGGTTTTTAGCTTGGAAATCTGGGACCAAAAAAAGCAGTGATTGGAAAGGAACTAAACGCCTCTCTAGTGAGCCCCACATAACTAACAAAACCCACTTATCAGTATCACCTGACTTCAGCAATAGGCTTGTAGAGGTTTGGCAACCTTCAAAGGGCAAACACTAAACGGTGTATTATCCTTCTACCTTCCCGTATCTACATGCTTTAAGATTATGGAATAATTACTGAAATTCAATTCAATTCCACAAATATTTATTGAGTTAAATTAAACCTTATGAGAGGCTTACAGAAGCATATGAGGCACGAAACACAGCTTACTAAGCACAGAAAAACGTATGGTAGCCTGGAAGTAAAGATGAATTTCTTTCCTCTTTGTGTGCACTGGCGCTGGTTACCATTTCAAGGAGAAGTTCTGATGAAAAAATAATTGTGACCTAGAAAATGTCTGCATATTATCTGCAGGCAGAACGGGTAAAAGGTGAAATAAAACAAAGCAAACCTAAACAGCTATAGTGTTTATGAATCAAAATGTATTTTAGATGGCATTTACACATGAAAACCAGAGTCGAAATTATCAGATTAGATTTGAAAGTTTTAATGAGGTGATTTAAAAATAAAGCTATGTAGAAAAAGATGTGAAGGATATACCCCACTGGCAGGATATGTTCAAGTGGCTCTTTTGTTTTTTTACTCTAGATGCTCTGTACTGGGAGAAATTTTTGGAATATGCCTATGTTTATTATTTTGGAATGTAAAGAGTGAAATGTAAACCTAGTTAAAGGTATTTGCACTCATTTATTTGACACATATACTAGGGGTGGGTACCCTAGCTCAAAGATAGAGCCATGATTTAGAGATTCTGATTTTGAATTCTGTTAATACTGAGGTAGCAAACCTTGTTAGCCTTTTTAGTAAGTTAAAAAATTAAGTCAAGCTGTAGTGCTTGCTTTAAAAAATATATACTAAAGAGGCCTTTAGAAATATTCAATATCAGAAACCTCTGAATAAAGATTAAAGTAGGCTGGGCATGGTAGCTCATACCTGTAGGCCCAGCACTTTGGGAGGCTGAGGCGGGCGGATCACTTGAGGTCAGGAGTTCGAGACCAGCCTGACCAAAATGGTGAAACCCCATCTCTACTAAAAATACAAAAATTAGCCGGGCATGGTGGCACGTGCCTGTAATCCCAGCTACTTGCCGGGCTGAGGCAGGAGAATTGCTTGATCCCAGAAGGTGGAGGTTGCAGACAGGTGGGATCATACCACTGCAGTCTAGCCTGGGCTACAGAGCCAGACTCCATCTCCAAAAAAAAACAACAACAACAACAACAAAACCAAACAAACAAACAAAAAAACAAGTTAAAGTCAGTATAAATGAATGCAGAAAAGCTTCCTCCACAATGTGGAGGGCATAACACATTTTATAATTACTAGCTAGCAATTCAAAAATATTTATTTGCTAATGAGAATTTAAGAAAAGAAACTCAATAGAGTACCAGCCCTCTTTTCAACATAAACTAAAATTGGATAATTAACTTTTAAAAGCACTAATTTCTTCTGAAGGTGTAAAAAGAAAGTTTTCTTTGATAAAGCAGAAATTTTATCTTTCTTTTCGAGGCATGAATAAATTAAAGGAGACAAAATCTAGCTTAATGGAGTAACCCAGTATTTGAGATTATAATTAAAAAGTTGTACAGGTTAACATAGCCTAATTGTTTTTTCTTTTTACCAACCTACAGCTCATGTGTACACTAATTATTTTTTGTTAAATAAAACTGTTTACATCTGGGCACTGTGGCTCATGCCTATAATCCCAGCACTTTGGGAGGCTGAGGGGGGAGGATCGCTTGACCCCAGGAGTTTGAGACCAGCCTGGACAACATAGTGAGACCCTCATCTCTACAAAAAATAAAATTATCTGGGCATGGTGGCACACACTTGTAGTCTCAGCTACTCGGGGAGATGAGGTGGGAGGATCACTTGAGTCCTGGAGGCAGAGATTGCAATAAGCTGAAACTGGATCAATGCAGTTCAGTCTGCACAACAGAGCAAGATTCTGTCTCAAAAAAAAAAATTGTTTACTTTCTGATTACATGTTCACTCTAGAAAATTTTAGAATATATTTTAAAATAGAAGAGAATAATTTTAACATTTCCAACACAAAGAAAAATGTCTGAGGTGATAGATAGCCCAATTGCCCTGATTTGATTATTACAAAGTAATACCCCGATTTGATTGTATACAAGTATCAAAATACACATGTACCCCCAAAATATGTAGAACTATTATATATAAATAATTTTAAAAAAGAGAAAATTTGAAAGTAAAAAAAAAATGGGAAAAATAAAAATTACTCTCAATCTCATTAGATAACCACTGCTGACATTTTGGGTTTTTTTTTTTTTTTTTTTTTTAGAGACAAGGGTTTCGCTTTGTTGCCTAGGCTGGCATGCAGTGGCACAATCATGGCTCACTGTAGCCTCAAACTTCTGGCTCAAGCAACCATCCCACCTCAGCCTCCTGAGTAGCTGGGACTACAGGTGTGCACCACCATGCCTGGCCAACTTTATTTTTTGTAGAGGTGGAATCTTGCTATGTTGCCCTGGTTGATCTTGAACTCCTGGCCTCAAGCAATCCTCCCATCTCAGCTTCCCAAATCATTGCATTACAGGCATGAGTCACCACGCTTAGCTGGATTATTTGCTTTAATTTTGTTGCCCATCAATCTGAATATGATATTTATATAACTAGGTTGAGGGAAATTTCACCTGTTTCCCTAAAGTTGGCAAAAAGGACCCAAAGCTTAGGGCAGAGAGACATCAGCTACCCCAAGTCAAAAGAGATCTTCAAACAACTGGGGTCTAACTGCTCAGAGTCTATCAAGAAGTCAAATCTCTCCAGTGTGTATAAGGAAAAGGCTGATGGCTGGGGAGCAGGAGATGCATTGGAATCTCAAATGGTCTGCCCACTCCTCCAAAGCTAAAGGGCCTAGAATTGCCCACAGATGGGGTAGGTCTGCAAGAATGAGGAATCAGCATTATTCCCCACGGAAATTTCTACTGAAACCCCGTACCCTGTAGGTCTGCTCTGTGCTTTTCTTAGCAGGGAAAAGGAGAATGGAGACGAAGGAGGAGTGGTCCCACTGCTTGGCAAGGTGAGCAGGTATAAGCTCCCCTGGAACTAAAGGACTGGAAGCTACAGTAGCTTAGCTCAATTTACCTTGCCTCTGTAATGCTCATGAGCTCAGGATTCCTGGGGCAAGGGGTTCTGAGCAGCCAGACACTGTGGACTGTGCCTCTGGAGCAGAAGCTGCAGAACCTTTGGAGGAGGTTTCCTGGTGGTGGAGGTCCCATGTCAAGGTGCCATGCATGGGGAGGCTCGCTTGAGGGTTCACACACCCCATATGCAGGGCTCCCATGCCAGTGGCTGTGAACCTGAGAAGCCAGCAGAGCAACGCACAAGGAAGCACGCTGGCAGGCCGGTTAAGGAAAGGCCTGTTCCATTTCTTCCATCCCCCTTCCCAGGCTGCAATCCTAAAAGAGCTTAATCCCAGGGAGAAGAAAGAAGGAAAAGTAGATCTCCTCCCAATTTGTGTCTTTCAGGAGGGAAGCGGGATCCATGCTGGGCTGGGAGTGGGGAACGGAGTGAGTATTAAAGTAGACCCGAGTGAAGTCTCTAAGTATAGACCAAACTGGACCGTGCTTTTCATCCCTGGAAATGAGCAGGAAGCTAGGGGTACCCTCCATACATCTGGAAGGGGTGGGACGGGAGATCTGATCTACTGCAATAGAAGGTCGTTGATGTTTTCCTCTTTATACTTAGTGTTCTCAAAGAATGATACTATTTTTAAAATTAGAAAGCAAAAAATTTAATTAGCTGGCTTATATGTCCTGAGTCCAGGCTATTTCATAAGTGAATTATGAAACTATTATTTTTTTCTGAATTGAAAAATAAATGATTATAAAAGAAAAAATTAAGAAAAAAGTGAAAGTTATCTATATTTCTACCATCAGAGACAACTGCTGTTAACAGCCTGGATATATTCTTTCAGGCTTTTTCTATTCTCTTTTACACACACACACACACACGTGTGTGCATGCACACTTAATAAGACCTAAAATAACTGCATTTTGTTAAAGTTACATGTTGAAGGAAAAAAGTCTACTGTCCATGTACTCTGGAGGCAAACATGTCCCCAAGAAAGATAAGATTAAGGGACTGAGTTATTTTCGTACAGGTAGTTAACAGAATTATCATTGATAAATATCAGTGAAATAAGTTATCTGATAATTAAGTTTTAAACGAATCAACATAAAGCAGTTTTAAATGAGATAATCCCATACGATTCACTGCTTCATTCATTCAACCCACAACTTACTGAGAGTCTACTATGTGCCTAGGGGTATCGTTTTCTGCATTAAGAATCAGTCTAATTTATCAAAGCTGGATGACTTTGCAATACACCTTTAGACTCTGGGTGAAGTTGATGAACAACCTATTAACTGACAGATCTACCAAATGCCCTCTCAGCTTAAAAAGTTGGTGATTCACGCCAGGCACGGTAGCCCATATCTGAAATGTCAGCACTTTGGGAGGCCAAGGCCGTAGGGTTTCTTGAGGCCTGGAGTTTGAGACCAGCCTGGGCAATGTAGTGAGACTCTTTCTCTAAGATAAAATAAAATAAAATAAAATAAAATAAAATAAAATAAAATAGCTGGTGAACCAAGGAATTTAGAGAATTTCTGATTTTTTCCGCGCTGCCCCCTGAATTTCACAGAAGAGAAAAATAAAGAGACACAAAATAACTTGTCAAAGGTCACAGAACTGGTTAATCTAAAACTAGATTACAATCCAGGCCACCTCTTGGATACTCATTCACCTCCCCATTTGTTCATTTACTCAACAAATGTTTTTTATGTCCTACAATGGAAGTCCAGTGCTCTTGGCTTGTCATGTCTTTATAATAAAGACAATCATCATCACCATAACTGTTATTAGGCAGTATGTTAAGTGTATTCACTTGGATTACCATGTTTCACGGTCATAAATGTTTAGTAAGTAGTTAGAAAAGATAAGGTTGACAAATAACAGTATTTACAAAACTAAATTCTACCTGTGTCCTTTGTGGGGGTGTACAGGGGGGAGGTCTCTGTGATGTAAGTCTGAAAGGTGTGTATGTATGAAGGAGTTTAGTTCATATACTAACCAGAGAACACTTAGATAACAGAATAAGAGACTAGGAACCCAATTTGCATAGAGGCCACTAGACATCCTGGAGAATGGATGAGGAAGACTTAGGGCCTTTAGTGATTCATGCACCCACTCAGCCAGTAGTGAATGAAAGCTTACTATTGGGATATAATAATAAGCAAAATATGGACACAATTCCTTCTGGCATGGAGCTTATTGTCCAGAGGAGGAGATCGATTTCAATCACACAAATAATTGTGTATTATAATCCTAGCTAACATGCACTGAGGGCTTCCTATGTGTCCAGCACTATTCTAGGCACTTACCCCATGTTATTTAATCCTCGCCAATAAAAAAACAAAAAGAAAAAACCTGTGAGGTTGGTGCTGATATTATTACCCCCAGTGATGTTTCTTTTTTCTTTTTCCTTTTTTTTTGAGACCGAGTCTTACTCTGTTGCCAGGCTGGAGTGCAGTGGCACAATCTTGGCTCACTGCAACCTCCGCCTCCTGGGTTCAAGCGATTCTCCTGCCTCAGCCTTCCAAGTAGCTGGGACCACAGGTGCACACCACCACACCCAGCTAGTTTTTGTATTTTTAGTAGAGACGGGATTTCACCATGTTGGCCAGCATGGTCTCTATCTCTTGACCTTGTGATCCACCTGCCTCGGCCTCCCAAAGTGTTGGGATTACAGGTGTGAGCCACCGCGCCTGGCCCCCCAGTGATGTTTCTGATGAGAGCTCTGAAGGAAAAATGCATGGTGATAGGAAGTCATTTATTGGGGGAGTCTAATCCGGCCTGCGGTGGAGGAAGACAGAGAAAGAGACACCCTCTCTAACAAGGGTGAGGAAGGTTGTCAAGGGCTGCCCCATCTTCTGAGGTGGGCAGGGTACTCACCAAACAGCAGGGAAGTGCTGAAAGAGTATTGATTGGGGTACTGGGGAGTCATTAGTAGTAGGCAAGGGAGTGAAAAAGGAATTAAGTACTTACTACTACCTCTATGCCAGTCTGTGCAGTGCTGAACCCTGTCCCTAAATTATTTTCTCACCCAGTCTGGGGGTTGTGATCCTGAATTCCTTGGGGCGGGGGGAGACGCTCAGAGAGAAAATGCACCAGGCTACCTGTGGGGGAGTCTGATTAAAGCAGGGGGACCCTGAACCCCAGGGAATGGCCACAGCATGGAGTCAGCAGTGCCAGGTGCTCTGATGGGGGCAGTGCAGGGACACTGGTGACAGCTGAGGCAAGCTCACCAGGCACACAAGAAACAAGTGCAGAGCTGTCTCTCACTGGACACTTCCAAAGGACTTGGGCTTTTTTTTTCTAATTTTCAAAATATATTTTATTTCTTTCTTATATGTATTTTGCAACATTTCCAAGGTAAACATCAGCTTCATATACAGAAATAAAAGAGTTCTTTAAGAACTGGCATTGAATTAATCACAAGAATGATCAAATTATAATGGGAAACAAACTTGCCTATTACCAAAGCTAATGAGCTGAAGTGAAGAGCTGTCTTTACAAAGCTCTCATTGAGCCCCCTGCCCTGCAGCTGACTCAAGCCGTCATCACATATGTACATGTATAAGAAAGGACATTGGCACAGTACAGCAGCTTTGCAACCTCCAAAAGTATTTTGGTTTTAGTTCCCAGGAGTACATCCACAGGTATTTGGTGCTTTGCCCTATTGACTTTGATGGGTCAGTTTTGAAGTTTGATTAAGAACACGTTCTCTTGGAATGTGCTAAATTTTCAATTAATGGTACTAAATATGCAAAGACATGTCATATAGCCTCTACATTTCTGCATCATTTTCAACTTATACACTTGAAAGTTTTCCTGTACATTCTCCTACAGCATCTTTGATATTTTTTGGTTTCCAAATAGTCTGCTTGTCACCTCCTGTGTGTACTGACTGCGGAGCACTGCTACCCCTCAAAATGTTAAGATTCCCCTGTGAGGGTTTTTGTTTTGTGCTTTACCCTCTCCACAGCTTTTGATCTGATTCAGTAACATGGTTGGTCTATGAAGAGCAATGACTAAAAAAAAAATAATAATAATCAGAGCTTAATGTGATGTAGATTTCAAAAAAAAAATGTTAAAGGTTTTAGTTGTAATTTCTGAAAATCATAGACTATCGCAAAGAGAAGTTTTTATTCAGGTTCTAGAATTTAGATTTTGAGGGTCCAACAGATTCTATCAGGTGCTGTTGAATATCCTGTATTTCCTAGCTCTTCCCATGGTTTCTGGTTATGTTCCAAACTTCTTTATATTCAGCAATGATAGCTTCAACACTGAGCTAAGTTTTAGTTTTGGATTCAGTGTGCAATCCGGAATGGGTGAAGGCAGCTGAGAACAATCAGAGATTCTGGGGCTCTAGAGGCATGTTTATTGAGGGCCAGGATATTGGGTGTGGGTTCCACCAGAACAATAAATCTCAAAGTTTGCTGCCTGGACCAGCAGTGTCAGCATCACCTAGGAATTTGTCAGAAATGCAAAGTTTCAGGGCTAACTCAAACTACTTGATCAGAAACTCTAGGATGGGACCAGGCAATCTGTTTTAATAAACCCTCCATGTGATTCTGGTGTATGCCGATGTCTAAGAACCATTGAGCCACTCAAAACCCTAGTGGCTTACACACAATAAAAGCTCCATTTCTCACTGTCTCAGTCTATCAGGCTGCTATAAAAGAGTCCCACAGACTGGGCAGTTTAGAAACAACAGAAGAGTTTTGAAGTTTAGAAGCCACTGAACTGCCTTTGCACCTTGGTTGAAAATAAACTGACCATGTGTGTGCAAGGTGTTTTTTTTTTTTTTTTTTTTTAACTGTTTTGTTCCATTAACCTATGTCTCTTGTGGTCAACACCACACTTTCCTGGATATCATAGCTTTATAGCAAATCTTGAACTCAGGTAGCCTCCTGCTGTCCTATGGAGGTGGAGGGAGGGAGGATGGGAAGACCTATGAGTACTGACTCAAAGTGGAGAAATGTCTTAACAACTCTCCTGCACCCTGTCCCCCAATACAGAGGCCTCCAAATGAAGGTTTCTGGGCTCAAAATGCAGATATAATGATAAGCATGGCTGGCCTGGGGTAAGGCCTGAGTCCTTGACTGCAACTTCCTTCAGAGACTGCAGTTCACTGCCTGTGCTCTACATCTGGTGTGAGTAGGGCAGCTTTCCCCTCTAAGGTCTGCTAGGCAAAGCCTTTACAATTGCCATGGTCAGCCGTGATTTTGGACTGGAACTGGACTTCTCAGTTTTTGGCTGTAGTAGGTCCTCTGCATTTGCATCTGAGTTTTAGAATAAGCTTGCCAATTTCTACTAAAAAACCTGCTGGAATTTTCATTGAGACAGTGTTGAATCTATAGGTCATTTTGGAGAGCACTGGCATTTAACAATACTGAGGCTTCGGATCCACCTACATGGTATAGCTCCACATTTATTTAGGTCTTTTACATTTCTCTTAGCAATGTTTTGCGGTTTTGATGTGCAGGTCTAACATATCTTCAGTCAGATACAAATTTTAAATATTTTTGATGTTAATAAATAAGTAGTATTTTTAAAATTTTGATTTCCATTATTTTGTCTTATAGAAATACGATTTTTGCATATAGATTTTGTAGCTGCAATGTTGCTAAACCAGTATTAGCTCCAGATTTTCTGTAGAGACCATGACATTAACCTAAATTATGTGGTATTAATTAACTGACAGGCAGCACAGGTATTACAGGTGAAAAGCTGGTGACCAAGCCCCTCCTTTTTTTTTTCCCCCGCCACAAGACATTTGATAAAATTGTCAACTCAGTACCTTAGCAGGCAGACTACCTGCTCTTTGAATCTGTAGTAGCAGGGAAAATGGTTGGGAGTGAATCTCTGGGTCAGTGAGACAGTACTGCCTTCTTCCTGTCTCTTTAGCAAAGTACTTTGAGAAAGATGAACTCAGGTAAAAACTAGTCATTTTGTTAACAGAGCTGGAAGGAAATAAAGTCATACTAAGATGGAGTTCTCTGCCTGTAGTCTGCAATACAAATTGACTGAGTGGTGATTTCAAGCCTTCTAGTTCTGATAAAGCCAAAAGCTATTACACTTCTGACAGTGTAAGATAAAACTGTGACCCAAGGCACTTCTCAAAGGCCATCAGCAAAGTGTTCTCTGCTGGACAGTGGAACCCAGACAAGCAATAGAGGTCATATTAAGGGCACTGCCTTCCTAACCATGACTGCTGTTTTTGCTGGGTGCAAGCATATAGCCACTAAGTTAGTAGGTACAGGAGATATGAGAGAGTCTCGTAAATAAAAATGAAGAGTAGTTAGGCATAAGAAATATGACTAATTGAGATCTCTATCTGTGGTTATTTGTAAAAGGAACTATACAAGGAACAAACAGATAAGAAATCCATTCGGTATCTTTTAAAAATTGAATTGACAAAGAAGCTATTAAGCCTAGCTTGCCAATGCCTGTGTCTATCTGACCCTACTAAAGTAACCCACAGTCCCTCAAAAGCGCACCAGTAAGAAACTGGATATAAAAAGATGTGTAGCCTCTCATGGAGCACACTCTTTAGCATGCCCTTCAGATGGAATCATAGATCATGGGTAAGAACCTCCCAATGGGTAAAGACAGTACCTTTGGATGCAACAAACCAGAGTTCCTCCTGGAAAACAGAACTGGGGTCTAACCAAGAATTTACTTCATTACCTTTGTAGTCTAATCTGCTCTTCACATTCGCTTAGACAAAGAACTACTATTTTGTCCTCACTCTTCTTCCAAATTAGTTTTCGTGCCCTACTTCACCACTGCATACTGGCTGTGTGGGGAAGAGAAAGGGGAATAAATAACATAATTTACTCTGTAGGTCATTGGACCATGAGGAGTTATATCAGACTTGTAAGGGACTGTTACATCTTTAGATCATGGACGCTGAGCTGGATGCAGTAACTGCTTAGAATGCTGGGTTTTCTCTCTTCAAACAGGGTGTGTTCTATGTGTCACAAGGGTATCCATGGATATTTGAGGGGCCAGAGGAGTAGATTGTGTCACAGTTGTCCAAAGAACATTCCTGTTTTATTATTAGAACTGCCAAATATCCAAGTATTAGTTGTATCTATAGTCACTCCGCAAGAGAACCTCATCTCCCACCTTCCCAAGTTAGATGTGGCTGTCAGATCAACAGCGACATTAGATTCTCATCAGAGGACAAACCCTATCGTGAACTGTGCATGTGAGGGATCTAGGCTGCACACACCTCATGAGAAGCTAACTAATGCCTGATGATCTGAGGTGGAACAGTTTCACCCCGAAACCATCCCCCATCTCCCCTTCCCCATCTGTGGAAAAAAACTGTCTTCCACGAAACTCGTCCACGGTGCCAAAAAGGTGGGGGACCGCTGGATTAGGGGGAATGTCTGAAGAAAAGGAAGTCCTAGTGGTGAAAAAGGCACCACTGAAGGCAAAAATGTTCAATTCTTTCCTCAAAACACCAAAGAAACTAATATAACTTTTCTTGCAGCTATTCTGGTAAACGAAAAACCCTTGTTTTTGAAATAAGATATATCTGTTCTTTAAAAATGCTTATTCTTTTATAATTATAAAAGTAACAGCCATTGGAATACTCGAGAACGTTGTAACAATACAGAACACTTAAAACAGTTTAAAGACAATGAAAAGCAGTAGAATCCCACTATTCTGAACAAAAAAAATTGCATTTTTTTCGAATTGTTCAGTGGCTGTGCAACTGGGAGTACATGCATTTTCATATATACTACATGTATACACGCACACTGCATTTGTTTTACTTTTTCATTTAACATCAAAATTAATTTTTTTTTTTTGAGACAAGGTCTTGCTCTGTTGCCCGGGCTGGAGCACAGCAGTGTGATCATAGCTCACTGCAGCCTCTACCTCTCTGGCTCCAGCGTTCCTCCTGGTGCAGCCTCCCAAGTAGTTGGGACCACAGGTGTGCGCTACCACACCACCATGCCCAACTACTTAAATACCTTTTTTTTTTTTTTTTTTTTGGTAAAGATGGCGTCTCAAACTCCTGGCCTCCAGCAATCCTCCTGCCTCAGCTTCTCAAAGTGTTGGGATTACAGGAGTGAGCCATCATGCCAAGTAAGTTATTTCTTCACACTAAACATTCTTCAGCTCTTAGTTGCAGAGTATTTCTAGCATGTGAAACTTCATACAATCAACCACAAAACACAGACAAATCAGTATGTATCAAAAAGAAGTAACTGAAAAACACAAAATATTGTCTTTGACAGAATGACTATTTTTTCAGACCCTTAATAGTGACCAGGCCTTCGCAAGCCTAGAAGGGACTCCTGGGGGTGTTTTCATGAAAGGCCTGTGGAACCGACTTGGTATAGCCTCATAGCAATAACAAACAGTTTAGGTATCATTTTGTCCAGGGGAAATACAAATTACAAAATCAAAGCTAGAGCCTTTTTAGTGTTGTATGCCTGGCAACACACCTCATTCTACACTATAGCACTGCTAAGCCTCCTGCCCTCCTTACAGTCCAGACCACATGAAAACAAAGTGGTAACTAAATCCATGCAAGAAGCTGGGTGAAAGCCTCCTTTCTGTGGGTGCTAATCTGAAGTTCCCTCCCTCATCTGAGACGACCTGCCCATTTTGGCAGAACATGTGTTAAGCCAAAATCTCACACAGATGAACTCCCAAGTCACTCACCTCGCTCCAACCACTTTACATTTAGTTTGAGAATGTCACAGGAACAAATGTCATCTCCTATGATTTGAGAAACAAGAATAATACAACACCACCATTAAGTCCACCTACACTGCCTTAATGGTGCTGTTGGTGCCTTGCTCCCGTATTTTGGCCGCTGCAAAATGGGCTTAAATATGTTTGTAAATACATAACTTAATATTGAATTCATCTTCCCTATTCCGCGCATTTTGAGAACTGTGCTTAGTTTTCACTTTGGACGAATAGCAACCCTTCTGATGGCCGTCATGACAATGTCTCCAATAAAAACTGACAGTCTAGCTGGCTGCAAGGCAGGTCCTCTTCTATCTTACTGGGTACTGCTAAACTGCGAAGTCGGGGCGACACGGCAGCAACTTTAAAATCAAACCGCATCCCCAAGGGCTCGGCGTGTTTTTTGGCCTCTGCAGCTTCACGTACTTCGTACGACAGGAGCGCACTTGTTCTCTGTCCGAGAACTTCGTCCCGAGAGAACCTCAGGAACTCGCCGGGCCACACCCCCTGTCCAGGGAAGGAACACGCCCCCGGTGACAGCCGGTACGGCCCCGGGTTTGGGCAACCTCGATTACGGGCGGCCTCCAGCCCCGCCAGCAGCGCCCCGCGCCCGCCCGCCCGCGCCCCTGCCGCCCCCCGGTTCCGGCCGCGGACCCCACTCTCTGCCGTTCCGGCTGCGGCTCCGCTGCCGGTAGCGCCGTCCCCCGGGACCACCCTTCGGCTGGCGCCCTCCCATGCTCTCGGCCACCCGGAGGGCTTGCCAGCTCCTCCTCCTCCACAGCCTCTTTCCCGTCCCGAGGATGGGCAACTCGGCCTCGAACATCGTCAGCCCCCAGGAGGCCTTGCCGGGCCGGAAGGAACAGACCCCTGTAGCGGGTAAGCACTGGCCACACGGAAGGCGCGGGCGGCGACGCTGCGCATGCGCGCCTTTGCCCGGCGGCAGCGCGCCCGCTGCCCGGAAGGAAGCCGTGGGCTGGCCTCGGGCGGGTCGCGGGGTGGGGGTCTGCGCAGGCGCGAAGGGGCGCCGGCAGTGGCCGGGGAGACGCTGGGGTCCACTGACGTCCCTTTGTCTTTGTTTGGCTCGTCATCTTCTGGAGCCAAACTGGGCATTCTGAAGGAATCTAGTGCATCGGTCTCACTTACCCGGAGTGCATACCGTCGCGGCCCCAAGTTTTGGGCAGGAAATGTGCCGCTGGGGTCTGGCCTTGCTCGCGGGCGCCCGCGGCGCTGTGCCTGCGCCCTCCTTTCTTGTCTCCTCTGCGCCGGCCGCCGGGACCCAGGGCACCTGCAGCGGGGCTGGTGCGAGTGTTGTCCCGGGAAATGCCGGAATGAGACGAGACGATGAAAACCTTAAGTGTGGAACTGCGTCTCAGGCCAGTGTTCTGGCTGAAAGAGTCACCCCTAGTCACCCCTCGTGCCCTAGGTCGGCCCCGCTGTCCCCAGGGGCAGGGGCTGCCGTATGCTGGGTCAGCTTAAAGCGATGCTCCACAAACTTGGACAACTTTCTAGTCGTTCTCACATCAGTACTTTGGGAAAATACAATAAGGGTGAAATACTAGAAAAATGTTCACGTGCTTCGATGCCATGTAATGGTAAACTGCTATAAAAGTTTTCAAAATCTTGGCAATTTCTGCTGCAGACAGCACGCGTTTCCCAGAACGAGGGCCACACGTTAATATTACCTTAGTGCAGCGCTTCTCAGAGTGCCCCCACCTGCCGCAGCAGCAGCAGCATCACCACCTGGGTGGGCGTTCCCCCATTACTGAATCGGAGGCTCTGGGGGTGGAGCCCAACAATCTCTAAAACAAGTCCTCCAGGTGATTGTAATGTACGCTGTAGCTTGTAAACCACTGCCTTAGAGCTGTTGGAGGATTAAGTGATGTTTAATCTACACATGGCTCAATGCCAGAGAAATTCAGCATTTAAAAAATTTCCTTAGAAGTTTCTTTTTCTTTTCCTTCAAGAATTGTTGAGGATAGGAGGAGGTCATATTGAGAGTTTGTCATCTCGTAGAATAATCAGTATGAGATTAGAAAAGGTAGAGGTTTTTTGGATTAGAGGCAGTTTAGAAATTGTGTGACTGGCTTATTATTAATCGAATTAGCAGTTTCTGTTTCCTGGTTTCCCCATCATTTCACCTGCTACTCAGCCGTAAAAGTTTATTTTTGATTCAAATGCAGAGATTGAGTTTTGAAACAAATCTAGATTAGTAAACATCTATACTTATATATAGATTTATAAAATATAACCAGATTATCTAAAACTTATAAATGCATCTTAAAATTTTTTCTTTCTTTTACAGGCAGGAATTTATACGTGCATGTTTAAAGGCGATACTTTTCAAATGCCAGACTTCCTCAGCTTGTGCTATACTTCCCGTTCACACACTGCCGTGTCTTTGCTATGCCCTCCCATACACCAAAAAAAAAAAAAAAAAAAAAAAAACCCAAATAATCCAAAAACTCTTGTTCAGATTTCCAAACTGGTTCAAGGTCAAGATGGACCAAAATTTACTTTGGCTTTATGTTAACCAAAGTCTTCCCAATCAGTTTCCTAATATGTAAATGACATTTTTGGTAAAAGATGAGCAAACATTTCAGAAATGAGCCAACAATTTTTTTCTTATCCCCATCATAACTTTTAACTGCAAAACCTCAGGACCTGGTTCTTTTCCAGGCTCTGCTGTCTCCATATAGCTGTGAGTGTTTTTGGTACACCAACACATCTCTGTATCTGGGCCAGTAAACTTTTTTTTTTTTTTTTTTGGTGTAGGGCCAAGCCTACAATGCATATGTCCTTATTGTTCATCTGTTGTAACTTTTTCCACAAAAAGTGTGTGAAATTTAGATTGTGGACGTTCCAGTCTCCACTTCTGAGCCTTGAGAGGTTGCTGAAAGCCCTGACTGGCTCCAGAAATGGGCAGTGTTACCTCTTCAGTGGGTTTCAGTAGCTGTAAACTTGAAACTTAAGGATTTAGTATTGTTCTGAATGTGGAATTCACCTCCACTGCAACTTGGATCCTGTTTAACAACTCCTCCCTTCTCTATATTACCTCCATCCATGTCTGTTCTTATTTGTACCCTGACCCTCAAAAGTTGCGTGACAAAAGCATCACCTTTTGACTGCAGAAGGCCTGTTTCTTTAGTGCGTTTAGATAAGCCTAGTATCAGGTGTGTACCATTACCAAATACTTGAGGTGTTAAGGATTACCATCTTAGCGTTCATCCTACCATTTTTATATTCTTAAGGACAATTCCACCCTTTTACACACTGTGACCAAGATTTCCACCTTGCAAGAAGGAAAGAGTCAAACCTTCAAAGTTTTTCAGTGTTTAATTTATCCCAGGCTACCTAAAATGGATCAAAACATGAACAGGCCTACTTGGGTGAGTGGTGAAAACTGAACCTGCCCTGGACTGCCTCATTTGCAGCCTGCTGTGTTCAGGTTAGGGGGCATCTGGGCAGTGCTGGCTGGCTGGTAGGGCACACGGCAATGTGTCTTGCCCTGTATGTGGAGATGGTCTCATTGTGCTTCAGTGCCTGACCACCAAGCAATACTCTGAGAACTTGGGAATGAGGGACAAGGGGAATTCATACTTGTTGAAGTGTATTGGTATTGTATTGTTCAAAATAGGCTGCAGGTAGAAGGCTCATAATTAAAACCTCAGAGTGCCTTCCATTTTGTTAAGATGTGGGTTCCTTACAGTCAGAACTGATCTTATTTCCGGTGAATTATTGTAATTATTGTAAAAGTCCAATATGGTTTGGTTTTGTGTCCTCACCTAAATCTCATTTCGAATTGTAATTCCCACCTGTTGGAGGAGGGGCCTGGTGAGAGGTGATTGAAACATGCGGGGGGTGGACTTTCCCCTTGCTGTTCTCGTGAGAGTGAATGAATTCTCACGAGATCTGATTATTTAAAAGTGTGTAGCTTGCCCCTTTGCGCTCTCTCGTTCTCTCCTGCTCCTTTGTGTGGAGATGTGCCAGCTTCCTCTTCTGCCATGATTGTAAGTTTCCTGAGGCCTCCCTGGCCATGCTTTCTGTACAGGCTGTGAAACTGTGAGCTAATTAAACCTCTCTTCTTTATAAGTTACCTTGTCTCAGGTAGTTCTTTATAGCAGTGTGAAAACAGACTAACACAAAGGCCGTCTTTCATGTGGAACTTGTTTTTGCGTATTGGAAACATTGCTAATCTGTGTTTGGGAATGAATCTTACCTTTTTATAGAGTATCAGTGGGATCAGGTGTTTGGGATTTGGAGCTGTCCTTTAAAATAACTTTGACAAGTTTGATTCTATCTTGGCTTTCTTGCGTTTACATTCTTAGTGTTCATTGTATTTTTTTGTTACAGTGCTTTTTTTGGGCACTAACATGTTAAAAACAGATGTAGAGCACCATCAGAAGGTATTCTCTTTTAAGAACTTTAAATAGAAAAAAACAGTAGAACAATGTATTAATCCAAAAGGTGGCTCTTTGAAAAAAAATTGAACTACACTAATGACATTTGTAAACAATGAGGTAGTCTCAAGAAAAAGATGAAAGTACAAATATACAAAATAAGTCCTGAGAAGAGGAGATCATAAAAACAGATAATTTGAAGAATGTTAGGAGACTACTGAACTCTTTTAAAATAAACTTTAAAACTTTGATGAAAATGATAATTTTTAGGAAAATATAAGTAATCCAGATTGACCCCAGAAGAGGTAGAAAATTTAAGCAGGTTGATTTTTATAGAAGAAATAAAGCTATGAAAGAGTTACCTCCTCTCAAAGCATTGTCTAGTTTCACCAAGATTATCTACCAAATATTTAAAGAGCAGATAATTCCAGAGCAGGAATAAATGGCTATTTCCTTGACATAGCATATCTATTTGAACCCAAAAGCCCATTTTAGGCTTAATGAAGAAACGTTGAGATTTCCACTGATGTTCAGACCAAGACGAGGAGTGAGAACAGCCTAGTACCTTTTACAGTGTGCACTGTTAGCAAAATTTTGGTGTTATCTTAGTTTTAATCCCACCTTTAAAAATAAATTCTACCTTTTTTGTATTAAGGAAACTTCCACCTTTTTATTAAGTGTGATCTAGTCGTTGATTTATACTTTGTAAGAAGGTAAGATTCAAACCTTTAAACTTCTTAATGTTTAATTTCTCCCAGGCCACCTAAATTGGATTATAACATGAATTGGCCTACTTTGAATGATAGATTATTATTTTACATTGTAGGTACAGCCAGTGTGATCAGACAAAGCAATTCGAGAACTACAAAAGAGGAAAAAAGATCAGAAGTTCTTAAATACATAAGGGAATGCAGCATTTGATAAAGGTGGTATCTCAAGTCAGTGGGGAAAAGGTGAAATATTCAATAAATGGTATTGGGACAACTGGGTAGCCATATGGAAAAAAAGGTTGGATCTCTACACCGTAAGCCAGGATAAATTTCAGTGTTTGATGGAATAAATTCCAGATATATGACGATAATAGCTCACACTTGTTAAGTGTCTTGTATGCCAGGCACTGTAGTAATTTACTAATGCATTTAATCCTTACGGTAACCCAAAGAAGTAGTAACTGTTATCACCACTTATAGATGTGGAAACTGAGGCCCATAGATGTTAGGCAGTTTAAACAACATACATTGCTAATGAGTAGTGGAGCTGGGATATGAACGTAGTCAGTTTGGCTATAGAGTTTCTGGCCTTAACTCCTATACTCTTTTTCCATTTAGGTTATTGTTAAAAATGAAACAGTATGAGAACAGAATGTTTTTATAATCTGGGTGTGAGGAAAGCCATGACTTAACCATGACTTGAAAATCGGAAAACGTAAGACTGATAAATTAGATTATATCACAGTAAAAAGACTGATAAATTAGATCATATCACAGTAAAATTCTTCTGCATGGCAAAAATCATCATAAGCAAAGCCAAAAGACAAACGATGGTAAATAGTTGCAATTCATATCATAGGTGAAGGACCAATCTTTTTAATTATATAAGAAGCTTCTAGAAATAAAAACACCAACATCCATTGGCAAGATAGACGTTAGGTTATGAACAGACCGTTTACAGAAAAGTACAATTGGCTTTTAAGCATATAAAAAGATGCTCAACTTCACTTATAATGAGAATGCAAATACCATTTTTCATGTTTCAGACTGGCAGAAATCCAGAACTTTGACGATACACTGTGTTGGTAAATTCTTAAGGAAAAATACACTCTTGTACATGGCTGGCAAGAGTATAAATTGGCTCAACTCCTATGGAAGGCAATTTGGTTGTATCTATCAAAAATTCAAATGCATATACCTTTTGACCCAGGAATTCAATTTATGGGAATTTATCGTCTGGACATAACTGCTATGCATGCCAAATGATGACTGCACCAGGTTATTCACTACAGCTTTGTTTGCAATAGCACAAGACTGGAAACAACCCAGGTGCCTATCAGTAGTGGCTAGTTACATAAATTACAGTTCATTGTCACAATGGATATGCAGCTGTAAAAAAGAATGTGGAACATCTGTGTGAATGGGTATGGAGGGATTGCCAAGATGTAGCATTAAGTGAAAAAAGCAAAGTCTCAACAGTGTATATATACAGTATGCTAACTTTTCTGTGAACAGAAGGGAAAATAATATGTATAGAGTAACTTTGAAAGGATAGCTAAGAAATTAATGGCTGAGGAGGGGGCTGTGTAATGAGGATGGATGGAAGACATAGACTTTTGATGCTTTTTTGTAACTTGCTTCTTGTAATGTGACTGCATTTGTGAATTACATAACTCCACTTTGAAGATGATCTGTCTCGCTGTTTTTAGTCTAATTGACCACCTTTCTGTCATCTTTTGTCATACTTACTTGAAGTTTTTTTTTTTTTCAATTTTGCTCTTTCTTGTCAAGTACATCTTTTTTCTGCAACTTGCTTTTGTAATCAAAATCTACATTTTGGCGTGATTGAAAAATCAAAATTTAGAGAGTGAAATCGGAATAAGTTAATCCAAGTCATTTTACATTTCATAAATATTCATTTTTATTGAAGCATCAATTGTGATGGCATCATTTATACAAAGAACAGATCTTTGAGGACAAATTCCTTCCGCTATTATGTAGAAGGCATTATGTGTATTTCTTGTATTGTGAGTGATGTACGTTGATTTTTAAAAGAAAATGATAGAAAACAGTTTTCCTTTTAGAAAAGTTTTCCCCAATGTGTGATTAATTTCTAAATTGTAGGATACAGAATTGTTATTTCCCCTCTTTGCATCCTGCCCAGAGCTCTTTGATTTTACAACCTGTTCCAGAACGTTTAGTGTTTCCCTGAAGTCCCTGGGATGAGGGTATTCTGTACCTCCCACAATGTGATCCTTACCTGCTTTCCCAGTCTTTTTCTCCACTGTGTCCCTGTAGAACCCCATCTTCTGCCTAATGTGTTTCACTTTTCTGCCTCTGTATTGCTCACACGACCATACCCATAGCGTGGATTGCACACTTGGATCTTTTTACTTAGTCATTCATTAAATGTCTATTAAAGGCCTGCTTAGGAAAGACCTGTATTGTCCATATATCCTTATCTTCAAGGAAGCATCCTTGAAATTTGCCCTGCTCTAATTCCCCTTCTCCCGGAAACCCATCCTTTTTCTCTCCAACCTAAGTGATCTCCTTCTTCTCTACTGGACAAATAGCTATGTACTACTTTATGAATCCTTTCTATGGCATCTTGCGTTGCTAATTAGATGTCTTATTGCACGGAACTCGCACAATCTGTCTCATCTCCCCACGTAGTGAGCTCACAGCACTTCACCAAGAGTGCTGCCCACCAAGAACTCACAGCACTTCACCAAGAGTGCAGTCAATAGTGTTTTATGAACGTTGGGAAGAATATGGTTAATGCCTGAGAACAAAGACCAGAAATGTCATCTTTTCGTGTGACCATCATGATACAGAGAAGTTAACAGAGCTGCCCCATTGTCCATGGGGCATGTTCCGAGTTTTTCCAGTAGTGGTGATAGATTTTGGCTGATTTCTCTGAACTTTTCCCTGAGTTATTTTTGTGACTTTGGCCAGGATGAAGGGTGGGGAACCCCTCATCTTTAAATCTCTGAGCAGAGACTTGCTAGGCATCTGCAGCAGTGGTGGGGAAGAGGTCATTAAGCTCAGTGCAGTCCACGTGGGGCCTTGGCCTGCGATCTTCAGGCTCAGGAGTTATTGTGAGCCCCTGCGTTGGGTGGGGGAAGGGAGGAAAGGAGGACAGCTGAGGCAAGGAGTGGGAGCCTGGCTGGGGGAGGAGACATCAGCCTGGGGCATGGGTCTTATGAGGGTGAGTGGCCGCCAGGCCCTCAGCAAGGACCAGAGTGGAAGCCTCTTTGCTAAGCTTGGTCTGGCTCCTGCATGGGTCCCAGCAGCGTGCCATCAATCATCCGTTCCTCCTTGGCAGATGGCCAGGCTCCTTCCCATGCAGCAGCAGCAGCAGCTGGCTGGCCCTGCCCTCCTGTTTCAGCTGACATCGGCAACCCTCTGGGGATGTATGGAAGACTGAATTCTACAAGAGATGCTTTCAGGATGTCAGTGCATGATGAATGAAAGTTGTGGATCTTCTACATGCTGCTCTTATCTTCCTCACATCATAAACTCCAAGTTTGAGAGCATCACAATATTCATCGATATGTAGCACTACACAATGAACTGAGGGCAGGAATTGACTTACTCTTTGTACCCGGAACACAGTAAGCTGATGATAAATACTTGTTGAAAGACTGTAGCATATAACCTGTTGAGTTGTTTGAGAGGCCAGGGTTCCTCTGAGCAGTATCATGCCAACAGACACACGCATGTTATGTATTATGGCACATAATCGGTAAGTCCATAACTGTTGGAGTAATGGGGACGAGCACAGTGCACTGAAGGGTACAGGAAGCATCGGGGTTTGGGGGCTCCGGCCTACATTTGTGGTTATGTTACTGGTTTTTCCTATCGCATCAGAAAACTTTATTAACTAGATGGAATTTCTGCAGCCAGATGAAAACGTATGTGATAGGAGTGGATCGTGTGATAGGAGTGGATCGTGTTAGCTGCGTGAGATTGCTAGTGAGGCACTGAGTTGTCATCAGGTAGCAATTCCACCATTTCCACTGGAATTCCTTAGCACATTTTAAGCTAAAAGAGGTAAGAAGTCAGAAGGGTAAGAGTCTGGCCATGGCTTTGCTTTCTTCTCTCACGCTTCCAACCACCCTCGTCTGAAAGCTACATTTCACCTTGTGAAAGTTCTGCCCTTCTGTTTCCAAATACGAGATGCTGTAAGCCTGAACTCAGATCTAAAACCAAACTTAGCATTTTGTTTCCAAAAGATTGACTACATATTTTAATTTCCCAACCTCTCTCAGTGGCACTGCTCTCCTCTCAAATCCCAGAAGCCGCAGTCAGGGTCATCTTTGAGCCTTACCTCTACATTTGAGTTGTCCTTCCTCCCATGAGCCCCGATGACTTCTTTTCTTCATTGGTCTCTGATCTGTCTTCACTCTCCCCTGCCTGAGCTGTTCAGAGCATTATCAACATCTACCTAAAATTTGAATTTCATTCTCTCGCTGTTTAGGGAACAGCAGCGACTTGGACCTGTCCAATGACACTCTTCAATGCTGGACACTTGCTGTAATTTGCTGCTGGCCTCAGTGTTTCAGATCTCCACTTCCACCCCGAGGCTGGCTCCTGCTCTGAGCTCCTTCCTTGCAGGTTGCTATGGTCTGAATGCCTATGTGCCCCTACTGAATTCATGTTGAAATCCTCACCCCCCCAGGTGATGGGGGATTATGAGGTGGGGGCTTTGGGAGGTGATTAGTCATGAGGGTGGAACACGCATGAGTGGGATTAGTGCCCTTGTAAAAGAGACCCCAGATAACTAGCTAGTCTTTTCGGCCATGTGAGGACATGGTGAGAAGGCGCTGTCCGTGAACCAGAATTTGGGCTCTCACCAGACACTGAACCTGCTAGCGCTTTGATCTTGGACTTCCAGTCTCCAGTATTGTGAGAAAGAAGCTCCTATTATTGATAAGCTGCCAGGTTATGGTAAATTGTTATAGCAGTCTGGCGGACTGAGACACAGGATGTTTTTTCCTTGCAGCCCTGTCTAAAACATCTTGGGGCTTTCAAGGCTAAACTTGGCTTCTTCCACTTCTCTGCCGCCCCTTGGGGCTGTTTCAGCTTAGATTGCTCTTAGAGTTGGAGCTGGAACTAGGGCTTTGGGGCTCTGTTTTGTGCTTTCATTCCAGTGTCTCTCCTTGGGGAGATGAAGGTAGAATCCCTTTCCTGTATTTGGTGCTTGGTGGTAGTCATTTCCCCCGCTGTGTTTTCGGAACTCCTAGCCTGGTTATAGAAGCTGCTGGCATGATCAGAGTTCTCAGATTCCAGCTGCTTTCTCCTGGATATCCTATCAAAATGCCCTCTCCGTTCAGTGAGATACTCGATGACTTTGACTCATGATGCCAAATGATTGATTTTTCCTTCACCAGAGACCTGCGTGTCCTCTGGGTCAGCTGGTACCTCTTCTGTAAGCTCGGGCTCTTATGAAAGGGGACATAGGCTTTTGCCCAATTTTTTTTTTTTTAAAGGCATGGTTTCTTGTATTTCTGTAGGAATTTTGTATCCTTTCATGGAAGTGCATCTGTAGTGTTTCTCAGCAGGGTATATTCCTAATCCACTAACTTGTTGAACAAGTATATTAAATTGGCATCATGATACAGCGAAGGCTAGTAATAATGAAACAGGAAGAAATGTGGTGACAGTATATTTAGATGATTATAAATACATTAAAATACAAAATTTAGGAACATCGGATGTCTTCCCAGAGCATGTTTATAAAATGAATTCTTTCAAAGATGTTACCATAGGAAAGTAATACTAGTGTTGAATTTTCCTTTAAAAAGTTTTCGTATTTTACCTTTGATTTAAAAAAATTAGTTTACCATTAGGTATTTTATACTTTGCATAGGTCAAAAGTCATGTGCAAAATTAAAAAGCATGGTTCAGATGAGGCCACAAATTATTCTTTGGCCTGCTGAAAAGATCTGATATTTTAACAGATTGTACCCAGAAGGGAAGAGTCATGAAAATGAAATACTTTGAGGGAATTCATAGCTTTCCACGTGGGGAAAATGAGACCTGAAGTAAAAAATTTTGAATGCACTGTTGTTAGCAGTTGAAAACCGCGTAAGAGTTTGCAGAATGGAATGGTAGGCTGTCACAGAGCCCCCGAGAAGGCATTGCATTGCTGAAAACTCCATTGCCTTACCTCTTCCTGAGAGGCAGTTTACAAAGAGCCACCTCATCTACCAGTGAGCCCTCTGCAGGGACTTCTGCTGGTCCCTGGGGTGTCTGGCTTACCATTCAGCATTCCTCACACCCCGAGATGTGTGCATCAGCATGAAGGAGTGCTTCTCAGAGCCCCAGGGTGTCCAGGTGGTCCTGATAACAGAGGGCACTCAGGCAGTCTGTCCCTGCTAGCCCCATGCAGGTTGCTGGGAAAGCACCTGACACCAGGAGTAGAAACTTCACCTGGTGGCCCATCCTCAGAATGTAAGAGGGGTTTCAGGAGCCCACTCTAGATAACTTAAAAAATGTTTTTTTTCTTCAGGCTTATGCTCATACTAACAAGCTCTGTCGAATTATTTCAATGTGCGGAATAAAAGGCAAGAATTATTTTCTGGTGCAGTTTAGACCTTGGATGAGTAGGGTTATGCAGCTGTTTGCTGCAGTAGTTTTGGGGAGACACACACCTGACTTAAGCTATGTGAATTTGGATATGAAGTTCCAAGTGTAAGATATGAACCAAAGGATTTCTCTTAACGTAACGATGGAACTCAAGCCTGAACTATTTTTGTTCATTAACAACCTGGCAGTTATTTTTTCAGAATAAGGAGATTTATGAAAGAGCTGAAGTCTGGGCTTCATTTTGCGTGTACATTTGCTTCCGCTGTTGCCGGATGGTTGGTAAAGGAAATTGATAGAGTTTTTAAAGTGAGGACTGTATTGTTTACTTTATGTGTTGTTTTAAAGTAGGAAGGAACACAGTCGCCCTGCTATCAGCCTCTGGTTTCTTGTCCCAGTGGCGCTAAGAGTCAACTCTTCTGCCTGACAGTGCCTGCTCCTACCGTGCCTGTGCTGAGATAGCTCCTCCTGGCTTCAGGGCCTTTATGGCTGAAACTTCAATTATATATATAAAATATATAAAATAATTATTAATATAACTTAATATAATAATATATAATAACTTTTTTGAGACGGAGTCTTGCTCTGTCGGCCAGGCTGGAGTGCAGTGGCATGATCTCGGCTCACTGCACCCTCCGTCTCCCGGATTCAAGCGATTCTCCATACCTCAGCCTCTTGAGTAGCTGGGATTACAGGCGCCCAGCAGGGTTTCCCCATGTTGGCCAGGCTGGTCTTGAACTCCTGACCTCAGGAGATCCACCTGCCTTGGCCTCCCAGAGTGCTGGGATTACAGGCGTGAGCCCCTCTGCCCGGCCAACTTTGTATTTTTGCTCAAAGTTTGATCTGTACATTTTGAATCATTTTTATCCTTTTTCCAATTTCCCAACTAACCAATGTTCAGACCCGAGAAAGCATTCTCCAAAACCTTTCTCTGTATTCATAAAATCATACACACACACGCACAATTGTTGGTTTTTTATAAAAATGGACCAGATTGTATTTTCTGTATCTTGCTTTTCTTGCTTAATAGTACATCATAATATCTCCAGTTCAGCTGATATATCTGTTTTTCTTTTTTTGAGACGGAGTTTCACTGTTGTTACCCATGCTGGAGTGCAATGGCGCGATCTCTGCTCACTGCAACCTCTGCCTCCCAGCTTCAAGTGATTGTTCTGCCTCAGCCTTCCGAGTAGATGGGATTACAGGCATCCGTCACCAGACCTAGCTATTTTTTTGTATTTTTAGTAGAGACTGGTTTCTACCATGTTGGCCGGGCTGGTCTCGAACTCCTGACCTCAGGTGATCCGCCTACCTCACCCTCCCAAAGTGCTGGGATTACAGGTGTGAGCTGCTGCACCTGGCTCAGCTGGTATATCTTTAGTATGTTCTTTTATCTTAAATGACTTTTTTTTTTTTTTCGAGCAGTTTTAGGTTTACAGAAAAATTGAGTGGAAAGTACAGAGTTCCCATACACACTCCTCCCTGAGTTTCCCCTGTTAACGTCTTGCTTTAGTTACAATTGATGAGCCAATATAGATACATTATTATTAACTAAAGTCTGTAGTTTACATTAGAGTTCATTTTTGCTATCATCCAGTCTGTGGGTTTTGACAGATGCATGATGATATGTACCTACCATTGCAGTATCAGAACAGAATGCCTTCACTGCCTTAAAAGTCCTCTGTGCTTTACCTATTTGTCCATCTCCCCCTTCCCAAGAACCCCTTGCAACCACTGAACTTTTTTTATTGTCTCCATAGTCTTTGCTTTTTCCAGAATGTCGTATATTTGGAATTATATAGTATATAGCCTTTTCGGTTGGCTTCTTTCACTTAACAATATGATTTGAGGAACCTTCATGTCTTTTCCTGGTTGGATAGCCAAATTTCTTTTTATTATCAATAATATTCCATTGTATGGATGTACCACAGTTGATCCATTCACCTACTGAATAAATATGTGCATCACTTACATGGGGATCTATAATTGTTTTGGCAGTTATGAATAAAGCCTCTATTAAAATTTTTATTCAAGTTTTTGTGTGGTCATAAGTTTTCAACTCATTTGGGTAAATGCCCAAAAGTGTGATTTCTGGGTTGTATGGTATATGTAGTTCCATAACAAACTGCCAAATTGTCTTCTGTACCATTTTGCATTGCCACCAGCAATAAATGAGGGTTCCTCTTGCTCCACATCCTTCCCGGCAGTTGTTGTTATCAGTGCTTTGGATTTTAGCTATTCCACAGACATTTAGTGGGATCTCATTGTTTTAATTTGCAATTCCCAAATGATATATGCTGATGAAGATCTTTCCTGAGCTTATTTGCCATATTATGTTTTCTTTGGTGATGTGTCTGTTCAAATCTTTTGCCCATATTTCAGTTGGGTTGTTTTCTTACTGAGTTTTTTTTTTTTTTTTTTTTTTTTTTGGAGACAGTCTTACACTATTGCCCAGGCTGGAGTGCAGTGGTGCGATCTTGGCTCACCACAACCTCTGCCTCCCAGGCCCGAGTGATACTCATGCGTCAGCTTCCTGGGTAGCTGGGACTACAGGCATGTGCCACCATGCCTGACTGATTTTTGGATTTTTAGTAGACATGGGGTTTCGCTGTGTTTGCCAGGCTGATGTCGAACTTTTGACCTCAAGCAGACTGCCCGCCTTGGTCTCTCAAAGTGCTGAGATTACAGGTGTGAGCCACCATGAGTGGCCTATTGTTGAGTTTTAAGAGCTCTTTGTATATTTTGGATATCCTTTATCAGATGTGTCTTTTCCAATTTTTTCCCAGCCTGTGGCTTGTCTTCTTATCTTCTTGACAGTATCTTTGGGAAAGGAGAAGTTTTTAATTTAAATGACATCCAGCTTGTGGACCATTTCTTTCATGGATTGTGCCTTTCGTGTATCTAAAAAGTTATTGCCAAACCGAAGGTCACCTAGATTTTCTCCTGTGTTATCTTCTAGGATTTGTATAGCTTTGCATTTAGCTATGTGATCCATTCCAAGTTGATTTTTGTGAAGGTTGTAAGGTCTGTGTCTAGATTTATTTTTGCCTGTGGGTGTCCAGTTGGTCAAGCCCATTAGTTGAAATGACTGTCTTTTCTCCATCGTATTGCCTTTGCTCATTTGTCAAAGATGAGTTGACCATATTTATGTGGGTCTATTTCTGGGCTCCTTATTATGATCCATTTGTCAGAATAGACAAATGTCTTTTCTTTTGCTGATTGTTGAAGTTGAGTAGCATCGGTTCTCTGACTTTGTTCTTCTCCTTTAATATTGAGTTAGCTATTCTTTTTTTCCCCCTTTCCATATAAAGTTTAGAATCAGTTTGTTAATATTCACAAATAACTTGCTGGGATTTTGATTGCAATGATAGGGTTGCACTGAATCTCCAGATCAAGTTGGGAAGAACTGACATCTTGAAAATATTGAATCTACCTATTTGTGCACATGGACTATCTCTCCATTTATTTAGATATATTTCTTTCATCAGATTTTTAGTCTTGTTCTTAGGGATCTTGCACATATTTTATTAATACCAAAATATTTCGTGTTTTTTTGATGTTGATGTAAATGGTCTTGTTTGTGATTTCAAATTCCAGTTGTTCGTTGCTGGTATAGGAAGGCAATAATTGACTTTCGTATATTAATCTTGTAACCTGCACCCTTGCTGTAATTTCTTATTAGTTCCAGGATGTTTTCTGGATTTTCTACATAGACAGTCATGTCATCTGTGAATGAACAGTTTTATTTCTTCCTTCCCAATCTGTACACCTTTTATTTCTTTTTCTTGTCTTACCACATTAGCTAGGACTTCTAGTATGATGCTGAATAGGAGTAGTAATAGTGGACATCTTTGCATTGTTCCAGAACTTAGTGGGAAAGCATCTAGTTTCTACTTTTAGGTATGATATTAGCTCTGGATTTTTAAAAATAGATGTTTGTCCTCGTCCATTCGTGTTGTGATAACAGAATACCACAGAACTGGGTAATTTATAAAGAAACGTATTTTCTCACAGCTCCGGAGGCTGGCAAGTCCATGATCACCGTCAACATGTCAGCAAGTTCAGTTGTCTGCTGAAGGCTGTTCTCTGCTTCAAAGATGGTTCCTCTGGATTGGAGAAACAGTGTGTCCTCACATGGCAGAAGAACAGAAAAGTGAGCTAGCTGAATGCTCTGTGAAGCCTCCTTTATAAGGGCTTTATTCTCATCCATGAGGGATGAGCCCTCATGACCTAATCACCTCTTAAGGGTACCTCCTCTTAGTACCATCACACTGGGAATTCAATTTCAACACCTGAATTTTGGAGGGGACACATTCAAACCAAAGTGATGTTCTTTATCAGGTTAAAGAAGTTCTCTACTCTTAGTCTGCTGAGAGTTAATATGTTCTTTTTAATGGCTGCATGAAGTTCCATGGTATATATGCACATAGTTTATTAAAATGAAACATGACAAAACCACACCCTCTTTAACGTTGAAATATTGATATGTTTGTTAATCACAGCACGTGGTATGTATATGGTAAGTGCTTACGGGTACCTCCCTGTTAAATCTTGCCAAGGATATAAAATTGGTGCCAGGTTATGTAATGCTTTTGAAGCCAACTTGAGTCTTGGATCAGACTGGAAAATGGAAAGAATGTAGATTCTGTGATGATGAATACTTTGGGGAAAATAAGAGGATTAGGTAGCTGATGCCCACCTTTCTATCAAGGGAGCAAAAATGTCCTATGGGTCTTTGATCTTTGCCAGTGCATTTGGATTGGTTTCTAAGTACAGCGTGGCAGCCGGGTTATGGTATTGTTAGTTCTGGAAACTTAGTCAATTTGCATCTGGAGTCACCTAGTCACATTTGATGAAATGGGTTACAAAGTTTTAGCACCTTTCTGTAAACCAGGGGTTGGCAAATAATAGCCCACAGGCCAAGTGTGACCTGCTATTTTTTCAATTAAGTTTTAAATTTTGAGATAATGTTAGATTTACATGCAGTAGTTAGAAGTAATACAAACTGTTGTACTCTGTGGATCTGTTGTACTCTTTGCCTGGTTTCCTCAGTGGTACATCTTGCAAAACTATAGTACGTCATTACAACGAGGATATTGACAATGACAGAGTCAATATACAGAACAGTTCTGCCACCAGAGATTCCTTGTGCTGCATTTTTATAGCCACATTGACCTTCTTCCTCACCCCCTGCCCATGTGCAACCTCTGGCGACCACTCCTGTTCTCCATTGCTGTTATTTCATCATTTCAAGGATTTTACATAAACGATGTCATATAGTATGTAACCTCTTGGGATTGGCTTTTTTCAGTCAGCACAATTCCCTGAGATTCACCCCAGTTGGTTAATGTACCAGTGCTTTGTTCTTTTTCATTACAGAGTATTATTACTTGGTGTGGATGTACCACAGTTTAACCATTCACACATTGAAGGATATCTAGATTGTTTCCAGTCTTTGGCTGTTACGAGTGAAGCTGCTATGAACATTCATGTCCAGGTTTTTGTGTGAACATAAGTTTTCATTTATCTGGAGTAAGTGCCCAGGAGTGCAATTGCTGGGCACTTACATGTGATAATTGCATGTTTAGTTTCATAAGAAACTGCCAAACTGTTTCCCAGAGTTCTTCAGTTTGATATTCCCACCAGCAACATATGAAGGATCTGATTTCTCTGCATCCTCTCTAGCATTTGGTGGTAGTGTCACTGTTTTATTTTAGCCATTCTGATAGCTATGTAGTGATATCTCATCATGGTTTTACTTTTTATTTCGTTGGTGGATAAGGATGTTGAAGATCTTTTAATGTGCTTGTTTGTCATTTGTATATCCTCTTTCGTTAAATGTCTTTGGTAGACGTTAAACATTTCTAATTGAATTATTGCTTTACTCTTCAGCGGAGTCTTTTATATATTCTCATTACTAGTTTTCTGTTAGATATGTGGTTTGTAAATATTTTCTTCTAGGCTGTAGCTTGCCTTTTAATTTTCTTTTTTTTTTTTTTTCTTAAGACTTGTACAGAGTAAAAGTTTTTAATTCTGATGAGTTCCAGCTTCCTAATTTTTCCTTTCATGGATCATGTTTTCATGTCAAGTCTAAGAACTCTTTGCCTTGCGTTGATCCTGGAGATTTTTTCCTATGCTTTTTGTTTTCCTTAAAGTTCTGTAGTTTTACATTTTATATTTAAGTCTGTGATCCATTTTGAGATAATTTTTGTTTCAGGTTGAGGTTGATGTTTAGTTTGAGGTTCATTTGTGTCAAACAGAACTCTGTGTACTGGTGTTCAGTTCCAAGGGAAGGCTGGCACTCCATGGAGGTTAGCAAAAACCATCATTATGCCAACCATCAGGAATACGATCCAGACACTTGTGCCCGCTGTATCTCAGTACGAGAGTCTCCAAGGAAAACACAACACAGTCAGGTAGTCGAGGGAGCAATAGTTACACAGAGAAGAGACAGAGCAAGATCAGTTTCAGTAGTGCGTATGGGTCCCCTGTGTCCAGGGGTCCCTCGTGGCTGCCCGTACGGGGTGGTCTGCCTACGAGCACCCCTCTTGTACTGCAACTAAGGGACCCTGTTTCCTGGGTGGGGAACAGATAGAGCAATGAGGTTGGCCAGGTGCCATGTGACACACACCCTTAAGCAGAACAAAGGCGCACACATGAGCTTGCAGCAGTGAGAGATACGTATTCCACACAAGGCATAAGCCTGCCACAGGTGATGAGGGCTCTTCATCTGTTGGTGAGATGTGTTTCAGGCCCAGGGCCCATTCTTAGGCCACTGAGTGGGGGCTGAAAGGCTGTGCACACAAGACTCCCTTTCGCAACATTTTTTTTTTTTTTGTCTATGGATGAATATTCAGTTACTACAGAATAATTTGTTGAAATCCTTTCTCCATTGATTTGCTTCTGCATTTTTGTCCAAAATTAGTTGGCCATATTTGTGTGGGTCTGTTTCTGGGTCCTTACTCCCTCCCGTTGATCTATGGGTCTCCCTCTGTGACATTGTCATGCTGTCTTGGTTATGATGGTTATATCGCAGGCCTTAATATTAGAGTCATCCCTCCCACCTTATTCTTCCCTTTCAAGATTGTTTTAGCTGTTCTAAGGTCTGTCCCACTCCATATAAACATCCAAATAAACATCAGAATAAACTCTCTGTCAACAGAAAAACCTTGCTAGGATTTTGATAGGAATTGCATTTAGGGACAATTGATGTCTTTATTATGCTGAGTCTTTCAATCCATGAGCACAGCATGTCTTTCCATTTATTTAAGTTGCCTTCAACTTCTTTCATCAGCGTTTTGTAATTCTCAGTGTATAGATCTTGTGCATGTTTGCTATGTTCATACCTAACCTAAGCTTTTCATTTTCTTTGGAGTGATTGTAAATGATATGGTATCTTTAATTTTGGTTTCCACCTGTTCATTGATAGTATTTAAAAATGCAGTTGATTTTGGGATGTTGATCTTACATCTTTCAACCTTGCTGAACTCACTTTAGTAGAAGTTTTCTCATAGACTTTTTCAGATATTCTACATAGATAACCCTATCACCTGGAAGTAGAGTTTTAATCTGTGTGCCTTTTGTTTTTCTTGCCTTATTTCAGTGGCTAGAACTTCCAGTATTATGTTAAATAAAAGTAGTGATCTGTGGATATTTCCCTAGCCTTAAAAAAAAAGTATTGAGAGCAGACATGCTTACTTTGTATCTATCTTAGGGGAAAAGCATTCAGCCTTTCACTAAACTATCACATATGATGTCAGCTGTAGGCTTTTTTGCAGATGCTGTTTATTGAGTTACGGTAGTTCCTCTTTATTCCTAACTTCCTCAGTGTTTTTATCAGGAAAAGGGTCTTCTACCACCTGTTTAAATAAAGTTTTATTGGAACACAGGCATGCTTATTGCTTTAGCTGTTTTCTGTGTCTGCGTTCTCAGTGTAACACCAGAATCGAGTAGTTGTGATAGTGACCATATGACCCTCAAAACCTAAAATATTTATTATCTGGAATTTTACAGAAAAGGTTTGCTGAATCTTACTATAGTTTCACCAACTTTTTCTTTTGAATTGTCCTTTTTTCTTTCTTTTTTTTCCAAGTTCTTCCTATCTCTTGATATTCTACCATGGTTGCAAACTCTTACTCCACACACTCTTACTCTAATTGGCTAAGACCTAGAGCTTGAGCCATTGGCTGCGGCCAGCCTCAGAAGAAAGCAGGGAGGATGGATAGATGTAGATCTAGTTGCCTTCTAAAGGCACTTTCTACTCTTTGTCTGTATTTCTATCAACGGTAGCATTTGGGGTAGTTCTAACATGTTCTTTTGATAACTTCTATTAATTCTGTAGCTTGACAGTTACCCTGAACAAATTACTTTCATTTCACTTCTTCTTGACCTCAACCTTCTTTCCTGCCTTGATTCTCTGACTCTTCCTATAGTTTGTATTGCTGTGTTTCCTTATGATGGAAAGATACATGACTTCACTGATCTCTAAGGGATCTAGGGGAGTGTTGCTTTCTATACGTGACAGTTCTTCACTTTTTAGTTACATAGTTCCATTTTGTTTTGTCTAAGGGAGGTGCTTTTTTTTTTTTTTTTTTTTTTTTTTTTTATTAAATGGAGTCTCGCTCTGTCCCCCAGGCTGGAGTGCAGTGGTGCGATCTGGGCTCACTGCAAGCTCTGCCTCCAGGGTTCATACCATTTTCCTGCCTTATCCTCCCGAGTACCTGGGACTACATGCACCCGCCACCATGCCCAGCTAATTTTTTGTATTTTTAGTAGAGATGGGGTTTCACCGTGTTAGCCAGGATGGTCTTGATCTCCTGACCTCGTGATCTGCCTGCCTCGGCCTCCCAAAGTGCTGGGATTACAGGTGTGAGCTGCCGCACCCAGCCTGTCTAAGGGAGTTTTAAAATGTTTAGCTTTGAAAAGTTTGTTGCTTTCGCTGAAAAGAGTGGGATGAAGTATGACCTGAGTCTCTGAGTTAGGAAATAAGTGAATAAGTTTTTTTGATCACTGAAAGGTAAACCACTGTGGTATTGTGTTTATTGATTATTAATTGATAGAGATATTATGTCCTGCATCTCTACATTCACATTTGATTATTTTCCAGCTTGCTTGATCTCTCCCCAGAACATGGCTTTATTGATAATACACCCCTTCTTCTTCTTTTCTTTTCTTTTCTTTTTTTTGACACAGTCTTGCTCTGTTGCTGAGGCTGGAGTGCAGTAGTACGACGCCTCCTCACAGCAACCTCTGCCTCCTGGGTTCAAGTGATTCTTCTGCCTCAGCCTCCCAAGTAGCTGAGGTTACAGGCACCTACCACCATGCCTGGCTAATTTTTAGAGATTACCCAGAGACGGGGGTTCACCGTGTTGGCCAGGCTGGTCTTGAACTCCTGACCTCAAGTGATCTGCCTGTCTCGGCCTCCCGAAGTGCTGGGATTACAGGTGTGAGCCACCACGCCCGGCCCCCTGTACTTCTTTTTTCTCTTTGCCATGCTTCTGTTTACCCATTACTGCCAACCCATTTGACCCTCCTTGCTTAGGAATTGCTAGCATTTATTTTCTTTACTACTCATTTGGTATGCATTCATATTATTTGAAGACTTCATATATTGTCTTTTTATTTAAGTTTATAATAGTGATTATTGTATTTCTGTTTTCTCTATAATGGCATTGCAAATTTAATGAGAGCTTATTTACTTATGTGGATCCCTCCCACACCTAGGCATGTCTGTTACATGATGACCATTAGTTAAATGAACTAAAGAATGATTGAGCTTATATTCTGTAGTATCGTATTTGGAAGTTGTGTGTTCAATAAAACTCTTTTAGTATAATTCAGGCCAATAGGTATTAATATTAATGAATGTCAGTAAATGGAAGCTATGTTTTTACCTTCTAGCACAAACATCTTTAGAAATTTTATTACGACTGTGTATGTGTGTCCAGTGGCTGACTTTCCAAGCAGTTATTAGAGGAGATCTGAGTTTTTAGCTTCTGCATTATGATTCATGTTGAATATTTATGGAAGAGAAGTGTTTCTACAAATATGTAAAAATATTGGTGAGTGAAAGAAATGGCTCCCAGTATGACAGAAGAAAATATCCTAAAGAGATCCACAGTTATCTGCAGTTTCCCCAAGGTTGTGTTTACATAAAAAAGACATTGTTTTATGTTCTAGCATCAAGAGATGATTTTACGATATAACAAGTTCCACAAAGAACTCTCGTAAGATGGTTCTCAGTCCCGGCATAACTGCTACGGAGATCACAGAGCAATATTATTCTCTGGATTTATTGGGTTTGCTGCATTCTGTTAGCATCATTCATATTTTTCTCCCATGGGTACCACTTTCCTCTCTTTTCCTAATACCAAGATATGGAGACTCATTTATGCCGTGGAGTGTGATGCTGGGAAATGAATGCTTGCTTATTACCTCTCTCCACAGGACCTTTCATGACCATACGTCGATGTCTGCCGCCTCAGTATAAATAGGCACATTCAGAAATGTGTTCTCTAGTGAAGGGCATGTTGGCTTGGTGGAAAGCACAGGGACTTCACGTCTGGACTGCGAGTCAGAGCTGTGCGTCATGTGCTTAACTGGCTGTGTGACCTTGGATAAATTTGCCTCAGTTTTCTCATTTGTAAAACAGACAGTCGCTATTTCTGGGAATAGATGAGATAATAAGGAAAGAACCTAGAATGGTACCTGGCTCCTGCCAGTTGCACAGAATGTTTGTTTTGCAGTGTGATGCGTCCAGTAGGGACACTTAGGGGACAGTGTACTGTCATGCTGTTGCCCTGTTTTGTAAGAGTGACTGATGGCTACGTGACATCACCACACTCCCTGCAAGAGCTGCGGTGTATGGCACGTGGCTAAGCTGTAGGTGCACATGGCCTTCAACTCCACCTGAGCTCCAGCCTTCTTTTTGGGAGAACTGGCCTCTGGGTCCACCTATGAAGCAGGAAGGTTGATTATTACTTAAACCCATAGTCTTATAACCTCTTGGGAAAAGATTCTCTCAAAATGACTCTTGATGGTCAACATGGGTGTGCATTTACGCAGCTTCCATTCCCATCGCTTCTTGCAGGCAGTGTTGTTCCTGATTGCCCCAGTCTAGTTTATCGCAAGGGAATTTCTTTGCGGGGCAGTGAGCTCCCTTTTGGCAGAAGAAAGAGTCAAGCAGAGGCTGGGAGGTTCCCTTACCCACAGTGGTGGCTGGCTCTGTAGTGCCTCCCGGCTCTGGGTTCTACTTTCCTAGTCTCCTGCCTTTCCGCAAGTGTCTCCACCCAGCTCCGATAGAGTGGGTAGCATCAGGAGAAGGGAGGGCAGGGATGAGTGTTGTAGCATCTCAACATTTAAGAGCAGAGGATGGGGGGCTGGGGAAGAGCATACACTGGGGCCGGGTGTGAGGAGGGAGAACATTAGAAAAAAAAAGCTAATGCCTGCTGGGCTTAATACGTAGGTAATGGGTTGATAGGTAAATGTGTGCCATGGTGGTTTGCTGCACCTATGTAATAAACCTGCACATCCTGCACATGTACCTCAGAACTTAAAAAAAAAAAAAAAAAAGAGCAGAGGACAAGGAGCCTCCAAGTTTATGTGGAAAAAGTAGTTAGAAAAGCAAAAAGAGTACTCAGGAAACCAAGAGAAATGAGAACATCAGGAAGAAATGGATGGTCGGCCACAGCCATTGCATTTGACAACCAAAAGCTTTTGCCAACAATGATGGGCAAAGAGAGGGAGGGCGAGAGCCAGGCACCATGGCCAGGTGGGAAAGTGTGGAGACCTGCAGATCCTGGCTTCTCTTTCAACAGCTTGGCTGGAAATAAGGCAACAGGTTCAAAAGGGGTAGGGTTTTTAAAGATGGGAGAGACTCAAAAATGTGTGTATTCTAAAGGGGGAAGATATGGGAAGATGTTGAAGAAAATCTAAATTTTGTACTACTGTTTGTCATTTTATACATGGATTCTTTTTCACTACCTTCTCCTTTTTTTTTTTTTTTTTTTTTTAAATGAGACAGAGTCTCACTATGTTGCCCAGGCTGGTCTTCAACTCATGAGCTCAAGTGACCCTCCCTCCTGAGTCTCTCTGAGTGTTGGAATTACAGCCATGAGTCCCCAGGACTGGACCCCTTTTGTTTTTTATTCCTAGTTACTTTTCTGCTCTTTTTCCTCTCAGCCTCCCTCACTCTTCCCTCCCTCGCTCGCTTTCTGAGGCTTCTGACAACTCATCTATTAATAAGTTTCTTACAGTCCTGTCCTTCTGGAAGCCCTCAGTGCCACATGGAATCTGGACCTGGCAATTTCTTGCTATCCATTTAGGAGGAGACTGTTGGTGTCCATTGGTCCCATTTACTCATCCCCGGCCATGTGTTAGCTGTCTGTAATTCTGTACGTTGTTGCTACAGTATTTATATATGTCAAGATGTATCTCACAGCATCTTATTCACCCTAATATTAGTGAAAATATTCACTAATATTTTCAGTTTTGTGCTTAATTCCTTGAAGGTTTTGGGATTTAAGCCCAACCAATTTCTGCGAAGAGCAGTAGCATAGGAAATTAAACACAAAAAATAAAAGTTTAATTTAGAACTGCCCTAAAGCCAAATTGGGAAAATTTAGTCACTGTTTTCCGGTAAGTACACAGTAACAGGTGTTTTGGATGGGGAGAGGTGAGCACTATAAAGATGTCTCTGCAGTTCTGAAATTTCCTTTTCTGCTTTTTCTTTCCCTCTTCTTCCTCCTCTTTACCCTCCTCCTCCTTCCCTACTCAGCCAGTTTGCTATCGAGTGTAATACCCATGGTAGAGACCAGGATGGAAGCTGAAACGTGAGAGAGGTGTGTATGAATGGTTGGTTTGGGTGTATGTTCACATTCATGCGTGGAGCTCAGTGTGATGGAGGTGGGTCCTGTAGGCTCACTGGGGACCCTTGGCGCAGCCCCGTTCACATGGTTGCTGTGGTGCTGGACTGGCCACTGGGACTCTGCCCTCAGGCACCAGTGACCCCTGGGGTGGGTCATCTGACCCTTTCTGGACAGCGTCTGCTTCCTGCAGCTTGTGTGCCTGTTTTCCAGAGATGGGAGCTGTAAACTGTGAAAGTCTAGGGCTGGCAGCTGCCACGGTGCTGCACCCTGCAGAAGATCTGCTTTCAGCAGGAGAGGCTGAGGCCCACGGGAGGAGGCAGAAATGGTAGCTGGTCCCAGGCTCCTTAGCTATAACCATTTTTCTGCCCTTCCCATGGCTTCAGTCTTCAGCGTTTCCTTGGATTCTTTGACCAAAAACAACCAGTCTATCTCCCTGTTTCTCTTTGCCTCTCTTTCCTTAAGGCAGTCCAAGTTGGAATATTTTCACCTGCAGCTGAATTAACATGGATGCCTTCCTTATCCTTAACAAGGTTTGTCTTGAATGGAAAATAAATGGGGATCACATTTGGAGCCAGTGGTCCCTCGCTAGCTTTTCATGTGAGCCACACTTAGAAGCCGTGCTAGGGCCGCAGGCGTGCTGGACATTCGTGTTGTTCCAGTATTCACCGCTGTGTGCTGGCAGGATCCTACCTGGAGGTTCTGGGGACTGCTTCCCCATCCCGCAGAGTTTAGCGTTGCCCGCAGGCTCATAGGTGTCAAGAACCAGGTGAGAGATAGCACCTGGCTCAGCATATGATGTGGTACTTTTTTCTTTTTTTTTAGGCAGGGTCTCACTTTGTGGGCCAGGCTGGAGTGCAGTGGCAGGATCTTGGCTTACTGCAGCCTCGACATCCTGGGCTTAGGTGATCCTCCCATCTCAGCCTCCCACATAGCTGGGACTAACAGGCATGTGCCACCATGCCTGGCTAAGTATTTTTTGTAGAGACAGGGTTTCGCCATGTTGCCCAGGCTTGTCTCGAACTCGTGGGCTCAAGCAATCTGCCTTCCTAGGCCTCCCAAAGTGCTGGACTTACAGGTGTGAGCCACCACACCCGACCATGTTTGTTCTAGAAAAATAAAGCTCATTAATTACAGGAACATCGCAGCTTACTGCCTTTCTCACTAGCAGCCATGACGTGAGCTCCTGGTAGAAATGAATAGCTCCCTTATTAAAACTGACTGGTCTTAAGTGTCACATCATGAAGCTTTGGATCTCTTTCCTTCCCCGCAGTGTCCCTCCCCGCACAACATAAGGAAAACCTTTCTTAGTCCTTCATATTTGGTGCTTGGGTGCTAAGCATTACAGCGCTCTTGGCTATCCAGTCATGCCCATAAGCCACAAAGTGTTTCCCTGTCAACTGGGCTTCTTCTCTTATCAGAGCCAAGGTGAGAAGCCACTGTGGCCCCTGAGAGTGGGCTCAGGAATTCTCGGTTTTGGCTTGCTATTAATTTGCTGTGCAGCTTTGAGCTATTTACCTAACTTCTCTGTTCATAAATTTGCTACTTATGAAAAGTGCTTGAAAGCGAAGTTCCTAGAGGCTCTTTTTTCCTCCTGACCTGCGGTAATTTTAAGTGCTTTCTTGTGTTACGCTTAGCACTTTCTCTCTTCCCGTCAAAATTAATCTCCTTTCCTCAGAAGCTGATGAATTAGAACTCTAAGCCACGCTTCTTTCTTGCATGGTCTCACTTGCTTTTCTCCCCCATCTTTTTCTCTGTTCTTTTTCCCCTTGAGGCAAAGGCAGAGAAAGAAGATGGAGGCCTAGCAGACGGGTTGCTAATACAGTTACGACATTCTCTTTCTCAGTCTAGGGGAAGTTACTCTGGCAATTATGAATCCATATCCCTGCCTAGGAACTAACTTTATCCCCCTTATTAGTATTTCATTTCTATGGGATGGCTTCTTGCAGATTTTTTTTAAATCTTTTTTTTTTTTTTCCTGAAATTTCTTACAGAGACCAACCCTGTTTTCACTATCTGAATATTTGAAAGTATAGTTGAAACTCAGGCAGTTTGGAAGGAGAACCGTGCTGTGGTTTCCTCCAGGAGCCGAGGTTCTTTCCACAGGACTGCACATGGGCCTTGTGCTTTGTGGACTGTCAGTTCTGTGTCAGCCTGCAGCTGTCTCTTTTTAATTTTGTTGTGTTTTTTAGAGAAGGTCTCACTCTGGAGTGGAGGCTAGAGTGCAGTAGCACAGTCCCAGCTTACTGCAGCCTTGAACTTCTGGGCTCACGCAATCCTCCCAACTCAGCCTCCTTAGTGGCTGGGACTGCAGGCATGCGTTACCATGCCTGGCTAATTTTTTTTTTTTTTTTTTAATTTCTAGTAGAGATGAGGTCTCGCTATGTTGCCGAGGCTAGTCTTGAGTTCCTGGGCTCAAGCGATCCTCCTGCCTCGGCCTCCCAAAGTGCTGGGATTATAGGTGTGAGCCACCGTGCCTGGCCTTGGCAGCCTCATCTTGAGTGTGAAATTTGTTTACAGCTTTTCTTGCTAAAGACTAGTGTTTCTTAATTACCATGTGCAAGGTCTTCCATACCGCAGAAGGCTGTTGGGCAAGGCATAGTCCAGATAAACTGTCTTGACAGAGAAGTAGCAAACGGGAAACAGGCTGAGGTTGGATGCTAGGGAGATGCCTGGGCAGGATGTCACAACATGGATTAAAATGGAGGCAGGGCAGGGCAGGGCCACAGGCCAAGCCAACACAGCAGGCCTGTCTGGGCTGCACACGTGGTCCAGTTGGAGGGCCATCCACAGCAACAGCAGGAAGGGGTTGATCAGGAGGCATCATATAAGAACTAGGCGGATGGGGCAGTGGCTGATTCCACGTGGAGGGGCCTGCTCTGAGGCTGCTGGTGTTCCTTTGGTGGTCAGAACCTGGCATCCCATAGCTGACTTCTATAACCCACGTGCCATTTGGGCCTCCTGCTCCTTGGCTTAGTCCCTAGTTCGTTACCATGGGAACGTGAAGCTATCCTTAATATTTCTCTAAATTCTGGAGTGTGTGTGTGACTCGGGGAGTTTGTGTTCTCATGATTACTTCCGCCTCAAGGTTCGGGCATCTCCAGATGCTACCTCTTTTTCACACTGAATTGACTCCTTTTCATTTATTTTTTGAGTTGGAGTCTTGCTCTGTCTCCCAGGCTGGAGTGCAGTGGCGTGATCTCAGTTCACTGCAACCTCCGCCTCCCGGGTTGAAGCAGTTCTCCTGTCTTGGTCTCCCGAGTAGGTGGACTTATAGGCGCCCACAACGACGCCTGACAAATCTTTGTATTTTTAGTAGAGACGGGGTTTCACCATATTGGCCAGACTGGTCTCAAACTCCTGACCTCAGGTGATCTGCCTGCCTCGGCCTCCCAAAGTCCCGGGAGATGGGATTACAGGTGTGAGCCCCTACGCCTGGCCAATGTAAAGGAAATTGAGGGGGTACCCAGATTCGAAGCGGGGACCTCTTGATCTGCAGTCAAATGTTCTACCCCGAATTCTACCCCCTCTGCTGACTCTTGTCTCATTTTCTATCAAAACCTCATCCATGGCTTTGGTGGCTCATGCCTGTGTCCCAGCGCTGTGAGGGCCAAGGCAAGAGGACTGCTTGAAGCTCAGAGTTTGAGACTAGACTGGACAACAAAGTGAGACCCCCAACAGTACAAAAATATATTATGCAATTTCCTTGGTGTGGTGGTGTGCACCCGTAGTCCCAGCTACTTAGGAGGCTGAGGCAGGAAGATTGCTTGAGCACAGGAGGTCAAGACTGAGTGAGCTGTGATGGTGCCACTATACTCCAGTCTGGGTGGTAGTGTGAAACCCTGCTGCTAAAAAATGAAAAAGCCAAACAAACGAAACAAAACAAACCCTACAAAACCTGACCCATAACACAGGTGAGAATGTCCTAGACTTTCCTGAAGACTGGGGAAGGAGTGATGGGGGAGGGGCCACACTGCACACATCACGGAAGGGGGACCTCTAACCCTGGTTATTCCTGCTGCCAAGGCAGCCTCATTTCACAGCTTCTCCCTGCTTGAGGGCGAAGCTGTCCACCTTCCTTCCCAGCCCTCCTTCCTTTCGCCCTCCTAAGAAAACATACGTCATCTTTTCTCCCACAAAACAGATGGAGCACTTCTTTTTGGCGTGGGTTCTGGCTAACATCCGTGCACTAAGGGTCTCATCTGTTACTTCCAAATCCTACCAAGTTGTTTTCTCAAGCAAAGATGGGACTTTTTGAACACTGACCTCGCATTAAATTGTGTAACCTTGGAGGTTGGACTACATGTCGAACCAAACAGGCAAGAGGAAGTGGTGACCGGGCTTGAGGGGTCCCTCTCTGTGATCTCCATTCCGGTGTGCTGTGACCCCCTTTGCCCATCACACGGTTGTGTGGTTGTGTTTTATTCCACCCGCTCCTCGTGTGAAGGGGGCACTGTGTTCACTCTATCACCTTATCCCTGGAGCACCCACCAAAGTGCCGTGAACAGAGTAGGAATTCAATCAATATTTACCGAACGACTAGATGTGCTCAGCACGGTGCTAATGGATGATTAGAAAAGTTAATAATCTCAGCTCTTAAGGAGTTTATAGTCTAGTCAGGAAGCCAAAAATAACACAGATGAGAATAATTAAGCCTCCAATCTGATGGCACTGACTGGGGGTGCATTTATCAAGAATTTGGAAGCACGTAACCATACTTACATTCTTTGTTGCATACATAGCATTTAAATTGTGACTCTCATCCAACTTATCACTCAGATACATTTTTTTCTGTGTTAAAAATATAAAGCCATATTTCCAGAGATTTTCAAAGGGCCCAAAAGATTATGAATTTGATCTTAACATCAGCAGATGACAATCTAGTTTTAACAAGTTACTTTGAATTAGTCAAATCTAAAACTCACTTTAGATTTGTTTTCTGGCTAATATTCTAATTGAGAGACATTTCCATGGAGGTATTAGGTTAAAATACTGTTTTTAGATATGTGACACATTTCCCTGTATTTTAGAAATCTCTTGGGTATCTTAAGAGAAATTTAATCCATCTGATTTTGATCCAAATATAATTTACTCACAATGATGGAGAAATATTTGATATCCACGGAAATCTATTGATGCACTTAAAGTTTTTCTCCAGGGAAATAAGAAATCACATTTTTTCAAGGGTGAATCATAAACCTACAGTGTCTAATTTTTCTGCTTATTTAACAAAACCTGAGTTAAGTATCAAATTGGGCAGTTCCAGATCATTTGTTTTTAAGTTTTTTAGTCTTTTAAACTATGCAGAGAAAATTTTATTCAAAGAGGTTTTTTTTTCCTTATTCTGACAGTTTTATCTGCTATCCTGTTTTTTTCCCTAAACAGTGATTTTTGAAGATTTAAGGTAATAACACAATTTTGATGTCTGTGGATTAATGGCGTCTGTATTCACGATGTTTCAGACCTGTCAGAGCTTGGAAATAGCATTTAAATGTATTGCTTAATTTTAATTTTAAAATACTTTCTCTGAGAATTAGATCCCAGTCCTAAGTGAGTACTTTGAATTTCAAAGAGGGGATTTAGGCCAAGGTACAGCTAAATTTTGTCCTCTTGAAAGACCTGAAATCCATTTACAAATAAAATTGAGGTCTTCGTATCAATATTATGTTTTGGAAGTGAAATGTGCAAGGACTTGTGCAGTGTCACATCTTAAGAGGCTGTTGGGTGCCATCGGGAGTCGAGGCAGGGCCTGGCATTTCAGCGACCCTGCTGCTCCACATGCTGGTTATGGAGTACTCTCCGACTTGTCCACGCTTCCAAGTTCTGATTTCTGGCCTCCTGAGGATGGTGGTTTTCCTAGCGCTTCTCTTTCACAGTAGGTTTTGCATTTCTGACCTGGGCCTTAGCCTCTTTCTTTAAGGTTTGCCTTCTGGCCAGATCCCTGGGCAGGGGCCCAGCTCCTGCTTTGCGGCCCTCTGCTGCCTGCAGCTAATGACAGTGACCCCTGCCCGGCTCCACTGACTCATAGGATCTGATGCTTGGATCGTTGTAATAGTCTTCTGGTCTCTTCTTCTTTTAGTTCATCAAACAGATCTTAACCATGTAAACCTTCGTAAATATTATTTCATGTGGGGATTGGCTCAATTTTAGCGGGTGGGTATACAAACTGGAGACAGACTACCTGGGTTTAGTCCCAACCCTGAAATTTATTACTCTATGATCTTGGGCAAGTTACATGACCTTGGTCAAGCTAGTTAAGGTCTCTGTGCCTTAGTTTCCTAGGGTGAAAAATGGGGTTGATGATACCCTGATGAGAGGTAGGTATTATTTTATGAAGATTAAATGACACAGAAGGAGAAGCGTTTAGAACACTGTGTGGCTATAGTAAGTGCTAAATAAAATTAGTTATTACATAGATTGCCCTATCCTTTTAGAATTTTCTGTTTTAGAATTTTAGAATGTTTTTAATCTTCAGTACTTGCTATCGTCTTTTTTAATAGAAATAAGTCTCGAGTTTAGAGGTAGTTATAGGCTTTGCGAATTGAGTAACATTCTTTTATTTTTTAAAAAATTTATTTTTTCAGATGAAGCTGGTTCCCCTTTATATTTAATACAAAATTTCCTTTAAAAATCTAGGTTAAAAAGAAGTGAGTTTAAAACATATCAACTAAATCATAAATAAATCGTACTATGGTTTTAAATATGGCAAAAATCGTGAACACAGTGCTCAAATGCCTGAAGTTTGAGGAAAATCTGTGAGGGGTGGGTGCTTCGGGCCTCTGGTAGGTCTTAGCTAGCCTGGGGCTCTTCCTGCCCTCCTGTGGGCCTCTGTTTTAGCCAGACAGCCCACTGATGACTGCCACATCCTGAGCATTCCTGCCTTTGGGTTTGTTCTTGAGAATACCCACCCTATTCCACGTTTCTGATTTCCACTCATCCTCATGGCCCCATTTGAGATGAACATCATCTGTAAGGCCTCCCCAGTGCCTGGCTCCAGGCCTCTCTTCTTCCTCCAAACTTTGTCGTGCTCAAGAAAGTGCCTATTGTGTGTATTTGGCAGTCATTTCTTGCCACGTGATATCTAATAACTTCCATGGATCTGTCCTGTTTCTGCAACTGGAAGAAGATGAGCGGAACCTCTTTTAGGTGGGGACAGTGTCTTAGTCATCTCAATAGCCCCTTGAAGGCATGATACGGTACCTTGGATGGTTTCTATGTTAATATTTTCTGTTATGTGTCCATATTGAGGTATCATTTATGTACCACAAAATTCACCTCTTCTAAAGTAGTGGAATTTGCTTTTTAACAAGTTTGTACAGTTGTGAAACCATCAATGCTGTCCAGTTTTAGAACACTGTCATCACCCCCAAAAGTTGTCTCCTGCCTCTTTGCAGTCAGTCTGCTCACCTGCCTCCAGCTAACAATTGATCTGCTTTCTGTCTCCATAGTTATCTTTTTAAAGATAAATTTCATAGAAAAGGAATCATCCAACATGTAGTCTTCTCTGTATGGGCTTTTCCACCTAGCATAGTGTTCCTGTGGTTCTTCCATGTTGTTGCACTTACTAGTAATTGTTTCATTTTATTCCTTAGTGGCAGCAGATAGACCTTGCTGCTGGGTGTTCAGATTGTTTCCAGTTTTGAGGTATTATGAATAATTCTTCCATGAATGTACAGGTCTTTTTGTGAGCCCATGTCTTCATTTCTCATGGATAGATTTTGGAGTAGAAATAACTGGTTCCTATGATCAGTGTAACTTTTTAAGAAACTGCTAAACTGTTTATCATGTTATATTCCCAGCAGCAATGTATGAGGATTCATTTCTGTACATACTTGCCAACACTTGATATTGTCTGTCTTTATCCTAATAGCCTTTCTAGTGGGTGATGAGGCATGAATTGAAGATGACTCTTGGGTTTTCAGGTTGAGCAGTTGGATGCTGGTGCTACCATTTAATGGAGGTTGAGAAAGGAATGAAGGTTTTTGAGAAAAAGTCAAGAATTCTGGTTTGGCCAAGTTGAGTTTGAGGTGCCAGTTAGCCTTTGAAGAAGCACCGTTAAGTAGGAAGTTGGATGTATGAGGGCACCTATGTTAATTCCAGCTTTGTGAATTCATTAAATAATGAAACCTGGGATGGTTGCTTGAAATTTTTCTACCCTATATATGAATCTGATGGTCTGGACAAGTCACATAGTTTCGGATGTCAGTTTCCTCATCCATAAAGTAATACCTATTTTCCTCCAAAGCTTAGGTGAGGAGTGAATGAGTTAAAGAGTGCAAAGTGTTTCTTATTGTGGCGGTTGTTATTAATACGTGATTTCACTTTTCATTTATTTCATTTTTATGTCCATTGTGGCTTCTAACCTCATATTTCACACATAGCAGGTACTCAGTAAATACTTAATAAATCAATGAATGCAAGTAATGACTATGTATATACTAGTGGAGAAGGAAGGAGGGGAGGGAAAGGAGAGGAGAGGCGAAGAGAGGTGGGCCAGGCAGAGGAGAGAAGAGAGGGAGGGAGAGGGAGAGAGAGAGGGAGAGGGAGAGGGAGAGGGAGAGAGAGGAGAATGAGAATGAGAATGAGAATGGATATAATTTGGGTTGGCCTTAGGAAGGAGGGCTCTCAGAATTCCACACTGGAGCTTTGTGTAAAGGAAGTTTATCTTCTATGACACCAGGGAGGCAACATGGAAGACATGATTTTGGGAGATGTTTCAATAATAAGAATTGTCACGTGTAAAGCATGGTTGTGTTTGCAAAGTGTCTTATCTTCCTACTAGACCTTAAACATCTTGAGGGTTGGAGCCTTTCTGATGTGCCTCTATATTTCCCAGAGCCTTACTAATTTCAGCATACTATAAATACAACAAATACCTATAAAATGAGTATGTTGGTGGATGACTCATGAACAGGTTGTTTCCTTCCTGTGTCCCTGGGAGAGCATGTCTGTGCTTCTACCACAGCTCATGCATGGCTTGTGTTTATAATGATTTGTTTGCATGTCTCTCTGTCTGTCCTGAGCTCCATGATGGCAGGGGCTCCATATCCCTTGGCTCATGCCTGGCAAGTAGTGGTTGTTCAGAGAGTGCTGGAGAGAATTGTTCGAGTGAATGGATGTGTCTAACACTGAAGGAAAGCAGGGAAAGGAGACCAGATCTGTGCTCTTTGGAGTTTCAGATTGTAGCTCTAAGGATCTAAATTTCCAGAGGGAGAGAAAGTAGGGAAATGGTCCATAACTCATTTGTCTTCCATTTTCTGTCCCGTGGGCTAGGTAGGTCTGTTCTTGATATGGTTGGGAGAGTGGTTGCCTGTCTCAGTGTTCAATGTCAGATGACAATATTAGCTCACATTGTAAATATTCTGAGAGTGCCATACCCTCAAGGTTTCTTGTTAGGTTATTTCATTAGGGAGTGTTTTCTAAGATTGGCTTAAAGTAAAGGATTTTAAACTTTTTCTAAGAGAGACATTTTAAATTTATTTTAATTTTCATGGGTTCTCCAAATGCAGTAGACTTTTTGGCAAAATCTCAGGTAAACCTCATACATATAAATCACAGAAATGGAAGAATTAGGTAGGTGCAAAAGTAATTGCGGTTTTTGCCATTACCTTTAATGGCAAATACTTCAGTTAATGCAGGGGTGATCTAGGACCTCACCTGCTTATCATTTCTTTGTCCTTTGTCAAAGCCCTGAAGCATCTGGGGGACTTTAGGGCTCCTTGGAAGGAAGTTTGAAAAACCCCAGGTATAGAGGTAGTCTGTTCATTTTGACTTCCTGTTTCTTCTGCCACTCTCAAGAGACTTCTGTTAAGTCTGTAGAAAGACTTCCCCATGCTACCATCTGTAACCACCAACTACGGGAACCCTAGTTCACTGTTGGTGGGAATGTATTTTGGTATAGCCATTATGGAAAACAGCATGAAGGTTCCTACAGAAGTTAAAAATGGAACTTCCATATGACCCAGTAATTCCTCTTCTGGGAATATAGCTAAAGGAGATGAAATCATTACCTTGTAAAGATGTCTGCACTCCAATGTATGCTGCAGCATTATTGACAATAGCTAAGATGTGGAAACTAAGATGTCTATCAAGGGAGGAACTGGCCAGGCGTGGTGGCTCACACCTGTAATCCCAGCACTTCGGGAGGCTGAAGCGGGTGGATCACTTGGGGTCAGGAGTTCGAGACCAGCCCAGCCAACATGGCGAAACCCCATCTCTACTAAACATACAAAAATTAGCTGAGTGTGGTGGCTGCATGCTTGCAGTCCCAGCTACTCTGGAGGCTGGGGCGAGAGAATCGTTTGAACCTGGGAGGATGAGGTTGCAGTGAGCTGAGATCACACCACTGTGCTCCAGCCTGGGCACCAGAGTGAGACTTCATCTCAGAAAAAAAAAGTCTATCAAGGGAGGAATAAGGACCATGTGATATATGTATACAATGGAATACTAGCCTTAAGAAAGAAGATCTTGCCATTTGCCACAGCACGGACGGATCTAAAGGACGTTATGCTAAGTGAAATGTGCAGACACAGAGAGAGAAATATTACATAATCTCACTTATATGAAATATTTTTAAAAAGATCTCAAATATTAATACACACGTAGAGAATAAAGCAGTGGTTTCCATGGGTTGCGGGTGGGGAGAGGAATTGGGGAGATGTAGATCAAAGGATAAATAAAAACAGATATATTGGACAAATGAGAGATCTAATGTACATCATGACTAAAGTTAATAAAATTGTATTAGGGATTTTTGTTAAATAAGTAAATTTTAGCTGCTTTTGTCCCACACACACACACACACACACACAGTAACTCTGAGGTGATGGATATGTTAGTCTGCTTCACTGCAGTAACCATTTTGCCATCTATATGCATCCCGTATCATCACGTTGTCAAACTCAAAAATACACAGTAAAATTTATTTTTTTAAAAAGAACAAAGCCTTAAAAGAACAAAAGAACAAACCTAACAATTGCCTCCTTTTGTATTTCCCTTTTTGTGTTCATTTTCACCTCCTCTTTGAGCTTGAATCAAAAGGTTTTGAGGCCACCAGTAAATCAGGTAAACAGTAAAAACTGGAGGGAAAATGCCTCATATTTGTGAATTTGCCATTGCACATTCCCATGGTCAGTGTCTGATGTGGATATAGAAAGCAGCATCTTGTCCAAGGACATGGCTAGGAGGGGAAACCACAGCGGGTAGACGAGAGGTAGGTGTTTGTCTTAGGTCATTTTGTGTTGCTATAAAGGAATACTTGAGGCTGGATAATTTATACAGAAAGGAGGTCTTTTTCCTTCACAGTTCTGCAGGCTGTATAAGAAATATGGCATTAGCATCTGCTGGCCTCCGGTGAGGACCTTTGTGCTGCATCAAAACTTGGTGCAGAAGGTCAAAGGAGAAGCGAGCACCTGCGAAGAAGGACCAAACCCAAGGGGCGTCCTGGCTTTATAACACCCCACTCTCAGGGAACGAATCTATTCCTTTAGAAACAGTCCCGTTTCATGAGAGTGAGAGCTCACTTGATCCCTTGAGAATGGCACCAATCCGTTCATGTGGGATATGCCCCCAGGAGCCGAACACCTTCCACGAGGCACCACCTCCCAACACCATCACAGTGGGTATCAAATTTCAACATGAGACTTGGTGGGGACAAGCAAACCACATCCAAACCACAGCAGCATGAAAGGGGATGAGTCAGATCTTGGGTTACTATTGAAAAGGGCTGTGTGTGCCTGCTGGGATTCATGGTGCACATGGAGAGCAAAATGAGTCCTGGGAAGCAGAGACTTAATGCAGCGGGGGCTGGCTGTTAAAATTTTGAATTCCCTAGGGCCTGGCAGTGTGAGTTGGAAGACAAAAATGACTGGGTGCCTCTGGGAGGGCCTAGCAGTCCAGGAGAGCAGAAGCTCTCAGAGCCAGAACCAACAGAGCTGGCAGAAGGGAGCGATGTTTGGATGGAATCAGGAATGCTGGAGTTGGCTGGGATGGAACCAAGAAGTCAAAACAGTAAGGCACTAGAATTAGCTGGGCAGATTCCTGAAGCAGATTCAGGTGGATAAGAGTTTAGTTAATGTATAGTATTGCCTCTGTTTAAGAGGCTATAAAGGATTTTTGTGAGTTTATCTTGGGTTGTAACAGCCGTAAATACTGGAGAGATGGACTGCAACTTTTAAAAAGTTGATGTAATTCACATGCCATAAAACTTGTCATTTTATTATGTACAATCCAGTGGTTTTTCGTACATTCACTTTGTTGTGCAGACATCACCATTAAACCGTGAAAATGTTTGGTTCACTCCAAAAGGAAACCCCATAGTCATTGGCAGTCACTTCCAATTCTTCCCTCTGCCCAGGTCCCAGCAACCAATAAGCTATGTTCTGTGTCTGTGGATTTGCTTCTTCTGAACCTTTCATATATATAGAATCATACAATATGCGGACTTCTGTGTCTGGCTTTTTCATTTAGCATACTTTTTTCAAAGGCCCATCCATGCCATTGCATGCGTCAGTGCTTCCTTCCTTTGTATTGCTGAGTAATATTCCAATGTGTAGCCCAACAACATTGTATCAGTTCATCAGCTGCTGAACATGGGGATTGTTTGCATTTTGGATTATTATGAACAATGATTCTGTGGGCATTTATGTGTGCATTTTTGTCAAATCCTTTTCTGTGTAGAGATGATCGTGTGGGTTCTGAACATGGTTCTATTAATATGGTATTTTACATTGATTGAGTTTTATATGTTGGACTGGTCTTCTTTTCCTAGGATAAATCCCACTTGGTCATGGCTTATAATCCTTTTTATATTTTGCTGTGTTCAGTCTGCTAGTATTTTGCTCAGAATTTTTTCATCTATATTCGTAACGATATTGGTCTGTAGTGCTTTAAATTTTTACTTATGTTCATTATTCACATTTAAAAAGTGACAAAAATTGTATTTATGGTGTATAACATATTTGCAAATATGTATACATTATAGAATAGCTAAATCAAGCTAATTATGTGCATTGCCTCACATATTATTTTTTGTGATGTCACATATTGCAGAATCTTATTTTTAAAGGCCAAATAGTATTCCGTTTACCATATATATTTTCCTCGTTTATCTGTTGATGGACACTTAGGCTGATTTCCTGTCTTGGCTATTATGAATAATGCGGCAGTGAACATGGGAGTACACATTGTCTTCAGTATACTGATTTCATTTTCTTTGGATATATGCTCAGAAGTGAGATTGCTGGATCATATGGTAGTTTTTTTTTTTTTTTTGAGTTGAAATTTTGCTCTTATCACCCAGGCTGGAGTGCAATGGTGCGATCTTGGCTCATTGCAACCTCTGCCTCCCGGGTTCAAGTGATTCTCGTGCCTCAGCATCCCAAGTAGCTGGGATTAAAGATGCGTGCCACCACACCCCGCTAATTTTTGTAGTTTTAGTAGAGGTGGGATTTTGCCATGTTGGCCAGGCTGGTCTCGAACTCTTGTCCTCAGGCAATCTGCTTGGCTTGGCCTCCCAGAGTGTTGGGATTACAGGTTTGAGCCACTGTGTCCGGCCGGTAGTTCTATTTTTAATTTTTGAGGAACCTCCATACTGTTTTCCATAATGGCTGTATTAATTCATATTCCTTTCAATGGTGTAGATGGTTCCCTTTTCTCCACGTTCTTGTCAATACTTGTTTTTGTTGATCTTTTTCATAATAGCCATTCTAACAGGTGTGAGTTAAAGGGTCTGTAGTAGTACTCTTGCAGTGTCTTTGCTGATATTCTGTGTTTGTTTTCCTGTTCTTTATTTCATTTATTTCCACTCTAGTCTTTATTATTTCTTCATTATTTAGGAGTGTTATTTAATTTCCATATATTTGTGATTTTTCCTTTCTTTTTTTGGTCTGTATTGAGTTCTACTTTTATTCCATTGTGGTTGGAAAACACACTTTGACTTAATCATTTTAAATTTATTGAGGTTCATTTTATAGCCTAACATATTGCCTGCTGGAGGATGTTCCATATATCCTTAAGTATGTACATTCTGGCCAGGCACGGTGGCTCACGCCTGTAATCCCAGCAGTTTGGGAGGCCGAGGTGGGCAGATCACGAGGTCAAGAGATCGAGACCATCCTGGCCAACATGTGTGAAACCCCATCTTTACTAAAAATATAAAAGTTAGCTGGGCATGGTGGCGCACGCCTTTAGTCCCAGCTACTTGGGAGGCTGAGGCAGGAGAATCGCTTGAATCCAGGAAGTGGAGGTTGCAGTGAGGTGAGATTGTGCCTGGTGACGGAGTGAGATTCTGTCTCAAAAAAAAAAAAAAATTCTGCTCTTGTTGGGTAGATTGTTTGGTAGATGTCTGTTGGTACTAGTTGATTTATAGTGTTGGTCAAGTTTTCTGTTTCCTTGCTGATCTTTTGTCTAGTTGTTCTCACAGTTGTGGAATGAAAGGTATTGAAGTTTCCAACTATCATTGTTGAATTACCCATTTTTCCCTTCAATTATTTTAGATTTTGCTTTGTGTATTTTGGGGCTCTGTTCTTATGTATGTTTATATTGGTTGTCTCTTCTTGATGAATTAACCCTGTTAGCATTATAAAACGTCCTTCTTTATCTTTAGTAGCAAGCGTTTTCTTAAAGTCTGTTTTGCTTGTTAGTATAACCATTCTAGCTCTCTTGGGGTTTCTTTTTGCATGGTATATATATTTTACATAGTTTTACTTTGAACCTTTTTATGTCTTTGAGTATAAAGTGTGTCTTTTGTAGACAGCATATAGTTGAATTTTGTTTTAAAATTTTAATCCGTTCTGCCAATCTATGTCTTTTAATTGGAGTGTTTAATTCATTTAAGTTTAATGCAATTACTGATGAGATAGGATTTACTTATGCTATTGGGCTATATTCTACGTATCTTTGTCTTTTTTGTTCTTCTGTTACTACCTTATTTTATGTTAAATATTTTTTCAAGTAACATTTTAATTTCCTTGCCATTTATTTTCCTCTATGTTTTTGAGTTATTTGCTTAGTGGTTGCCCTGGGGATTACAGTTAACATCTTAATTTATAACAATCTAATTCAGATTAATACCAATGTAATAATATACAAAAACTTTGCTCCTATATAGCTCTGTTCTATTCCTTCTTTACTCTTATTGTCACATGTTACCTCTTCATAGATTGTGTGCTTTTCAACATAGGTTTATAACAACAGTTCTATGCTTTTGTCATTTACATCAGATAGAAAAAAGAGTACATTTATCCCATTTTAAATATTTTAGAAATGCTTAAGGATATTTAAAAAATTAAACTATGTTACATTTATTTTAAAATACATTTATACTATTTGTAAAATATTCACTTCTGCAGTTACCTTTATACTTACTCCTATATTTCTTCATTGATTTGATTTACTGTCTAGTGTCTTTTCATTTCAGCTTGGTGGAAAAGTTCCTTTATTTCTTGTAGAGCAGGTCTGCTAGTAATGAACTCTGTTTTTATTTGGAATGTCTTAATGTCTCCTTCATTTTCAAAGAATAGTTTTGCTGACATAGAATTCTTGGTTGACAGTTATTTTCCTTTCAGCTCTTTGACTATGTTATCCCACTGCTTTCTGGTCTCCATGGTTTTCAATGAGAAATCGGCTGTTAATCTTACTGAGGATTCCTTGCACGTGATGAGTCGCTTCTCCAATGCTGCTTTCAAGATTCTCTTTAGTCTTTGGCTATTAACAGGTTATTGGTTTTGAATTACAAATTCACTGTTAGTCTGCCCACGTTTCATCATCCCTATTTGAAGGGACAGCATGGGACACTTTTGTCAGTGCTTTAATTCAACACTTGTGATATCTCTGTAGCATTTTATTGATCTATCAACTTTATGGTTCAGTAATATGTGGTTTTGTCTTTCACTGTTATATTACTTAATAGAATTTCAGATTGATATTTATGTGATCCGTTCCCATAACTTATTTACTTAATAGATTTGTTGGACAGCTGTATATGGAAGGCTGTATGCAAGACTTTGAGTTTTCTTAGATAAATGACACATGATCCTAATTGTGAAGATGACACATTTGATTGGCAGAGCACACAAACTTAACTAATTACTATGCAATTAGGATGAAGGTATCTATGTGCATAAACGTAGTAGTTTGGAAGCAAAGAATAGGAAGTCACTGATTTTCATAAGTGGTAAATGAGCAAACTGAGGAGATTAGATAGATTAGCAATTTGAGACCTTGAGTTATCTAAATTAGAACGTGGCAGAATCAAGGACTAGAAGTCACTTTTCTGGGTTCTTTCTATGAAACGATGATTCTAGAATGTGGCTCTTTTCTATGTTCAAGCATCATAGGTAAAAATGATTTCTTAAACCAGGTAAGTGTGTGAAGCACAGACTGGCTATTTTGCTTCAAAAGGTGTTTATGTTAAAAATAAAAGCAAACAGTACTTATTTATGCTTATTATATTGTATTAACATGAATTAAGTAAACAAGTGACTATGCTGGAACTTGAGGTGTCAAAATATGAAAAGATACTTGCTGTTATTAAATTGACCTTAGATGTTTTATTTTCCTTTTTATTGTTATTTGTTTTATCAAAAGAACTCTTCTCCCCTGTACATCTGTAGTAAAATTTTGAATAGGTACAGTTTGTATTAGAGCCTCCTTAAAAATAAAGTTGCAGATCAATCAAAACTATATTCATTCTCCATAGGATAAAGCATGACATTTCTGGGCATACGGTTTTAATTTTAATCTGCATGCCTCCGTTTCTATTCTCCCATGAGTCTTTGCGGCAGGACAAGGAAAAGCAAGTCTTATAAAAAGAAATACAGTATGTGGTGCTTATTAAAGTTACATACATCTCTTCTCACAGGAGAAATTTGATTTATTGCAGGTTGTGCATATGTCGCATATGGACATTTCTAGGGAACAGATTCCTTATTGCTGAGCAGTGAATGGCTTCTAGTACTCCATTATTGCTCCGGGAACATGTTAGTAATAATTATGAAAGGTAGGATACCATGAAATCTGTAAGGTGATTTGGCAGAAGTCGATGCTGTTGGTGCCAGGATTTGGGTACCGTACCACGGTTTCCTGTTTTCAAATGTATTAATTGATCCGCAAAGGACATCTTTTGGAGACAAGAATTCAGACAGACTGGCACAGCCTGGACCTCCGCCAAGACTGCTCGGAAGGTTGCCATACTGGGAGCAAAAGAGTGAGAGAGAGAAAGAGGGAGAGAGAGAGGCAGAGGGAGAGCTGAGGAAAGAAAAAAAGGCAAGACTTGGCACAGCTCAGTCAAATCAGCTTCTTTTGTCTGCTTTCTCGGCTTGAGCTTCAGGAAAGAAAACCGTCCTGGGGTACAGAAAAACTCAGAACTTTTTGGTTTTCAAACTTAGAAGGCTTTTTAAGTCTCTTGGGCTATTTGAAAGTGTTGGTACATACAATGACGTTTAGTCACCAGTATTAAGGGAAATAAAAGCCTTTTTCAAAACGAAGCTTCCATAGTGTCCATGCATTTGGGAAATACTATATTTGATTTTTTGCATGTATGATTATACCATGAGAGACAGGATTAATATAGAAGATGGCAAGGCAAATTTCTAATTAGAGGGAATATTAATTTTCTACAAAATAAAGTTTGTTCATCAATACAAACCTGCTTTCAAATCAAATCAGAAAGACATCCTTCGGAATGTGTTCAGAACGTAAGTTTTTAGATTTTATTTTATTTTATTTTTAGACATTTATAGACATTAACTTTTCAAGGAGCCTTTCTAAGATTTTATGCAGCCCAGCCAGGAAGTCAGAGTAAAAGTTGTTTTATCCATGTGTTTAAGAAAACGTTTTCTTAAAGCAACAGCTTTTATTTCTGCTGCTTCATGCTGTCCTAAACTACATCCCCCAGCAATTAGTGACAACACTGAAGACCAGAAAGGCAAGCTGAAGACACCAGACTTCGCTTGAAGGGCAAACAAGAAATGTGAGCTTGGTCATTATTTTTTTGTGTGTCTTTGCTCTGAACCATTTTTGGGAGGTGGGTGGGGAGGTGTCTATGTCTAAGAGATGTATGCGATTAGTGAATTCTCATTGTGAGAAGGAAATGATGAAAGGTGATTTTTATGATGTTGGCAGAAATGGCTGGGAATGGTAGAGAATAGAAATTTAAATCTTTTGGAGAAGAAGTGGTGAGCTGTGTTTGCAATACTTGGAGAAAAATTTCTTATTTTTGGTTGATTAGATTTTATAATTAAACGATTACTGTAGCCTGGCTCTCTCAAAATGTTTTAAGTAGAAGGAAAATTTAGAAAGTTTACCGATTTTCTTTTTAATACTACCTGGTGTTTTACTTAGATATATACTTTATATCTAATTTCTGAACAATGAATCTTTCCTATTAGGCCTGATTATGATTGGATTGTGATAGTTCTGTTCTTAAAAATCAGCATTATTGTAGGAGAGGTTAACTGTAAGGCATGTGTTACTGTGGATCACCCTGATTGTAAGTATTCTGTTTTTAAAGACAGTTTGACTTGTAGGATTAAGTTATGACTTCCTATAATCATGTATTTTCTTTTTATTTTATATGCCGAAAGAATACAGGAAAATTGTATCTATTCACATAAGTACTCATCATTTTGGGCAGTATAAAAGACTGCCCCTGGATCTGTGCTTTTGTTTGGAGTATGTAATCATTGATTTCTTAATCCTTCGACAATAAAAACCTGTCTATAGCTTTCCATTATTGCGCGCCTTAAATGATTAATTGTTTCACATGTTTTTTATAAAATTATAGTGACACATCAGCAATCCTGAAAATGGCATTTAATATATAAATATGATTGAAAAATATATGAAATCTAACAGAGGTGTTTGAACAGTTAAGCTTAAGTATGTTCTTCAACTTTTTAATTAATCAACATTTTGATTTTCTGTAAAATGAAATCACTTAACATTTATGTGTGTTGCCAAAATGACAACCTTTGTTTAATAAGCTCCTTTATACACTACGTCGCTGATACTCCTAAAATGGACGCCAAGACATGAAAGACATGCTGATAGGCACTCGGAAGGAAATGTTTGCCTGACTGCAGTCTTCCTTTTTGAATTGATTACAGGATCATTCATGCTTATACTAAAAAACAACAATATATGAAACAAAAAGAAAGTTCAGCAAACAAGTTTAAATTGAGCTTCATTTTAATACTGACCGTCTTATTGCCGATTTATATTTACTTCCATTTACTTCTTAAACATTTAACATAACTTCTTGCCATTTAGGTTTGCTAAATATATAACTTATTTAATTTTTAAGTCCATTTTTTCTTGAAGTTAAAATAATTTTTGCTAGCTGATTTCTTAACTTCTTTGCAGCGAACTCAGAACAAACTTATATCCAAACTATTTCATGTCCAATTATTTTCCAGCAGTATGATCAAAAGTAGGTGAATTAAAAAACAAATATGTCAGAATATACCTTAAGAAATATTAAATTTTTCGATACTGGTAAAACTACATTTTACAGTGTATATTAAACTTAAAATTTGATAAATACTAGCTATTATAGTCACTGAAGTTTCTTACCAATAGAAATTCTCTCTGGCCTACACATTACATAGCTTAAAATGAAAGAAAATCTCCCATAAAGATGTTCCTTGTAAAACGGGTATAATAGACACGTCTTTGTGCAAGCTTTTTTTAAAAAAAAGTGTGATTAAGAAGTTGCGTTGATTACATTTTTTTAAAAAGACATTTAGTTGTAACATAATGCATGCTTCTTTATTTTTAGACCTTTTGTACTACAAACACATTGACATTTAGGTTATTAACTATTTCCATATTAGTATTTCAAATCTTATTTTAAAGTATATAAATACTATTGGTTTGATTGTAAATGAACCCTATCTCACCTCATAATTATGGTCGTTTGAATTGTATAATATTTTGAAGTAAAATTATTGAGGCAGAAATGCGTTAATATTTAACTGCTACTTGATACCTATTATTAAATTCCATTTTGATGTATGTACCTGAACATACAAGCACATTATTCTACAAATTAATGCGAACTTCTCAGGAAGCGTTAGTCCAGTATTTTATAATTACTCGCTCATTTATTCATTTATTCAACAAATGTTTATTGAGCACTCACTTAAATATGCTAATATTTTATTGATAAAGTTATTTTGGGTAACGGGGATGGAAGAGGGAATAGATTTAAAATAAAATTTAAACGCCTAGATAGAAAAAGGCAGTACTATAATGAGATTAATTTCAACAAAGTATGTTCACTTTTCTTGCACAATACACATATTGTAGAGTGTGATTATAAAAAATCAGGAGATTAGTTGTATTACACGTAGCTGTAAGAATCTTGTTTTATGACTATTTTGGTTGTTACATTTTATTGGCCAGAAAACTTGAGTTGTTCAAGTCTTCTGACAGACATGTAAAATAAGCAATTCAAATCAGGGAGGAAGAAACTGAGAATGAGCCACTGCTCACATGCTAGATCTTACATATGTCAAAGCAGGTGTAATTGAACCTTCGAAGACGTGGCTGCAACGTAAACAACAGTGGCCTGTTTATGTGGGATTTTTTTCTTTCCTTTGTTTTCTGTTGTGAGACAAAGGAGGAAGATAAGGCCCCTCCCACATCCTGAGGCCAGCATGGCCCTTTGAAAGAAGGTTTGCTAGGGGGTGTGGTATATTTTAAATGGACCTATCAGTTCACTTTCTATATTCTAGTGGTTCGTGTGTGTGTATGTTTGTGAGTGAGAGAGAGAGAGAGTGCATTTAACTCAGTGGCCTAAGTTTATTCCATGCAGTTGTTCTCTGATACAAAAAGAAGGCATAGGTTCATCTTTGAAGAGGAGATAAAAGTCACGTGATCTGAGGAGATGTACTTGTAGGCTGCTTTGGTGGCCCAGGCGTGAGGCAGAGCTGGTGGCCCATGGAATGGAGATGAGGAGTGTCTCAGCCGTGGGTATACACTGCTGAGGTCATTCAGCAGATACTCCCAGAGGACTTGCTCTGTGCCAGGCAAAAGATATAATTGCTGCCCATAGGAATTCCTAGTGTAGTTGGGTAGAGGAGAGGATAGGAATAATTGATGAATGTAGGTACCTTTTCAGGTTACCAAATACCTTCGCCTGTTATTCCATGTAATCCAAGCAGCCATGCTGGGCGCAGGGACTGGTACACAATGGCCACTTAATAAGTATTCATGGAAGAAATAAACTGAGTGGCGAACCAGAGTATTAGCTTGTTGAGTCTTATTTGACTAAGAGAGTGTTTTTTCCTTCATGGATAGAAAAACAAAAAGTACTGTGCTTTCTTTATCTTGTTTCTCTGTTGCTGGCTATGGGTTTAGAGGGGTGCAGCAGAGGGCCACATTATTTGTGACCACATTAGGCTCTCTTGCGGTGGCCATTGGAGATGATATGAAACAAGGACTTGCCTGGTGTGGGGTGGCCCTGGACACCGGCTTTCTCTCTGGCCAGCCCTCTGTTGTCTTGCATTCCCTCTGTCCTCATTTTCCCAAAGCATCCCATATTGTACTTTAGGACTTGGTGGTGTGGCCTGAGCATGCAGCAGGCCAGTGGAGTGCCCAGTGAGTTTAAAGTGTTTCTTTTGAGGGCAGGACAAAGGCAGAGGGGATGGAGACAGAGAAGGTGGTGAGGGCAGTTGTGCAGAGTTGAGGGCGCTGCCCAGCAAGCAGCTTCAGTCCTGTTGTAGCTGCAGCACTAGGGGCCTTTGAGGGAGCAAGGGTGAATGTGGGATCCTGGGTTAGACTGCAATATCAGCAACCGCAGGTGTTGAGAGGGCATAAGGTGTTATTGAGGGGCTGCATGGGGGGATGTAAATGGGTTGCTGAGGCCAGTTCATGTTGAACATCGTCTTTCTGGGTCTTTGTCCTGGGAGGTTTTGAGGCCCAGGAGAGGGAGAGGCAGAGTCAGGAGCATTGTGTATAGTTCTGTGTCCAAGGCGGTGAGGGGCTGGAATTTAGCCTCAGCTTTGCTGCCCAAGCCCTGTGCCTTGATCTGCTGCAGGAAGGTACCAAGTCCCCATTGTGCTTGTGGAGGTCCTGGGGTGCATACAGGCTTGGAACTGGAATAGCAGGTATTGGGAGAAGGTCAAAGGTCTGTGGCCAGGGAGGGCAGTGTTCCAGTATCTGACCATGGAGTCTAGGGGGCTAGGGGATGTGATCAGAAGTGTTCTAGAGAACATGGTGAAACAGGGGAGGATGAGTAAGTAGAAATTTAGATCAAGTGAAAGAAAAGGTTTTGAGAGTACTGGAGTTAGGAGTTTATTCTGAAACTCATCAGATTCTGAATAATTGTACCACCTCTGCAAAGCTCGACTTAAAAGTTTGGCCGTGAGTTGTGCTCAGGTTATTTTATTTCTCCAAAAGCAAGCAGAAAGTGAAAAATGTTACCTGTGTGTGTTCTGTATTGCACGTTATCAGAGGAGATGCACATTTTCTTCTCTTACAGTTAAGAATCTCTCAGTCTTACACAATTAGAATACCCCTTATGTGTGGATCTGGAGGTTTTGTGCAAAATACTGAAGAATTAGTCCCTCTGGAGTGATGCCATTCTTTTATCCTTGTCTATCAATGTCATTTATATCTCTTTTCCTATTAGCCCTTCTAAGTTATTGTACCTCATCTGAAAAGATCAAATTGTTCTCAAAGACCCAGGAGTGTTTCACCTTAGCTGTATTCATGGGAAATCTGCCTTTGAAACAAATAGTCCTTTACCGTCTTGGGTTAGAGATAATGTTCCTCAGCATCTCCCCAAACTGAGTTTGAATTTTGACTCAATTTTTTGGTTGTGGGACTTTGGCCAAGTTATGTAAACCTAATTTCTTCATCTGCAGAACAGGGATCATGGTATTTCCCTCACACGATTTTGGGAGGAGAAATAAGGAAATACATGCAGAGCTCTTAGCATAGTGTCTGGTATGTAGTAAATACTTAATAAATGGTAGATATTATTTATGTTTTACAAAATTATTTTTTTAATTTTTAGAAATTGTGATAAAATATGCATAACATATTTTACCGTCTTAACCATTTTTAAGTGGTATCAGGTACATTCACATTGTTATGCTGCCATTACCGTCATCAAGCCACAGAAGTCTTTTCATCTTGCAAAACCAAAATTCTGTACCCATAAACAATAACTTTCTATTCTTCCCTTCCCCAAACCCCGCAACAGAATCGTGGCAACCTTGATTCTGTTTTCTGTCTCTATGAATTTGACTACTTCAGGTACCTCATATAAGTGGAATCATACAGTGTTTGTCCTTTTGTGACTGGCTTCTTTCACTTAGCATAATGTCCTCAGGATTCATACATGTTTTAGCATGTGTCAGAATTTCCTTCTTTTATGAGGCTGAATAATACTCTATTGTATGGACAGACCACATTTTCTTTCTCCATTCATCTGCCAGTGGAAACTTGGGTTGCTTCTACCTTTTGGCTGTTGTGAATAATGGTGCTATGAACATGAGTGCACAGATATCTCTTTGAGCTCCTGTTTCCAGTTCTTTTGAGTATATCCCCAAAAGTGGAATTCTGGGTTGACAATTTCTTTTTTTTCAGCGCAACTTCAGTTGTACTCCCTTCTTTTGCCTTTGTGTTTTCTGATGAGAAATCTGCTGTCATTTGAATTGTTTTGCCCTTCAGCTAAGATGTCCTTTTTCTCTCACTACTTTCAAAATCTTGCTGTGTCCTTAGTTTTCAAGGAATGTGTTATGTTGTGCCTTTTTGTGGATTTCTTTGGGTGTATCCTGTTTGGGGCTCATTCACCTTCTTGAATATGTAGGTTTATGTCTTTTGCTAAATTGGGAAAGTTGTCAGGCATTATTTCTTTGAATACTTCCCCAGGTGTGCCCTCTTTCTCCTTTCCTTCCAAGACTTGGAGGATGTGAATATTAAAACTTTGTTATAGTTCTACCAGTGCTTGATACTGATTATTTTTTAAGTCTATTTTCTCTTTACTATTCAGATTGCATAATTTCTATTGTTCTTACCTTCAGATTCACCTATTCTTTTCTCTGTCATCTTCATTCTGCTGTTTAGCTCACTGGGTGAGTTTTAATTTCGGTTATTTTATCTGCTATGTCTTTACTGAGACTTTCTGTTTTTAAAATTTGTTTCATGCCCATTTTTAGTTGTTTGTGGAAACATGTTTATAATGGCTACTTTCAAATCCTTGTCAGATAATTCCAACATCTGTGCCATCTCAATGTTGGCATCTCTTGACTGTGTTTTCTCGTTTAAATTGAGGTTTTCCTGGTTCTTGGTATGATAAATGATTTTGATTATATCCAGGCATGTTGGGTACTATGCTATGAGACTGGATTTTATTTAAGCCTTCTGTGTTAACAAACCTTCTCTGACACTGTGCTAGCAGGGGAAAGGGGGGCACTCCCTCATTTCTGTGAGGTGGGGGAGTAGGAGGGTACCTTATTATTGGTAGGTGAGGGTGAAATTCAGGCTACCCATAGTTGATACTGTTATTTTTATTGTTAGTTTTGTACTGGGTGCAGTAACCTGGACAGTGTCTCAGCTCTGTATTCCTTAAATTTAGCTTATGTTGTTGGTGCTACTTGTGTTTGATAACTTGTTTAATGATAGTTACATTCTCAAATTAGGGACTGAGCCTTCTTTAATCACTAGCTACCCAGAGATTAGTATGTGTTTACCACTAGCACATTGAATAAAAGAATATAAGAGATGACATTGTAGTTTCTACTTTATTAATTTAGAAAAATTATTTTTAAAAGGAGAGAATACGCTACCTGGGTAAGATTTCCATTTTTTTGGTTATTAACATGCGAGGTTTTATCAGACTTTTGCAACTTATTTTTAGAAGAGGTCAGTATATTAAAAATAGTCAGAAGAAACAGATTTGACTGAAGGCTTTAAAAATGTCAGTGATAAAGTATTCTGTTTCATTTGTGAATTCAAACCTGTAGCTTCAGGACAGATCTTAAAGATGATGCATGTAACTTTGGAATAATATATTGTCAGGGTTCTTACGGGTCATCTGTGCTGTAGCATTGACAGTGAGATCCCAGTTTTGCATCACTTACTAACTGGATAATCTTGGGAAAATCTCCAAAACTCTAAAGGTTGACTTTTCCTATAAGTGAAGTGGCTGTCATAATACCAATATCAAAGGGTTGTTCAGAATATTAAGTGAGATAATGTGCCTGAAAGCAATTTAGCTGATAGGTATCATAAACATGGGAGACAATTATCTAGTTAGTTTCTCCAGACACATGAGGATGATGGATAAAGATAATGTACCTAATTCTGTATGCTTTTCAGCTGTTTATTCCAATAGACTGTTTTATATATATATATATTTAAAATGCTTTAAAATTGTGTAAATATCGAAGACCTTCAAATAGATAGCAAAGTATTAAATAAAGTAGAATGAATACCCATATACCCATTATTCAGAAGTGACAAATGCCATATTTATTTTCCTCAGATGTTAAAAAAAAAAATTAAGGATATAACTAAAGCCTTACTCTCTCTCACGTCTGAAATTGGTGTAGAACACTTTCATGCACATTTTTCTGGAATTACAGCGTATACATGTAGCCATAAACAATATATTTTACATGTTTAAAAACTTTGATAAAATATTTTAAACTGTTGCTATCCTTTTGCAAATGAAATTAGATATTTCTGAGCGTTATCTCTATTGCTAATGTGGGTATGAGGCTGTAGAGTGTCTCATTTTAGCGTAGCCATTCTTCTGTGGATGGGCGTTTAGGGATCTGCTTTGTGCTACCCATGCTGTCATGACCCTCCTACACATCTGGGTGATCTCTAGAGGAGGACTTAGAAATGGAGCCCAGTTTCTGAATATTTCAGCTTTACTCAGTAATGCCACGCCATTCTCCCAAGTATTTGTAATGTGAACCCAAAAGTATCTGAGACAGGTCTCAATCAATTTAGAAAGTTTATTTTGCCAAGGTTAAGGATGCATCTGTGACACAGCCTCAGGAGGTCCTGACATGTGCCCAGGGTGATGGGGGTACAGCTTGGTTTTATACCTTTTAGGGAGACGTAAAACACATCATTCAATACCTGTAAGATGTACACTGGTTTGATCTGGAAGGGCAGGACAACTTGAATCAGGGGCTTCTAGGTCATAGGTAGATATAAAAATTTTGATTGGCGACTGGTTGAAAGAATTATCCTCAATAAGAAGGAATGGCTGGGTTATGCTAAGGGGTTGTGGAGACCAAGGTTTTATCATGCAGTTGAAGCCTCCTGGTAGCAGGTTTCAGAGAGAATAGATTGTAAATGTTTCTTATCAGACTTAAGGTCTGTGTTGATATTAATGCTGGCCTGCTTTTCCTGAATTCCAAAAGGGAGACGGATATAATGAGGCATGTCCAACCCCCCTTCACATCATAGCCTGAACTGGGTTTTCAGGTTGACTTTGGAATGCCCTTGGCCAAGAGGAGAGGTCCATTCAGATGGTTGAGAGGGGCTTAGAATTTTATTTTTGGTTTCCAGTACCCATTTATATTCCTGTGCTAGAGTATCAATGTTCTTGTCTCACTGTATCTTCACCAACAGTTGGTAGTACCAGACTTTAAAATTCTTGTCAATCTCATGGGCAAGGAATATTTTGCTGTTACGTTTATTGGTATAGCTGATTACTTAGTGAGATTGAACATCTTTTAATATTGGTAATTTAGATTTCCTTTTCTGTGCATTCTGTATTCATATGCTTTGCACAGTATTCTTTTGAGTTGTTTTATTCTTGCTAATTTGTATCATATTAACTAATCCTTTGTTATGCTCATCGAAGATACCTTCTCAATCTTTTTTTTTCTCATTTTCCTTATGGCAACTTTGGAAATTAACTATGGAATATGTTTGAAAAATTGGAATGTTTTCATTTTTCATTTTCAGAAGTGATTTTAGTAATAATACATGCTTACAATCCATGCTTTCCGATGAGGCAGAGAGGGCTAATGGGACTAATTTCTTAGAATGCATCAGAATTTTATCTCCTTAATTAACATCTAGAGGAAAAAGTTTCTCATTTTCCATGTAAACTTTTGGTCAACTTGAAATGTCAGGCAGATTCTTAGTCCCCAGGCATCCATCATTGAATTAAAGAGTATTGTGGAGTTTTACTCTATTATTTGCAGGGACTGCTATAGCACACCGATAATGTAGGCACATTCCCATTGCATCTGCAATGTTACCAAATAGGAGTTCTAGGGCCCTTAGAAAGAATGTTCTGTTGATCTGATTATAGTGCTTTCTATACAGTGAATAATCTCGGTGCAATAAGCACTTTCTCCTTCCCCTAACCAGTAGTCTTGCTAACAAAATAACTTAATTGAGAAATGCACACTGTTGGGGCAAGTGGATTGAGTTGTGGCTGAGGCTCCTTGTGTATCTTTTGTTGTGCAATCAAGTAGCACTTATTCACCGACTTTGCTCATGCTGTCCCGTCTAAACAAAACCCACCTAATCTTCCAAATCACTTTGCAAAACAAAAGAACACACAGAAGATATAGAAACCAGGAGGACCAGGCGGCTGTGGAGTATTTTAGGCAGCACTCCCTCTTTCCCTGCTAGTAACCATGTATATGAAATTGCTTTAGTAATTATACATCTGTTTTAAAATTGGAATCGGAAAGGATACTCTTTCCACAATCCTATAGGAACCCTCCTTGGTTGTTCAAACATTTGGCACCACTGCGTGTCTGCTGATGGTTTGCCACAGTCATAGGTGAGGTTCTGGGCAGATATTAACAGCTGAGGGAAGAGTGGGCTTGCAAACCCAAACGTGGAAGTCAGACCTTGAGGTATGGTTCTCACAGACTTGACTTTCTTAAGGACAGTGGCCATACGCTTTGCTCAGTCAATTCCAGTTGGCCTTATTGTACTCGTTTGCCATTTACTGCAGGGAGTGAGCCTCCCTTCAGCATATAGGAACCAGTGAAATGTCCTCTCATTGGCTAGCTTTGATATTTCCTTCTTTCTCCACTTACTGAATTCTTACCTGGAATCAGCATTTGGCTCCAGTCACCGTCTCTGCACCATTCCTCTACTGTTTAAAAGTTTTAAGGAAAACTTCAATAAAGAGTATATGAAAATAATGACTGTTGTTTAATTACAAACCCTGTTTTCTCTAGGTTATCTAAGTCAGTGCAACTCTGTGAGAGAGACTGGCAGACACACACACCACACACGTTTCAGGTGAGGAAATAGAGGCCCAGAGAAGTGAAGTGCCTGGGCTTGTTAGTAGCAATGCTAGAGTTTAAATCAAGTCCTCTGCTTCCAGATTTGTTGTGCTTCTTGTGATTTCACATTTGTTCACTCTGTCATGGGACCACCAGGAGAATATAGTAAGTTGGTGCTTTTATGGTAGCCTCTCCATACACCCTTGGGAATGTGTCCCTAGGTCATTCCTTCTGTCTGCTACCCACCCACCTACCTACCCACTCACACACCCACCCACCTAACTACCCACGCACCTACCCACCTACCCCTTCCCTCCACCCGCCTACCCCTCTACCCACCTACCCATTCACCTACCCCATCTATCCACCTTCCCACCCACCTACGCAACCATCTACCCCATCCGTCCATCCATGCAGCTGTCAGCCCATTATTCATTTAGTCTCTGAGTCCCTCAGTGCTGAGTGATGAGGCCACATCATGGATAGAACACAGATAACCGCTGCCATCACCCAGCTGATGATACAGTGGTGAAGGACTACAGATCAGTAAATGTGGCCAAGCGCAGTGACTGTTAGGAGAGGAGAAAGGATCCTGCTTTTCCTCACCTTCTTGTCCCTCTGCAACTCAGAGGGAGAATCAAAATTCACATTTTTTAGAGAACATGGATCTTTCAGAATATGAGAGTTTCATGAGTGTTTTTTTTTTTAATTTAACACTTAAGTATAGCACTCTGAAAAATAAACACTCTAGAGTTTTAGTGTCTTAGAGGTCATTTAGTTTGCCTCCTTGTAACCAAACCGATGAAAATCTCCTTTTCTGACCTCCTGAGAAATAGATGGTAGAATCTCTGGGCAGCAGTCCTTGTGGTACTCGTACTCAGTGCCTAGCAAAGAGGTCCATAATGAGATATTCTGTGCGTCTCTGACTCAGAACATTCCTGTTTCATCTTCCACCTGGATTCCTTCTAATGCTTTTCAATAACAGATCAGTGTAGTTGAGTTTTGTTTAGCTATTTCTGTATGTAAGCATTTTTAAAAAAGGAAAAAGAAGCAAAAGAAAACCACAAAAACCCAACATGCTGTTTAAATAAAGAAAAATGAGTTTTACTTCCAAGAGAGCTTTCGTCATTTTCTTAATGCTTATTCTCCTTCTGAGAGCTTGTTATGGAACAGAGTGTGACAGTAGTTTACCGTGGTGAGCCTGTCTTGTCCGGGCCAGGGGATGAATTAGAGCACTGAAAAAGGCCAGAGGAGTGGGCAGAACTGTACCTAAATTATCCCCGGATATTGCTAAGTGATTCTACTTTTTAAAGACCTCCAGAGAGAGCATCCCTAATCTCCTTTAGTTTGCCTTTACAGTGTTTAATGACCTTTGCTGTCAGGAAATTCTTCCTCATATTTAACCCAGCTGTCCCTTCCCACCAATCACTCCCATTTCTTTTGTTGTCCTTGGTGGTGACAGAATATAGGGGTCGTTGTCTTCTTGATAATATACTTAATGTTCCTGAAGGGTATGAGGGAGGCCTCCCTTAGCCCAGACTTCTGCAAGTGAGAGAAATATAAATTTTTTCTCCTTTACACCCCCGTTCTCAGTGGTTCTATTTGGACATATAATCTCTGACGTTTGTTCTTAAGTCTCTGTTGCAAACATTCACATCAGGCCTTCCTGGAGATACCCATTGGTTCCATTTTCACTCACAGGGCAAGATCCTTTCATGATTTCCCTGGCTGTTGATTCATTCACATTAACTCCTGTTTGTTGAGCCCTCATTAGGTGGGAGGTACCACCCTAGTGGCTGATGGGATGTGAAGAGGAGTGACTCCCACTGACTTGCACCTAGAAGGAGGAGCCTGAATGTCACCTGCCAGTTACAGTCCTTGCGATAGTCTGTGGATTAGAACTGCTGGTTCCTCTCTTCCACAAAGACTTTTTTTTCCTGATTTATATTTTGGTACATTTAGAGTTTACATTGACCCCATCCTCAGAAAGTTAAGGCACTGTCATATTATTCATGCCCTCTTCTCTTGATTCATTTTATAAACACCCCGAGGAAGTTTGCACGTAGAAACTTTGGCCTGTGAGCAATTGGCGAGGCTGTTTCCCATTAGATTCTGTGCAGTCCTCACGAGGGGGTGTGATGGATCTTTGCAGGTCTCTAGCACTTATCAGAAATGCCTGGCACGTTTTAAACAAACTAATGACTGGTGGTTGGTTGTCAAATGAGTTGTTGGGAAATTTTTTTTTTTTAGTTCTCTGTCTCTCCACTCCTTTTACCTCAACATAAAAGCAGCCCAGAGCTTCTGCCTGGCTGCCAATGTAGGCAGCCCTCCCACCTCAGCTGCCAAGCTCTTAGCAGATGAAATAAAAGTCTATTTATAACTGGCCTCTGATGGATTTCCTCCCTACCTGGGCTAGTGCTCCATCAGCAGGTGTACTGAACAGATGGAGAAGGGTTTTAAGTTTTTCAGTTCAATTAGATCAACTCTCTAGGTTCTGGCCAGCGCATTCCCTTTCTCACTTAGTTTCTTCCTCTTGGCATTAAAATTGTTGAGCATAGCAAAACACAAATTAAGTCCAGGAGATAAAATGCATATAGTGCCTGCCTTTAAAAAAAGCACTTTGGCTCAGGAACCATATTTGACATCATATGCTAAATCTGTTTTAACCCTTTTTTACCTAGTGCTTAATTTTAATGTGTTTTAAATCAATATTAGAGTACTAAGATGCTAAAGAGCACAAATGCTTTCTTTTTTTACTTTTCTTTTCTTTTCTTTTTTTTTTTTATTTGGAGATGGGGTCTTACTCTGTCACCCAGGCTGGAGTGCAGAGATGCAGTCTTGGCTCACTGCAACCTCCATCTCCCGGGCTCAAACGATCCTTCCACCTCAGCCTCCCAATTAGCTGGGGCAACAGGCACGCACCTACCACACTCAGCTAATTATTTGTATTTTTGGTAGAGACGGTTTTACCATGTTGCCCAGGCTGGTCTCGAATTCCTGAACTCAAGTGATCTACCCATCTTGGCCTCCCAAAGTGCTGGAATTATAGGTGTACGCCACTGTGCCCAGTCTTTTTTCTTATGATGTATTTTTAGCATTGGAATTTAAGTGTTTTGAAACTATATCACACTGTTTTTGAAGAAACTTTATTTCTGATAGTAGTTTAGTTTATATGATGAAGCATTTTAATGAGGAGATGAAGTCATTCATTTCATGATGGTTGTTTGATGTCTTTTTTTCACAGTTTGTTGAACTGTTCAGGACAGTGATCAAGTGATACCACGCAGTGGTCCAAAACCAGTCTGAATATGGCCTTAGGCTCTGGGTTTTAACACCGCTAGTCTGTGAAAGATCAGTTGCCACAGTTTTTGGTTTCCACATATGTAAAGTTTCGTCATAATTAGCAAGTTCACCCTTAGTAGGCTGTATCACCTCTTGTTCCCCACATCCCAGATTTCAGTCCGTCCTTGGCTCTCGGATGGGAGGCCACTCTGATTGCAGCCACAGTTCATGCCCCACACAGACATTCACTGAGCCTCTGCCCAGCGTTCTGACACAGACTTCCACAAGGCCCACATCTGGATTCTTTGTCCACGCTAACACCATCACATTTAATTAATTAATATCTTTGTGAAGCTGGGTTTGAAACAAGAAAGGTTTGGACTGTTTCAGTGGATGTTTTGTTCATATAACTGGAGCAGGTTTTCTTTGGTGGTTTTATTTTGCCCCATTCTTTATTATTTCTGGATATTTTCAAGAGTGTGGATTATCCAGATTTGTGGCTTGTTCTCCAGCCTCCCTCCCATTTTGTTACCCACTAAGATGCATATCATGGTTGTCAGGGGCCAAAGGAGACTCCACTGAGTCAGCCTCACTGCTGGCTGGAAGTGGGGTGCATGATTTAAGTTAGGAGAAACAGTGCAAACAAGACCACCGCTTCCTATTTGTGTCATTGTCTGGCAAGTGCCTTTGAAGATTTTCTTTCATTGTTTTCTGTACTTTTTCACAGACTCTCATATTTGGAGGATGAGTTAAATATTACCTAGAAAATCACTTCTCTGATCCTTCATCTCCTTGGCAGGATCTGTGTCAAATGTCTTGATTTTCACAGTAGTGATCGCGCTTTCTCCCAGGCTGGCTGACCTGTGCTGTCTTTGGTAAGTTATTCTGTTGAGTTGTGGTGCTGCGATCTTTCTATCCATTACTTTCATCTGTGGCTTCTCCTTTAACCTTTTGGGGTCATACAGCACAAAATCTAATTTCGACACGTGGCAGCCTTTCACATATTTCAAAAATGACCCTTCTGTATTCCACCAATCAGACAGGACATGGTTCAGTTACATGGTTTTTCTCCTAACCATCTCCAGTCTAGCAATTTCTTTATTGTGGAGTGGGATGCAAAAAGGAAAGTCACATTTTTATGTAGGTTCTGTCTGACAAGTGTGGAACCATTACTGACCTAGTTGGAGGTCAAGGAAGTGTCAGAACTTCCTGTGTGCTTGATTTGACCAAGTGTAGCATCTTAGTCTCCCAGTAGGACAAAAGGGTTTCCGTGTTATCCAGGGACGGGGTGGATCAACTTTGATCATTTGGACCTGGCTTTGGTCATTTCTTGGTACCCATTACATGGCTGGGTGATGGCAGTCCATGAATGTGTGGAGAATGATGTCAAACAGGGTGCTGGATGACAAGTTCGGGTCTCCAGAGCACTTATGTGGTCTGTGAACATAAATCATTCCATTCAGTCAAACCTCCACCCTTGCCCCCTCCCTCATTGAGATGCTACACCACTGCGTCTTCTCTCTCTTGGGGCCACTTATTCTTGTCTTGTTTGTGAAAGCCAAAACAATAGGATGCTAGGTTCTTGAGGCAGATAAAATAGATTCCCAGGTTAACTCCATTTATGATTTGTCGATCTTTTCCCTTCTTCACTCCTGCAGTAAGGGAATTATCATAGGGAGGGACCATCAGACAGGCCTTTTTGGGGACTTTTTCTTATATAGCGTTAACACATTTATTTCCAAGTGGTTTAAAGGCAAAATATATGAATGCCTAGGTATTTTGAGATCTTTCAGAAAATAGAAGGAATGGGAATGTTCTTGTTCATGTTATTGGGCTAGTATTGCATGAGAAGAGCAGTCAAAAGCCTAAAGGAAATATTAGCAGATTGAATATCAGTTTTTAGAGAGAACTTCTTTTGGTTCACCTGGGTAGCTGGTAGCATGCTATGTGCTGTGAGATGGTCACACACGCTGTCTCATGTAGGTCTCACACAACTGCCCTGTGAGGCTTACATTCTGTCATTAACGGAGGAGGATGGTGACACTCAAGTGGGGACCAGCTGGTCCTTGCAGCAGCTGAGGTCATAGGCGCTTCTTCCTGATGTTGGGTTTTTGTGGCTGCTCTTGGTGAGATTTATTTACCAGAAGTTTGTCTTCTTTATTTTTCTTTTTAAGACTCAGTTTTTTTTTTGACTTAGTTTTAAATTCCATTTGTTAATCCTAATAGATAGTCTTTGTTCTCTAATTTTGTAGTCACCTCTGACACCCAAGTCCCAGCTTTTATCCACAGTCCTGCGCTGTCTCCTTATTTTAAAAGAGCAACTCACCACAATCACGTAGGGTTTATTCCAGAAACAAAAGAATAGTTCTTAGGAAAGCTAGTAGTGTAATACAGTCTATTAATTCATTAGAAAAGAGACTGACCATCTTGATAGATATGCAAAAGCCATTTGGTTTGATTCAACACCTACTTTTTCTTAAAAATAAAGAAATAAAAGCTGTTGGTAAATGAGATATAGAAGGCTACCTCTCTCACATAATAGAGAATTTCTAGGAAAAGCTGTTAACATTCTTACTAAAGTCACGGCCAGTTAAAAATGCCTGCCACAGTCACAGTTCTTCAACCTTGTTTTGGAAATTGTAGCTAATGCCATTAAACAATATAAAGAAATAAGAAATACAAATACTGGAAAAAGGCAAGAGTCATTATGGTCAGATGCTGTGATTACATGGAATACTCATGAAAGGATATTTCTTGAGCACCTACTATGTGCTAAGCTCCCTGTCTTGTAAAACTTATATTAGGGAAGACATTCAATTAAATATGCAACTCTAATGTAGTGATATAAATTCCACGACAGAGAAAAACACAGAGACCTATGGGAACATGATAGCCATGGCTTTCTGAGCCCTGCAGGGGTGGGGTTGGAGAAGTTTTTCTCTTTCTCAAACTTGTCAAGCTCATGGTGACCTCAAGGCCCATTGCTGCAGCCATTCCTTGTCTGAAGAGCTCTCACCCTTGAACTTTTATGGCTGCCTTCTTTGACTCAGGGGGTCTGGGCTCAGTTGTCTCCTTTTCAGGAGAGGTCATTCCTGACCACCCCGTCTAACATGGCTCCTTACCCCTGCTGGTCCATAACAGTGTCACCCCTGCAGTGACTTCTGTTGGCTCCTTGCATATTCTCTGTCTGCAGCTCCATCACCTCACAGGTATCCTCCAAGAGCGTAGGGCTTGTCAGTCTTGTTCATGGTTTTATCCTCAGGGTAGAGAACTGTGTCTTCCCCCTGTAGGTGCTCACTAAATAATTTGTTGAGTGAATGTGCTGGAAGACAGGAGGTGGAGACAGGATATGGTGCTTATAGGCTGCCCCTTCAGGAGGAAGCAGAGGGTGGAGCCCTACCTGGGCTGGGGAGGCATGGCTTTGGTGAAGACAGGTCTTTTTTTTTTTTTTTTTTTTTTTTTTTTTTTTTTTTGGAGGTGTGTGTTTAAATGCTGAGCGAAAAGTTGATTTGGGAGATCTAAAAGAAGGGGGAAGGGAGGATCTATGGCAGACTGGGATAAAGGGCACAGGGGTTAGCCTGAAAGAGGAGGGGAAACAGCTTTTACCTGTAATGGGAGGGTAGGAGGAGGGGATTGTGCAGAACTGACGTTCATAGGTTTGGTGATGGGATGTTGGGGAAGTTTTCTTCTTTGAATGATGCTATTGTTGACAGTGAGAAGTGGTGGGCTTGGAGATTTGAATAAAGTAGGTAATAAAATGGGTACTGGCCATTAAGAAAGAGAATGAGACAGAGCAGACTGAGAAATGTGGGAGGCTGGTTGGGTACCCAGTTAAAGGTGGAAGACTGTTAATTTATGGTGACACCAATCTGTGAGTTCAGGAGATTGTGCATTGAAGCCTTAAGCAGCCCAGGTATTTGCATGTTTTTTTTTTTTAAAAAAAAGATTATTAATTGTTTAGTGAGATCTAATTCACATACTGTAGAGTTCTCCATTTTATAATTATACAATTCAGTGGTTATTAGTATATTCACAAAATTGTGTGGCCATCACCACTGTCTAATTACAGAACATTTTTATTATCCCCAAAAGAAACTCCATACCCTTTAGCACTCACTCCTCATTCTCCTCTTCCCCCTGTCCTTGGCAATTACTAGTTCACTTTTTGTCTATGGATTTGTCTATTCTGGACCTTTCACGTAAATAGAATCATGTAATAGGTGGTGCTGGTCATTAGCATCTGGCTTCTTTTGCTTAGCATGGTGTTCATGGTTCATCTATGTTGCAGCATGTATCAGTATTCCATTCCTTTTATGGCTGAATAATAATCCATTTTATTGACATACCATATTTTGACATTTTATTTATCCATCATCAGTTGGTGGACATTTGGGTTCTTTTTACTGTTGGGTTGTTTTTAGTATTTGGCTATCTCGAATAATGTTGCTGTGAACATTGGCGGACAAGTTCTTGTGTGAATATATGTTTTCAATTATCTGGGGGCCAGACGTAAGAGTGGAATTTTTGGGCCATTTGGCAACCTATGTTTAACTTTTTGAAGAATGTCCAAACTGTTTTTCACAATAGCTGCATCATTTTACTTTGCTACCAGTAATGTATGAGCATTCCAGTTTCTCTACATCCTTGCCAACACTTGTTATTATTATTTTTTAAATGACAGCCATGCTAACGGGTGTGAAGTGGTATCTCATTCCAAGTGTGTGCATATTGAAGATGCACTTAGATTGATCCACAGTTGGGATTTTGCTAGAAGGCTCTATGGAAAAAGAGAGGTCTTACGTAGCTGAGGATGGTGGCAAGTGGATAATTGAAGTGACGGGTCAGGGATTGAATTAAAGAAATTTGCAGGACCAAGGAAAGCAAACCACAAAAATTTACTAAAGGGAAGAAAGGAAGCCTTAAATTAATGAAAGACTCAATATTGTAAAGATGTCAATTCTCTTAAAATCTCATATGTAAATGTAATATAATTCTAGCAGAAATCCCAGTGAAAAATTTGTGAAGGATTTGCTAAAATGATGATTAAGTTCAACTGGAATGTTTAAATGCATGAAAACACTCAAGATATATTTGGGGGAAAAACAATAACAATGATAGGGACTTATTTACCAGATATTAAAACATACTATAAAATTAGTTATTAAACAGTGTAGTTTTAGGAATGGAATAAACCAGTGGATTGCTGGAACAAAAGAGAAGTCCCAGGTTAACATGAACATGTATTATAGAGATGACATTGCCTCGTCAGAAGTGAAAGGATAATTTCATAAATGGCTTTGGGCAACTGGCTTACTATGTCAAAAATGTAAAGTTATATCCCTGTCTCACATCAGCTGACAGCACAATAAATTTGAAGTTAAATATTTGTGAAGAAAAATATATTCATAGAACACTAGAAGAGTAACTGCGGTCATGGGGTTAGATTTTGTGGAATGGAAGAGAGACCAGCCTCACAGCGAAGAGGCCATTGAAGACTTGGACAGAGCTGGCTGTGATGCAGCCACAGCCAGGAACAGTAAGAATGGCAGGGGCCACTAGAAGCTGGAGGAGGCAAGGAAAGATCCTTTCCTAGCACCTTCAGAGGGAGCAGGGCCCCTCCAGCACCTCGATGTTTGGACTTCTGGCCTCCAGAACTACGAGAAAATCAATTTCTGTGTCTAAGACCCAGATTTGTGGTAATTTGTTGCCACACGGCCCTAGGGAACAATGCAGTGACTCTCAGACAGGATTTGATGGAGAGAGTGGTCAGAACCAGTGGCGCTTTCTAAAAGATTGATGCCATGAGCTGTGTTTGTCTAGTCTGGGCAGACAAGAGATTTCCATTCATGATTAAGGAGGGCCCACGGATCTGCGTGATGAATTTGAGGAGGATACACTGGTCCCGCAGGGCAAGGACGTCATCTTAGTCACTGCTGTATCCCCAGCGTTAAGAAGAGTTAGAAGAGGACACAGTCCACACTCAATGACTGTTTAATGAATTAATTAATAAATAGAAAACACACAAAAATGTAAACACTATCCATTTTTAAAACAAGATACTAATTTTTGAATAAAACCAGGTTGTGGTGGGGACCATAGGGCCAGAATAGTTGCCGTCCCCTTCACCTCCCACTTGATTCACGCATGGTGGCTCGAGGGGACAGAGATGTGAGATCGTGGCTGGAACCACTGCTCTGAGTTGGAGCTGCTGAAATGGTAGCTTGGCGGTCTGCCCTCATGGTGCATGGCTTGAAGCTACATGTCAAAGGAAAGCACCATCCTTGCAACCAATGACACTAAAACTCAAGTTAGATTATGGCAAGCTTGTCCAACCCGTGGGCCACATGTGGCCCAGGATGCTGTTGAGTGCATCCTAACCCATATTCATAAACTTTTTTAAAACATTGATTTTTTTTAAATTTTAAGCTCATTAGCTATCGTTAGTGTATTTTATATGTGGCCCAAGGCAGTTCTTCTTCCAATATGGCGCAGAGAAGCCCAAAGATTGGACACCCCCTGGACTATAGTATTAATGCATCACATAGTTCATTCTTTTCACATAGTGAGTAAAAAGTAATTCGTTTGATAAGCAATTCTTGAGCACCTCCTGTATGCTGAACGCCATGCTACGCTCTGCGGTACAGAGAACAAAGAGGTGGTCCTTGCCCTTGAGGCTTCTACAGATTGTTGTAGGCTGGTAGCCATCTAGATAAGTAGACAAATCACTTGGATATCGTGTGATAACATACATGCCATCGATAGACACCTAGGATGCTGCAGGAGCACGGAGCAGGGTCTGCCAACACACTGGGCATTGTAGATTTTACATATGATGGAGTTTTGAGATTACAGGCTCATGCCTGTAATCTCAGCACTTTGGGAGGCTGAGGCAGGCGGATCACCTGAGGTTGGGAGTGTGAGACCAGCCTGACCAACATGAAGAAGCCCCGTCTCTACTAAAAATACAAAAGTAGTCGGGCGTGGTGGCAGATGCCTGTAATCCCAGCTACTTGGGAGGCGAGGCAGGAGAATCGCTTGAACCTGGGAAGTGGAGGTTGCGGTGAGCCAAGATTGCGCCATTGCACTCTAGCCTGGGCAACAAGAGTGAAACTCCAAGATGGAGTTTTATTTGGGCCATATTGAGGCAGAGGCTCAAATGTAGGTGAAATGGTTGGTTAACTGTATGGAATAATGTGAAGGGAGCTGAAAATCCATCTGCCCAGAGCGACTATGCAGGAGCATGCCTGAAATGGCAGCTCATATTTCTTGGCCTCATGCTTTCTAGGAGTCCTCTCCTAAAACAGAGACGCCTCTGTCAGATTCCTAGAGTTCTTCTAAGTAGGCATGCCTACTTTGTTGAGTTCCTAGGTTTGATTTTTGAGGGAAGAGAAGTCACAAAGGATGGAACATGGGATGGGGGAGGAGAGAGGTTGGAGCAGAGCACTGGGCATTTAGGGAAAAGAATCATGAAGGGAAAATTCCTAGAAGGGGCAACAAACATAGCCTCAAAAATCCACAGCTCTTCCCTAGACTGGGTCTGCCAGGTGCCCTGATCCAGCTCTCTGGTCAGCCGCATTCTGCATAGAAAGGGGAGCAGGGCTGGTCTTGTCCCCATGGAAGTGTGAACTTGGGGCTCGTCTTTTGGGAGCAGAGAAAAATAGTTCCTTGATATACATGTAAGTTTCTATGTGGGGTATTAGAATGAATCCTAGCTGTTGGGAGCATGTCTTTTACAAATCAAATTAAGTATCTTTTATATATAGATATAGATAGTCTGTAATTTGATGGTACTGATGAGAGTGAAAACAATATGTGGACTTGCCCATTTACTGAAAGATCAAGCAAATACATTTCAGGGTCTTTTTGATAGCTGTGAGTATTACTTGCTAGTATTAAAATATTTTAATTTTCAAGAACTTGGACTCTGTTTCCTTTGATGAACCAGTTAGGAAATATTGTCAGAGAAACCCTAAATTTACTCTCATTTTCAGTCATGAATGAATCCCTGATTACTGTGATGAAGAAAAATCCTGGGTCCCAACTTCCTTGCCCAAATCAACACAAATGTAACCTTTCATCTTGATCAGGAGATGCTGAAGGTAGAACATAAACAAAAACATAAGAAACCGTTCATCACTCTGAGAGAGGTTTAATTTTCATCAGTCAGGAAAGATACAGACACCAAATCAAAGGTGTTGATAGGATTTCACTGTAAGGTTTTGGCGATTTTCTTTTCCCTGGGTGTTCATTCTCCCCTTGGGCTGATGGTGGTTGGCAGAGCTGGAGCATTCACCGTGGCTTTTCTGATTCCTCTTTCTCATGTTGGAGTAATGTTTTTAGTTCATTGCCCATATAGCCTTGGCAGCTATAATCAGTCACTGGAGTATATCCTTGATTGTAGGAGAGACTTGATAATAATGACTCTTTCATTCATTTATTCCACAAACATAGGCTGAGTGTTAGCTGCGTGCAGTGAACCATGGGAAGTGCTATGGGGAAGCACAGCTATGTAAATCATGGCTCCAACTATGTGCAAAGGCCCCATGACATAAATAAGCACAGAAGATGTGTCTGTACCTCTGTATCTGCTTTATAACCTCCCTGAGGAAATGCTACAGGCCTGATCCATCTCTCCCCTCTTTAAAGACTGTCAGGGGCTCTCTATTTCCCCCACCATAGAGTCCAAACTCGAGCCTAGTACCCAACATTCTTCAGAACCTGACCCCAAGCCATCTGGGTGTCCTCATCTCCCACCGCTCCGCCCACACCCTGGGCTCCAGCATTTGACTCTTCCCCAGTGTGCCGTGTGCTCCTTACCGCTGCCCCTGGCCTTGGCACTTTCTGTTCTCTCCTCTGAGGACGCCTGGCCTCATCTTCAACAGCTGGTGGACTTCTACACGTCCCTCAAAACCAGCTCCTCTGTTACCTCCAATGTGGCACTCTTTTCTAAGCTACCCCAATTCCCACCCAAGGCAGAATTTGTCTCTAGGCTTGTGCTAGAACATGTAGGATACAGGGGTTCTTTGGGAAGAGGACATTGGGAAGGCATATGGGAATGTGGAATATGGGAAGGCAACAATTCTTGGCTTTCCTGGTCCAGCCCGGGCTGGTCTGGTCCCCTGCAGATGATCTCAGCGTTCATGAAGGCAGGTTCTGGAGACTTAGGAGGAGGGACCCCTCCCCGCCTTCCCTGGGACGTGGAATCCCCTGTGAGCAGGATGGATCTAGGGTATGTCTTTTAGCCTTCTGTATATCTGCATAGACTTTTCTTCTGCCTTCTCATAGTTCATAGCTTGTGTCTACACAAGAACTCTCTAAACATGTGATAGCGAATTAAAGCCATTAACTCCATTATCTGGGATATTGTTTCAGGTATATTTTAATATTGCTGTATAATTTGTCCATAAAATGCTTATCTTCATAATGAAATATGAATGGGTCTTTGTCCGACAGAAGACTTTTGTTGAATAAGATGATGGCAGAACGCTGTAGGATCCTGCTATTTGAATCTTCTTGGAGTCACATTCCTTAGCATCTAGAGGAGGTAACAGAGGACATGTGGACGTGCTTTCTGCTGGCGATTAAGTCCCAGGCTTGGGAGTGGCTTGTAGCAGGCTGATGATTGAAGTCTGGAGTGATTCTAGCACAGAAAAGCAACCAGGGCGCAAGGTATTTCTGTGTGTATTTGGTTCGCTGATCAGCACTTGGGTTACCAAGATGATTAAAGCACAGCCTTGCCCTTTGGGAGAGAAAACCATTCAAAGAAATGCTGTGACAAAAGACACAAGCATTGAGTGATCAAGTACAGCATGTGCATGATTATTGGAGAGCACCAGGTTGTCAGTGAAGACAGTCGTAAGGGAGGAGAGATGAGGTGGTGGGGGAGACGTCTTATAATCGAGTAGAGTACTGAGAACAATGCTGGGGTTATCTCTCTGGTGTACAAAGGGACTACCTTGGTCAGGGTCCTGGCAGAAATGTACCTAAGAGGGATAATTGGAGAAAGCTGAAGGAAGACACTATTTACAAAGGTGTGGTCAGGATTAAGAGAAACCAACAAGAGCTGGCAGAGAGCTTTGAAGCTTTACCATGCCTAGACCCAAAAAGGGGCAAGAAGAGAGCAATGACAAGTATTGAACCGTGATATAGGAGAGGGTCGCCCTGTAGGAATTGTGCCCTTTAGTAGAGGAACTCAGCCACTGCCAAACTGTGGAAAGAGGGCTGGGGGAAGAAATACCGAGTCTCCCATCAGTGTATCCCATTGGCCAAGTCCAACAGAAACCAGAGTTCAAGGGAGCCCATTGATACAGGTCGTGCAACAGGATAGAGAGTGGTCCCAGCAGAGCACACAGAGACTGTCCTGCAGAAAGACTGATTAGGCACCGGCAAGAGTCGTACTCAGCCATGTTGAGAGCCCTGCTGAGCTTGGAAACAATCACTTTGTGATTGTACCAAATAGGAAGGATATGGGATTCTCATTGGGTGAGCAAGAGTGCTTTTTCTGTTATTTGGAAGAGGTATCACTCTAAGACCTGTAATTTGCCCATCCGTGTCTGGTTTCTGACACTGGCACCCTAGAACATGTACAAAAGGGTAGTGACACCACGATTTAAGGACCAGCTGTCTGTGTATGGCTCAGTCACTTCCAAAATACTAAGCTAAAATGTTTTGGATTCTTATGTTTTATCCAGCGTTACCTCACGTCAATTCAGTTCAGTTCAATTACATTCGGATATTTGCTGAACATCAAGAATTTCTTGGAACTATGCTGGATGTGCTCAGGATACCCAGATGAGAAGGCATGGAGTTAGAATACAGTAGGGGAGATGATCATGTAAACAAATCGTATAATTAAAGCGAAGCCTGGTGAATCTAATGGAAGCTCTTAACTGACCTGCCCTTGCAGACTCACTGTGTTAATTGGGAAGCCTTGTTCTCTCTCCAAACGCTGTGGCTGCTGGGCTGGCTAGCCTACATGGTTTCGGCTTATTTGGCTGTGTCTCTGTGCACCTGTACACGTCCATGATTTGCATGTTTACCAAGAGTCTCCTGTGTGTGTTCCCAAATCATTTTATGTCAGTTGTTAGTAATTAAATTTATACAATTTAATTACGTTTTAAGTGAACCAGTGAAATATAGATGCAAAATAAAAAGCTTTCGTTTGCGTTAAAATTAAGTCAAACATTTCAGAAAAAGTTAATAAAGGGTAGTCACTTAAAAAATGCCATTTGAAATGGGTACAGATAAGACAGCTCCTCATCCCTTAAAGCTGGCAGTAAGGATGATCTTGACAACAATAAGTTTGTCGATGGTAGGCAAAAAATTAAGACTGTACCTTGATGGTTTCTCAATTTTTCTGTGAGGGAGGAATGAGCAGTGAAATGATGGGGGTGGGAGCCTGAGGACCGTGAAGACAGCTTGAAATAGATAACTTGGCAGGGGAACGGGAGGTTGCTGGCTAGGGCCTGGAGAAGGACTTGTGGGCAGCACTGACCGTGCATCCACCTGAGGCTGGAGATTGTGATTTTTGTCATGGCCCCCACCTACCTAAACAACTGTGCGACTTTCTTTTGCAGTGCTTGGCAGGCTGACGTAGAAGTGCAAAAATAGTTGCTTAGAGCGATCCAGGATGGGGATTTTGTGGGGGCAGGTGTGGCAGGGGTTTAAGGGGAAACGAGAGTTGAGTTTGGGCAAGAATGATTTAAAAGTGACTTAAGCCTTTTGGCCAGAATTGCCATTTTTCATTAATTTGCCTATGTGATGAACATGAAGGGAAAGAAGAGAGGCACCTGCTATGTTTTCTTTCTTTCTTACTCCCTCTCCCTCTCTCTTTTTTTTTTGAGACTGGATCTTGGTCTGTTTGCCTAGGCTGGCATGCAGCGGTATGATCATAGCTTACTACGGCTTCAGACTCCTAAGCTCAAGCGATCCTCCCACCTCAGCCTCCCAAGTAGCTGGAACTACAGGTGCACACCACCATACGCAACTAATTTTTAATTTTTTTTTTTTTTGGTAGAAACAGGGTTTTGTTATGTTGCCCAGGCTGGTCTGAAACTCTTGGCCTCAAGTGATCCTCCTTCCTTGGGCTCCCAAAGTACTGGGGTTACAGGCATGAGCCACTGTGTAAATGTTTTGTAGGACTTTTAGAAAACATGGGGTTGTGCCTTTGGCCACACGCATGCTTGTGGATCTACAAGAACAGCGGTCCTGTAACTCTTCAGGGAAGGGGCACCACATATCTGTCCTGTCACCATGGCAAAGCTGGAAGGGTCTGCAGAGCTACCCAGCATGCTGCTGGTGTTGTTGTAACCAAGCAGAGGGCAAGATTCTCGCCATGAGAATTGATGTACATGTCTAGCATGTGAAGCATCCTAAGGGCTGAGGTGGGTTCCTGAAACCTGTGGAGGAAAATGCTCAGTGCAAGAAGCCAAAGAAAAAGGCACCAGGCTCAGCGGGAGCACCCGCCTGGAGAAGCATACTTTGTGAGGATCAGCAGAAAGGAGCTGAGTGTGGAAGCTGTCCCCAAGTCATGGCACAAAAGTATTCAAAAGAAAGGATTTCTGGATTGTTTTTTAAAAAACAAAACTGTGATGTAAATGATGAATTGTGCTCTGTGGTCTGATTAGGAATGTAAGTGGATCCAGAGTACAGTGGGGCTGAGGCAGTGGAAGTATTTTTTTGTGTTTTTTTTTTTAACTTTTAGGTCAGGGATACGTGTGCATGTTTGTTTAATGGGTAAACTTGTGTCACGGGGGTTCGTTGTACAGATTATTTTGTCACCCGGATACCAAGCCTAGCACCCCAATAGTTATTTTTTCTGCTCTTGTCCTTCCTCCTGCCCTCTACACTCAAGGAGGCCCCAGTGTCTTTTGTTCCCATCTTTGTGTCCATGTGTTCACATCATTTAGCTCCCACTTCTAAGTAAAAACATGAGGTATTTGGTTTCCTGTTCCTGTGTTAGTTTGCTAAGGATAATATCCGCCAGCTCCATCCATGTTGCTGCGAAAGACATGATGTCGTTCTTTTTTATGGTGGCATAGTACTCCATGGTGTATATGTACCACATTTTCTTTTTACATTCTGTCATTGGGCATTAGGTTGATTCTACATCTTTGCTATTGTGAATAGTGCTGCAGCGAACATATATGTGCATGTGTCTATATAGGAGAATGATTTATATTCCTTGGAGTATATACCCAATAATGGGACTGCTCTGTCAAATAGCAGTTCTGTTTTTAGCTCTTCGAGGAATTGCCACACTGCTTTCCGCAATGGTCGAACTAATTCCCACCAACAGTGTGTAAGTGTTTTCTTCTCTTCACAATCTCACCAGCATCTGTTATGTTTTGACTTTTTAGTAATAGCCATTCTGACTGGTGTGAGATGGTATCTCATTGTGGTTTTGATTTGCATTTCTCTAATGATCAGAGATGTTGAACTTCTTTTTTATATGATTGTTGGCTGCATGTATGTTGTCTATTGAAAAGTGTCTGTTCATGCCCTTTGTCCACTCTAATGGGGTTTTGTTTTTTCTTATAAATTTGTTTGAGTTTCTTATTAGATACTAGACCTTTGTCAAATGCATAGTTTGCAAAAATTTTCTCCCATTCTGTAGGTTGTCTGTTTACTCTGTTGATAGTTTCTTTTGCTGTGCAGAAGCTCTTTAGTTTAATTAGATCCCATTTGTCAATTTTTTTCTTTTGTTGCAATTGCTTTTGGCATCTTCATTATGAAATCTTTGCCCATTCCTATGTTCAGGGCAGTATAGGTTGTCTTCCAGAGTTTTTATAGTTTTGAGGTTTACTTTTGAGTTGACTTTTTCTATGTGGTGTAAGGAATCAGTCCAGTTTCAATCTTCTGCATGTGGTTAGCCAGTTATCCCGGCACCATTTATGGAATAGGGAGTCCTTTCCTCATTGCTTGTTTTTGTCAGTTTTGTTGAAGATCAGATTGTTGTAGGTGTGCAACCTTATTTCTGGGCTCTCTATTCCAATCCATTGGTCTATGCTTTTTTTTTTCTTTCTTCTTCTTTTGAGACAGGGTCTCACTCTGTCACCCAGGCTAGAGTGCAGTGGTGCAATCGCAGCTCACTGCAGCCTCAAGTGGAAGTCTCGATGAGATCAGGGAGGAGTAGGTGTGAAGACAGTAGAAGTTCTGGGAGGCTGAGGTTGGGGAATGGCCCTTTGACCTTGGGATTGCAGAGGTCGAGGGGCTTCTGGTGTGGGTGGGGCTGCAGCCTTGGGTGGTGTAAGTGAAGTGATAAAGACCACTGGATCAGAAGACATCTAGAAACACAGAGGCAAAGGGGTTTCAAGACCTTCTTTGGTGACATTGAGACCACCCCAAACTGCCAAGATTTGTGATAGATAAGTGGACAGGGAGATCATTGGCAAAGCCATTGATAAATATGGTGACAGCTCCAAGAAGATTGGCAGGCGAGAGAGAGGCTGAGGAGTGAGTGTGGTATAATGGCATGGGCCTCAAAGGGCTTTTCCCTAAGGAGAGGGGAATGGTGGTTTTCCCCTGTATGATTTCTTTGGGGCAAACCAGACCCGTTTTTCTGTAAGCACAAAATTTGTGCTTTTGATTAGCAGAATATCTGCTCCCATTTGAGGAGGCATCTGTCTGCTATCCGTGTGACTCTTATGGAAAATTCTAAAAGTGACTGGTGCCATAATTGGAGCTAGGACTCACTTCTTGCTCCTATGATTCTACTTTGATATTAAATAAGTTTCCTTTATGAGACACCAGTCAGTAAATAGAACAGGATGTATGGTTAAATAGCTAAAATTATTTTCATCATTGCAATTATAGTATGCCTTGCCATTTCAAACCAAATATCCACTTATCTTTCCTGAAATTTTGCAAGAAATCTATTATTCGAGGATGCAGAGATGATTTTTTTTTGGTTGAGTTAAACATTTTTATGGATTAGATATGAATTCAGTAAAAATAATTGAATTAAATTGGGTAATATGAATAATTCATGACATGTAATTTCACATCAGTTCTACCTTAAAAATAAAGCTATTGGTTTATGTACTGGGAAGATGTATTTTATTATTTAGAAAGGTAGAGAACATTATTTTGGAATATAACTCACTGTATGATTAACTAGATACATTAAATAGTAAGATTGAAAGAAAGTACAGAATTCAAACTAAGGTGCTTTGATGCAATTCACCTGTTCCATCTTCTTGATGAAACACTAGTTGCTCTGTGTCTGTCATTAGCGATTCCGCAAGGCATGTGGTGATAAGACTTCCAGATTTTGAGGATATGTCCAGTAATTGTGCTTGAACATTGTAATGGGTGTGACGGCTGCCAGGTGCCTCATTTGGGGAGTAGGGGACAACTTTCTGGCTAGGTCATTCTTTCCAAAGACATGTACTCTCTGCTTCCTCTGTGTGTAGCCCAGCATACTGGGACATCCATATGACTAAGGCTTGGGGAGTTTCTTGCAGAGTGGTGTGGTGGCACAGATCAAAATCTTGGTAGAAAAGTGAGCCCAGGTAGTCACAGGCTTGACCCAAGCCTGGAAGGAGGAGCAGGAGTTAGCTATGGAGAAGAAGAGGGGAGAGAAGGGGGACACTGAGGAGTGAGAATCACCTGTGCAGTGGTACCAGGGCCAGAGGGAGTCAGTTTGGACCTGCTGGCTGCAACTGGACGGAAGAAGCACATGGACTGTGGTGGGAGATGAGGCTGAGAACATTGGGGGCCAGGCTCCTGAACCGGGCTAAGGAGCTTGAACCTGATCCTGCAGGTATAGCGGGAACCACTGAGCAGCGCTGATGACAGAGATGTTCTGTGTTGGTACCATAGTCAGCCGAAAGTCTCTCGTGAAAGTTTTCCCTCTTAAATGTTTGTGGTGGTAGTTCAAAATGGAATTGGTCCACAAAGGTATTGCACAATAGAAGATGCAGTATCTTAACCATTGCTATCATTTGTTGATGACCAGAAGTTCAATCACAGAAATTGATACCAATACCTGTTATTACTCACAACAATGCGTCATCCTTTATTAGGCTCCTAGTGCCTTTTGGCCATTTTACACTAAGACAAAACCACTAACTGCTTTAAAAGGCGTTGGTCACAACTTTTATGATTTGAGATTAATCAAAGGCACCGAATGTCAGAGTCTCCTACAGAACTCAGCCAACTTTTAGGGCAAGGCTCTGTACTTCTCCATCTTTAGAAGGAAAGCAGGGAAAACCGTGGAAATCATGCTACTTTCATTCTCTTCTTGGAGGACTATCCCCTGGGTAAAAATTCAAGGTTCTTCTAATTAATACATTGTAACTAACACATTAATGAATACTGCCTGGTGAGATGAGTTGTATCTTAGGTCACAGTTGTTGAAGCCAGACAACGTGAAAGAAGATGATGGGCAAAATGGATGGTTTTAGTTACTTCTTTTTTAAATACCGTATTGTTTTTGTTAAATGATACAAGCTTTCTATGAATGAAGTAAAATAGTACCTGAAATGCAAAGGAAGTAAAAATCACTCCAAAATTTCATCCTCTAGAACAGCAGTTCCCAAGCTCTGTGGCACCAGGGACTGGTTTCATGGAAGACAGTTTTTCCACAGACTGGGGGCAGGGGCGATGGTTTCAGGATGCGGCTGTTCCACTTAACATCATCAGGCATTAGTTAGATTTTCTTTCTTTCTTTCTTTTTTCTTTTGAGATGGGGTCTTCTGTCGCCCAGGCTAGAGTGCAGTGGCATGATGTCTGCTCACCACAACCTCTGCCTCCTGGGTTCAAGCAATTCTCGTGCCTCAGCCTCACAAGTAGATGGGATTATAGGCGTCTGCCACCATGCCTGGCTAATTTTTGTATTTTTTAGTAGAGGTGGGATTTTGCCATGTTGGCCAGGCTGGTCTCAAACTCCTGAGCTCAAGTGATCCACTCGCCTTGGTCTCCCAAAGTGCTGGGATTACAGGCATGAGCCACCATGTCCAGCCTAGATTTTCATAAGGAGTGCACACGTGCTTAGATATCTTGCACATGCAGTTCACAATAGGGTTCGCACTCCTATGAGAATGCAATGCTGCTACTGCTCTGTTAGGAGGCGGAGCTCAGGCAGTAGTGCTCGCTCACCTGCCACTCACCTCCTGCTGTGCGGCCTGGTTCCCAACAGGCCACAGCCTGGTCCACTAGCTAGGGGTTGGGGACCCCTGCTCTAGAGTTAACTACAGATGACATTCTGGCGAACATACTACCAGACATTTCTCTAGAATTCATAACTTTGTATTCTTAGTCCTTCTTGCAAACTCTGGTGTGCTTGGTCCTCTCTGTAGGATATCTGTTGAGATTGCCTAGAATTTTTTTTTCTTTACTCTTCAAGTTTCTTAATTTTTGCCAAGTGTTCCATTATTGGAACGCTAAGCATGTGGGAGTTATTTGTATCCTACTCAGGGTCATCGCCAAGGTCTGTTTGCAAAAATTCAAAAAATTGCAACCTCAGGCATAAATGGGTACGGACTATGTTCAATTTTGTTTCTTCTTTTTACAGTGTGTGGCTTGTTTTGTAAACAAATGAATACATGAATTAAATCTATATGGAGTACAAAGGGATGAAGGAGAAACAGCTTCTGAGCTGTTTGTAACCATCCTTGTTTGCATAACCTACTTATTATTGAATTCAGTTCAGAGATCATGCTGGTGGTCATCTTACTGGTTAGCTTTGCCTCACTGGACTAGAGTCACTCAGATGAAATGAGTGGAGGATGATACATTAATGTTTTCCAGAGATCCTTCCTGTAGCTTACTATTTAACATCCAATCCATCAATGGATATTTGATATTGGGATTAAGGTACTAGTTATATTTATGGATAAAAGAGAATTGGGTTACCTTAGCTAACTTGATCAAAATTCAAATGGTTGTGGTTAAGTAGAAGAAATAGGTAATTTTAAAATGCCAGAGTTTGAATGAGTGCAAGTAAAGGCATGCAGATATGAAAACCTCATCCTTTTATCTTGATGGTGTTTTGAAACTTCAAGTATTTTTTTTTTCAGACCTCCAGGAAGAATGGATTTTTTATTGCCTTCACGTGGGGTGGTTTCTTTGTGTACGTGAATGTGCCACCAGGGCAGTGTTTCTCCTGGGGCAGTGTTTCACAGTGGGGCAAGTTGTGGACCCACCTGTGACCGTGGTGCATTTCCAGAGAGGAGAACTGCGGATCTTGTGCATTCTCTGTGTCTCCTTCTATTTTTCAAGAGACCTTTAAAAAGTTTCTGTCTAGGCCAGGTGCGATGGCTCACACCTGTAATCCCAGCACTTTGGGAGGCCGAGGCAGGTGGATCACCCGAGATCAGGAGTTCGAGACCAGCCTGGCCAACATGATGAAACCCCATCTCTACTAAAAATTCAAAACATTAGCCAGGCGTGGTGGTGGAGGCCTGTAATCCTAGCTGCTCAGGAGGCTGAAGCAGGAGAATCACTTGAACCTGGGAGGCGGAGGTTGCCGTGAGCCGAGATTGCACCATTGCACTCCAGCCTGGGCGACAAAAGCAAAACTCTTGTCTCAAAAAAAAAAAAAATTCTGTCTAAATTCCAGTGATGATCAGATGTGAACATAAACACGTTCAGGATCATATACATTGCTGGATTTGCCATATCTGACTTTGTCTGTTTCTAGGATATTCGAAATTCTGTGACTCCTATTAATGTATCATTCTCCTGGGGCATCACAGCTGAGGCTGGTGTAGGCTCACTAGTAGCCCAGCCTGGAAAACAAGCTACTCAGCACACTCCTCTTAGCTTGGCTTTGTTGTGTGTGCACTTCATGAGGGTGATGCTGCCCATGTGATATTCCAGATGTAGGTGAGTCTCCAGAACGGACAGCAGCTACAGTAGTGTATCTTTTAGAGAGCACGGAAGAGTTGCTTAAAACTTCTTTTCTATTCAACTCTTCATCAGAGGTACTCTTCATGACCTCATCTATTCATTCATGCAACAGATATTTACTAAATGTTTACGTTGCAATGGACATAGTAGAATGAATCATCAAAAGCTTGTTATTATATATTAGGTTGATTTTTTCCAGGAGAGGAGTTTAGGAAGACATTCAGTCTCCTTGGTAAACTTGTACATGCCTTTACTGTCAGCCTTACTTAACCCTTTACGCTATATAATATGCTTTCTCTCTTAATTTTCTCAAGAGTTTGCAAGCCCCTTGAGGGGTAAAGATGGTATCTCAACTCTTCGCAGTTCTATTTTATGCAAATAGAGGCAGTGGTGGCTAATTGATGATTCCATCATCCAGAATATCTTATGCCTCTAGCTTCTGACTGACGGAGACTCTGTTTTTTAACAGATGATCTGAAATGAGTTTGCTGTAGGTTCTTTGCTGTCTTGGTCACCCCTGGACATGATTGGTATTCTGCATGACTATCATTGGTAGTGGTAGCATGGTATCGTAAAGGCAAGGATGTAAAGAGAAACAAACTCGGGCTTCAGGGTGAAAACCTTTGGCTCTCCTACTTGGAAAATGGACTTGACCTGAAAAATGAGAATTAAAGTCTACATCTTTCAGGGTTATTCAGAAAGTTAAATGAAATAAAATAAATATAAAGTGATGAGGTGAAATAATTTCTTGGAATAATGAGTTTCCTTGATTCACCCTTGAGCAGACACCTGTTCTCTTGCCCTGCAGCCTCTGATGCAGGGAAACTGAGAGCACCAAGCAGGACCTTGAGGAAGAGAAGGGGAAGACCAGCTCAGGAGGAGGCCTGATTCTCATGCAGGCTTAGAGCACAGCATGCATGGGTTGGACTGTGCAGATCAGAAGGGGTGGGAATGCTGTTCTTACAGGCTTAGGTTTTCTCTCTTTATTCCTCCATCCTTGAGCCCCTGGAGGTTCAAAAAAGCAAAGATACCAGTTATTAGGAAAAATAAAGACATTCTGTGTTTGTAAGTGGCTGAGTTGAATCTGTCCAAACCAGCTTATACTTGTGCAAACTCTGTGTCTGGCTTGCACAGGGTTGACATTCAGCAAATAGTAGTTCCATTCCCCATATTTCTCCTCTCTCTCTCCGTAATGATAAATATGAATACATACATATCTATATATAAAACCTGTGACATAAAATATATAGAAGCAACTTGGATATTAAAGTGTGAGTTTGTATGTGCACCTATCCCCATCCATCCATATGCTAGCAGTACCTACATCCCTTGGAAGTAACTGGATAATTGGAGACATGGGTGGGATGTTGAAGGGGCATTTCTGGTCATCTTAATGACTGGGAGTGCTATTGGATGTATCAAGGACGCTAAACATTCATCAGACTGTCAGGCAGTCCCTTATCCTCACCAATAGAGAATTTTTCTGCCCCAAATGCCAGTAGTACTTCCATTGAGAAACACTGTATACTGACAGTGTGGAACATTTCTCAGCAACTTTGTGAATTAGAGACTGCTCATTATTCTATCATACAGGATAACAACTTTTCAGGGGAAGTTATCTTTAACTTCCCTGTGCCCCGACTAATGGTATTACTCGGTGAGAATGTTGACTGCATGTTGATCCCCACTGGGGGATTCTAGACATGTTAAGCTCTAACATGTATGTGAATATTATTTCAGATCTGAGGGCATTGTGATCATTGTTCTCTTTCTGTTGGTGTGGATGAAATAAGAGTTGTTGCTGCTTGGATATTTTCCCCTCCGACATTCTTTCACTGGGAAGCTATTAGACAAAAATTGTGTAGGCTTTGTGGACAAGACATTTCGACGGAAAAAATAATCTTGGCGTCACTATGCACACACACAGAGACCGCACATACAAAGCGATTTTGGAGGGCCCTTTTGAAATTACATAGGGAAACCAACAGTGCCAGTAATAGCACGGGGCTCTATTTCTCACAGTGCTTTTGAAGGCATAGAAAGCAAATGACAATTCTGGCGGTCGCTAAGATGTATTTTGCAGTGGCTGGAAAGAAACTAGCATTCTTAGAGGAGTCCAGCAAATTGTCTTTGAGCCTTTGAGGGCACACAGAAAGCTAATGACACCTCCGAGGAATAGCCTTCTCAGGTTTTAGATGCCACAGATGCTAAAGCCAGGATATAAAACCTTTCTTATAGGGCCTTTAAGAATCCTCAGTGTGCTTTTATTAGCAAGCTGAGTGTGTATATAGAGATGTTAATGGTCTGTGGAGCAAGCTCAGCTTGTTTTTGCAAACTACAGAACTATAAAAGTTATCAGAAAGGACACATTCTTGCCTATTGCTTTGTTCCTTTGTTTCTTATTTATTTCCTTCTCTGTGGAATGTTAGGGCACTGATCATGTGCTGGGTCCCGTGGATACAAAGGGGAATCCTCTGTGGATTCTTCTCTCTGGAAGCTTGCCCTCCAATGTAGGAGAAATGTACACGTTCATATCCACAGTGCAAAGTATAGAAGGCAATGACAATGCAAATAAAGCCTAAATTAAATGGAAATTTCGCCACAGAAGAAATTACTTCTAGCTGATAGGATCAAAGAAAGCTACATAGACAAAAGAGTGGAAATGGTATTTAACTATTTTCAAGGATATGTAGGATTTGGGCAGGTAGCAATTAGCTTTCAGGAAGAAAAGAAGACTTATTGTAGGGGAGGGCAGTCCATGCCGGGGAGTGGCATTCACAAAGGTTATGAGTGTGAAGTGAGAATAGCTAAGGTTAGCAGGTTCGTAGGTGTACACTCCTGACCGTTGAGAGAATGATCCTGGATTTACTGCTCGTTAATGAATGGTTAGGAATCCTAGTATTCACACATTGATGTGCTACAGAAATCCCTATGGAGCTTGTTAGAAATTTCTATCCCTGGGAAGCTCTCCATACCCTGTGGTTAGAAGATCTCAGAGATCTTGCCGTCTCTCATTCCCTATGGCCAGTGTCCACCCTGCAGCCAGCCACTGGGGACTCTGTCGCTGCCTCTTCCTGAGCTGGGAGGCGATGCTGGGATGCCAGAAACACACAGGAGGGAAATGGAGAACACTTTTCTCAGAAGTATAATCCCCAAATCTCCTCTTAAGCCATTACAATAACATCTCATATTTTATTTAATTTTCTTTAAATGGAAAAACCAGTTATACCAAATGAAAACAAATGACTGAAGAAGAACTGAATGATGTTTATAAGCCTTTTATATGATTTTTTAAATTGAGTTTTTGGTCTCCTAATTGATTAATAAAGGGAAAGACAGAGAAGACTGACATGTGTTATCTTCTGTCACAGTTCAGATAGAGTGAAATGACTCCCACCTTGCCAATACAATTCTCAAGGTTGATTGCTAATTTTAATTTATCTGAACCGTGCTTTTCAATGAGGTGATATTGGTCCTGATCGTTCTGTAAATTGGAGATTTTGCCCGAGGAAGTTAATTCTCCCCTTTCACAAAAAAAGTTTGGACTTTCAGATGACTTATTTGACATTAGCAATGTTAGATTCTTGCTCCACTGCAGCTCTGCCTGGCCACTCTCTGTTCTTTTTGTCACTGAATTCTCTGAAGCGTGTTTGACTCTGCTTAGGGGACCCCCATCACTAAGCCTGGGGTCTGGTTACCATGGATCTTAGGCAGTTTGGCTGCTATAGCAGCATACCGTAGGCTGGGTGGCTTCAACAACAAATTTATTTCCTCACAGTTCTAGAGGCTGGGGAAGTCCAAGATCAAGGCACTGGCAGACTTGGGAAGTCCAAGATCAAGGCACTGGCAGATTTGGTGTCTGATGAGGGCTCTGCTTCCTGGTTTACAGATGGTCACCTTCTTGCTGAACAGAGAGAGAGAAAGCAGGCTGTCCTATAAGGGCACTAATCCCATTCATGATGGATCCACCTGGTATATTTAAAAGCCCAATGACAGTCCTGTGAGACATGTAATAGTAATAAGATACTAATTGCTGTTTATCAAATGAGCCTTGTGTGCCAGGGACTGTGATAGGATCAGAAAGGTTAAACAGTTTACCCGGAGTCATAAAATAGATGTTTAAAATAGTTGCAGAGTAGGTACACAAAGATATGTCTTTTGACTTATCTAGATGGACCCCATAATGCAGAAGAACGAGTCTTGGCCATTTGCATACTGACACTTGGGCTAGCAGGCCAGAAGGTTCTACAATAGGCCTGGCCTCAAATATATTTCACTTGTAATAAGCACCATATGGGGTCCTGCCTTGGAGCTGAGTCATACAAGAGTGCCTAGAGTGCCTTTTAAAGGCCTACAGCCATCCAACTCTTAGGGAAGGGAGTCCGCATTGGACTTGGGTGCTCTGGGAAGTGGTCTGGTTCCTGGATCAATTGTTGATGAGGTATATATTTCAATCATGTTTTCCCACGGACTGTGGGGAAGGCGGTGAGGGTGGCTGGAGACAGGGTTGGTTGGGGAGAAGGGGCTGCTGTTGGTTGAACATTAGTTACACAGAGCTGCGTGCTATAAATTCTGGCTCACTGAATCCTCACGACCACTCTGAGACTTATATTATTAATATGTATTAGAAAGAGGACAGTCCGTGGGGTGCTCTGCCTCCTGGACTCCTCCGTCAGGAAGGTTGTTGGTTCAGGGCCAGCCACTGCTTGGCTAACGCCTCAGTGCTTCAGCGACAAGGACCAGGCCGTGGGCACAAATAAGGTCTTAGGTCTCTCCTCTGTGCACATCCAGGAGAGAGATTTTAGGGATAGTTCCTACTGGCTTCATCACTCTAGGGTTTAAATCTGGGCTTTGCTGCCTACCAGCTGTGTGGCCCTTCCAGCGTGAACCTGTCCAGACCTGAGTTTTAGTATACCCACAGTGGGGAAAAAAGACCTACATCACAGGGTTATTGTTAGGCTTAAAGGACGAGACAGATGCAAAGTACTAAGCATGTGGCCTGGCACAGGGGAAGTGCTCAGGAAATGGTAGTGACTGTTAAGACTGTGATACTTGGAGGCTGAACCTTAACAGGATATTATCCTGACCTGTCAGTTTAGCTCTTTGGATCCTATGGTTTTTTTTTGTTGTTGTTCTTTTGTTTGTTTTTTGAGATGGAGTCTCGCTCTGTCGCCCAGGCTGGAGTGCAGTGTCACAATCTCGGCTCACTGTGACCTCTGTCTCCTGGGTTCAAGTGATTCTCGTTTCTCAGCCTCCTGAGTAGCTGGGATTACAGGCACCTGCCACCATGCCTGGCTAATTTTTGTATTTTTAGTAGAGAAGGGGTTTCACCACCTTGGCCAGCCTGGTCTCCCAACTCCTGACCTCAGGCGATCTGCCCACCTCAGCCTTCCAAAGTGCTGGGATTACAGGTGTGAGCCACTGTGCCCGGCCTGGATCCTATCTTAAAGGACTTTCTGTGGTGATAAATTATGAAATGCCTTTCTCGTGCCATCCGACCTCCTGTGTTCACTCTCTGCACCTTTCTATTGTTTCACTGGAAGTGTCATGATATTCCATGAGCACGTTGGTTGCTATTACCACGTAAGACAATGGGAAAAAAGAAGCCTCCAGCTTCTGGGTGTTTACCGTTTGGAAACACAGCACAACACTTGACATTCTCAGTGCTGAGCTCATGTAGAGGCAGCAGACAGACTGCAGATACGTGCCTGTCCTGCCCCATTAGCTGCTTCGCAATGGGGGTTTCAGTTTATCCCTGTGCCGGTGTTGCTCCCAAACACGGTGACCGTGGGGCACATCCATGCCTGTCTCACATACCAAGGCACTGTCAGCATGTGCTCCTGCTGCAGGACCCTTCGGCCAAGGGATTCATCCTGCGGCACAGGCTCGAGTCTAAGTTTACCCGTGACCTGTGGTCATTCTGTGGACGGCAGACCAGGCATGACTGCACGCCTCGTATCAGAACTCGGAAGCCTGGTGGTGACAGGAAACAGTCCGACTGCTTTAGAGAGGTATTAGTGAAATGTCTAGGAGGGCAGTCTTCTCCTATGGCAGAACAGAGCAACTAGACCAAACGCTTGGTTGAAGTATATCTTTAAGTCTTTGATTAAACATGCCGTTGCATTTTCTGTTTAAATGTTGTTTTACAAGCTGTGTTCTGACTGCAAGGTAGGGTTTCTAAGAAATCAGTCCCAAAGAGCTCTTGCCCCGGAGTGTTTGTTGTGTAGCCTAGGTGGGCTGTAAAAGCTAGAGCTGTTGCTAAGGGAACCAACGGAGGAATGTGAATTTGTAAATCTCTCAATCACATTAACATTTTGTGTAATATCTGACCTCAGCTTTACTTTAAGGTGAAGAGGAAGCTGGTGTAGGAATGATACTGGTCAAAGATCAATGAGAGAGGCACTGTCATTTTAGAACTTGACACTTTGTCATCAGCATTTCTATTTCACTCTTGTAATACACAATTCTTTATTTCTTTGTAAAAAGTCCTATATAAGCAATACCTGCCGTGGTTCCCCACTTTTCAGGCCATGCCCTCTGTGACATTGGGGGTTGCCTATTTTATAGAGAGGCAGAGTGGTGAGGAGAAAGTCATTCGGTGTTTTTGCCGTTGAAACCTAAATCTCTAAGGTGACAAAAGAAATCCCAGTTTACTTGGCATGAGAGAGTTTTGCCAGTTCCATTCTACCTAAAATGCTCTTTTGCTCTGTTTTATATAAGAGAGGAAGAAGTCATTTTATTGTGCTGAAAAACAGTGGAAGTAAAGTTACCAACGAGTAATATTAATGACTTCAATTCATAATATTGGGATAATGACTAATGTGCCAGGTATTATATTAGGTATTTAATATACATGATGACACTTAAATTTATACTATGGTCAGGCAAAGGTATGGTTCATGATCCCAAGCATATAACATGCACACCAGCTGAATATAAGATGAAAGCAACATTCTGTGCATTCGCGTGCCCCTATGCTAAATATACTTAGGTTGACCCATATGAAATTGCCATTTTTATGGGCAAAGAGAGCCAAATATCGGTAATTCCAAGTGGTTCAGCCCAGCACATGTTTGCATATACGCAAACTGGCAGACGCAGTTCTGGAATTTTGTTGAGACATCCCCAAAGTGTTTCACAGGCCTACAGACACGTGGGTCTTTTCACAGAGGCATAACGAACCATGCAGAAAGGTAGAATCCTCAGATGCTTTATCTAATAATCACAGAACTGAAGATCCAGAAGGATCCTTGGGGGCTGCGTGTTGCACTGTGGTTGTTTAATAGAAGTAGGCCCCATGAGGTGAGGGGACCTGCATGTCGGGTGAGTTAGGGCTGACTGTGAGGCTGGGACTTAGGCCTGTGTGGCATCTGGAACACTGTATTCTATCCATTTTAAATTTTAGGCCATGAAAGTGAGTAACACATGGGCTGTAACTTAGAAGTCAACTAAGTGATAAGGGCTTGCAGTCACGCTGGGCACAGGGACCCCGGGCAGAGAGGAGCTCTGCGGTGCAGAGAGGCACATTGGTGAAGGGAGCCAGGCATTCAGCCACATGGTAGAGGAGGGCGTCCTTATCTATCTCAACTAGCTTCTGCTATCGGACTTCTGGGGAGAAAGGGTTTGGTGTTCAAGGCCTAACATTGCCTTTCCTCTCAGAAGGTCTCGTTCATGTTACACAGCTTTGTTCACCCTGAGCCTAGCAAGCTCTGAGCTCCTTGGAGCCACCATTCCTCTCTCGTACGCAAGAAACAAGTCCCAGCTCGGGAGCCCACAAGATTAAAAAGTGCAGATAACCAGTAGCCGTATGGAATCATATGTCTTGACAGGAGCTATGGACTTGTCCTCATTTTTAAATTTATAGCACTTTGAAAAATCACAAGTGTGGGCCTGTACATTGTAGCATATCTCTTTTGACACAGTGGGAACGAGAGCCTTTACGTCAAGGGATACTGGTTAGATGCAGGCCTTCCAGAAGCTTCTGCAGTAGCATCATCACAGCTGCCCTGAGGCAAGGCAGGAGCCCACTCGGGGTCAGGGGTTCAATGTCGGGTCCCCTCCTTGCAGGACACACTTCATTGCTGTTGGGGGTTTCACCTGTGACTGTGTGTCTTGCCCTCTCCTTCCCCATTCTTGGTGTGTCTTTGTAAAATTAGAACTTGTGTCTTCTTCTCTCCACATCCCTGTACTCAGTGTCCACCCTGCTGTCTGTCCAGCATGGACGGCAAATAGTCTGTCAAACACCTCTCTAGTCATTGTCGTCATGGGCCCAAAAAGACTGTTAGCCTCTTTACCGTATAGATAGATCAAATATATATTTTTGTCGAATTCTGCAGTAACCTGTGATGTGCGTTGGCCTGAGACAAAAATTCGCTTCCATCCTCAGATCCTTGTTGTGTTCTGAAGAGGGCACACATTTAACAGAACAAAGCTCGTCTGCTTTGCTGGGACGATGGGTGGCTCGCCCAGCAAATCATCATTGGAGCCTTCTTTATTTTGACGTGAGTTTTCAAAAATAGCATTTCTGCTTTTATTTCTCGACTTAAAAGCATATTTTAAAAAATTGGTTTTCTGCATTTGTGTAATCAAGTACAGGAATGGTTTTATGGTTTTGTTTGACTTAGGAACGTCTTGGTGCCTGCCATTTTTCACGGCCATCATCTGAAAGGTTCTTTCCACTTTCACAAGTTGTTAACTGCTTTCTTTGAGAGCAAGCAAAGTAGGCTGCCTCAAATATACACCTGGAATCGGTATTTATTTCCTTATTCTGTGCCCTGTTTCATTCCAAGATTGTGGTATACTGGGAAATAAGAGAATTCAATGAAAAGGGCTTCTATAACAAACGAACTAACCCATTAGAAAGAACTGACCATAAGCTTAGTAGGAATCAGTCATGTGATGTTGCAGCTAAAATAGCGAATGCTGTGGTTTTCAAACTTGTCTAAAGTGGGAGACCCCACTTCCTAACAGTGTTCTGATTTGGGACCTTGTGCACAAAGTGGGCAGTGGGAGTGGTGACTGGGGAGGTATAAGGAGCTTAGAGCCTGGATGGGTGCCTGCCCTGCCCCTTCCAGGTAACCCCCTGAAACTTGAAAACCATTATGTTAATACGTTAATTATATAGCTATAGGGATCCCTTAAGTAAATACAAAGTTTTATTACTGTAGAGGCATGTTTTTATACATTGTTTTATTTGACCCTGAAGAAGAGACCGCAAAGGCATTATCTCTAGTGTCTGTATTTTTCATAGAAGGAAACTGAAGATCAGGGAGATTAGTACCATGATCAAGAGCACACAGGTAATGCATAAGGCAGCAGGGATTGGAATGTGACTTAGTTTAGTGCTCATTTCACTGGGTCACAGGCGTATATAGATGAAATAAGAGCCTTGGCTTCTTGGAGCTGGTCAGACTCTTTCTGGATTGTTTTGTTCAGTGATGGGTGGTAAATTGGAGAATGTTGAGAGAGGCGTGACTGGGATGTATCCCTGTGCAGTACAGATAGAGGTGAAAGATTTTAAAATGGATATCTCTTTGAGAGGTAATTCATTGGTGTCAGCTGGTTTCAATAAAGGTGCTATCTAAAGAAAAAGGTGCTATCTACAGAAAAGCTTGAAGATGGGAGGGTGTGGGAGCCGCGGGACACGGTGTGGATGTCACAGTGAAGGGAGAAGGAGAAGAAAGGGAGGCCCAAGGCAGGGCAGAATCTTGCTGCAACTTCGATGTTGAGCATTCTGGCCCACGGGACACACACAGCCCACCAGTTTTCAAAATACATTCTTTGTTCCTTTGCCAGGATAAGAAATAAGACGGCTGCTTTCATGTCTCTACTTCTCAAATATGTCAGTCTTTTCAGTGACATTCTTTTATTCAATGTAGTGGGTGATCTGAATTGCAAGAATATTTCCTATTTTCCCATGGGACTAAATTAAGTTATTTGCATTTTGAATGGAATAGAAGACTCTAAACACATTTATTTTTTTCTTCCTGAATCATCCTTGGAAAAAGAGGTTGCTCGCTGTTGATTTATTTCACAATTTTATCTGGGTAAAAGCCACTTGCAAAACCACTCCCCTTATCTTAGTACAACTGTGCTAGTGCAGAACTAAGGCCAAAGGGTGGAAAATTCCGTGAGAGTGATTTGGATTCACTCTTAAAATGATAGCAGCAGCAGCAGCAGCGAGACTCACAGCAGCAGAGCTAGCTACCAGAAACAGGTGGCCCTAGAGCTCCTTGTCCCCAGAAATACACAGGTAGAGGCTGGGTGCTGTCAGTCTCAGTCCCTGAGGAGTAGACCTCTGTGTTGGGTGTTACATTAGGCCAGTCTGTTCTTTTGAGATCTAAGATTCTGTTATTTTAAAGGCTTTCATTACTATCCCATTAGAAGGATCAATTTGAATTTCTTGTATTTGAGTGGAAAATGCCGAAGAATACTGAGGTTTGAGTTTCTGATGTTTTGTGAATTTTTCACTGTTGATATTTCATCAGAAAGAATCTGAGAATGTTATGATGTAAAGTGGGCCAGATTTGCTAATCTATTTTAAGAACATGTAATCTGTGAATAATAAAAGCACTGATTTGAATATTGGAATGATAAAGCAATATTCTTAATTTTAAATGATTCTTGTTTTAAAAATAGCATGTTTTAAACCACTTCTCATGATCTTTATTTTCACTTATTTTTTATACTAAATTCGGGGGCGGGGGACAAGTGCAGTTTTGTTACATGGATCTGTTGCGTAGTGGTGAAGCCTGGGCTTTACTGTAGCCGTCACCCAAACAGTGTGCATTGTATCCATTAAGCAATTTCTCATCCCTCATCCTGCTTCCACCCTCCCAAGTCCCCGATATCTGTTTTTACACTCTCTATGTCCATGTATACACATTATTTGGCTGCCACTTACATGTGAGAACATACAGTCTTTGACTTTGTTTCTGAGTTATTTCACTTAAGATAATGGCCACCAGTTCTATTCATATTGCTTGATTTCATTCTTTTTCTTGGCTGAGTAGTAGTCCACTGTATGTATGTATATGTATATACACCACATTTTCTTTATCCAGTCATCTGGTGGTGGACATTGAGGTTATTTCTATATCCTTGCTATTGTGAATAGTGATTGGCACAGGTGTTGCTGAAAGTGTCCTGAGTGTAAGAAGTAGAGAAGGATTGTTTTCCTCAGTGTTGTGTGTAAAGTGCCCATATTTTATTTGTGTAGGGGAGAGAAGATTTCTGTTCTTACCCATCGCTGGGTTTCTGGCTGAGTCATCTATAGCAAAAGACAGATGAACAGGAAAAAAGTATACATTTATCTGATGCAAGTTTTCTGCGACACGGGAGCCTTCCGAAATGAAGAGCGAGGGAAACAGGGAAACCTGTGTATTGTATGCTTAGGTTTGATGAAGAGAGGACAGATGTGGAGGAGTGTGGTGTGATTAGACAAAGGAGGAGTGAGCTAATGGTGATAAACAGAGGGATACTCAGCAAGTCCTGTTGGTTCTGATTCTTCTCTGTGTCCCTGTGTATTCATAGATGTGGTTGTTCCTTCCTCCAGTTACAGGGAGGGCACTTCACCAATGAGAATCTTATGACCTGCCATAGGGGAGAAGGGCAGGAAAAGGGCATAGAGTAGCCTTCCTGCTTCTGCTGCTTTCTTGAATGCCACAGTGCCATATTTTCAGGTAGCATGTCCTGAACCCCATCATTTGCATAGCTTTACAAAGATTTCCTATTTTTATTTTTGATTGGTTTTCACATTTCAGGCATTTGCCATAAATGTTTAGCTTTACCTTGATCTACGAGATTTGGAATTTGATGGCCTATAATAAATTCACGTTTTAGCATACCAAGGGCCTGATATTACAAGCAAATGAACAAACATACAACCCCTACATGAACTGTTGTGTAATATGCATAATTTCTCGGTTTCTCTATTTTATAATTTGGATTTTTCTGCAGCAGGGATGGAGAGAGCACATTTTCTATCAGAAGTTACCAGTGCACAGGAAAAATGAGTCAAGATCAACTGACTAAAAAGAAGCTTAACTCCTTTAAGAGAGAAGTACGTTCTACTTTGCTTTAAAAAAATAAGAACAGGGACATAAATCTATCTAATGGCTAAAAATAGAAATGAGTGATTGAGGATGAAAAAGAGAAGGAAAGAGAAAGATCACAGACACAGACACACTCGGAGACTTCACAGTAATAAAGAAAAAAAATCAAGGACTCAGAGTGAGACACAGACAAAACGAGCCATACACCTAAAGATGAATATATGCAAGGCAGGCAAACGGAAGTCCTTTTTGGGGGCTGTGCAAATACTGGTGTAAGATAAGAAAAGGTGATGGGCAGATGCAGTGAGTTGTAGAGGGCCTGTTCTGTCCAAAGGCACTCAAATCCAACAAACCCTGCGCTCACCAAAGGAAATTCATCTGTCATCCACTGGCCACCAGCGTAGACCCTGGGTTCTGAACACCCACAGAAATGGGAGTGGACGTTATACTGAGTGCTTACCCTGTGCCAGGCCTGGTTCTGTGTGCCTCGCCCCTCACGCCTTATAATCCTCACATCACCGTCGGGAGGCCTGTGCAACTGCCATTTCCCCACTTCAGAGGTGAGGAAGCAGACCTAGAAAAGTTTCCATGACTTGTGTGATAGCACACAACTGATCAAGGATGAGTTGAGGTTTGAACCCAAGAAGCCTGGCACCAGAAAGGAAAACGCACTCCAATGCACAAGACATACATTGTCACCCACACAGGCCCAGCCATCTCCCCTCCTGCTTCATCTAACCACTAGAAGTGCGGGGATAGTTATGGCAGAGACAAAGAAACCCACTCAGAGAACACACAGAAGCCTTAGAGCTAAGCATGCATGGAGTCACATCCCAGCCTTCTGGCTTCTGCTGTGCACATAATTTGTATCCTAATTTTAATGCAGTCAATGCTGTAGTAGACCTCTGAAAGATACACAGATAAATGGGACCAGAGTGAAGGAACTCACCTCTTGACAAATGCCTGCTTTTTTTTTTTTTGTTTTAATTTAGTTTGCTTTCTTCTTTTGACCTGGCATAAAATGCCAATAAGAATTTGCTAGAGACAAAACTTGGCAGCAGGTTTTTTGCCAGGTGAAAATGGGGTTCTAGGATTACCGTGGTTGCACTGTGCCTAGCTGGTAGTAGGCACTCAGTCAATGTTGATGACTGGATCACGAGATTTAGCAGTTGTTTAACCATCAGTACTCTCCCAATTTTCAGGATTTTTTTGTTTGTTTGTTTGGAGATGGAGTTTCGCACTTGTTTCCCAGTCTGGAGTGCAATGGCGCGATCTTGGCTCACCGCAACCTCTGCCTCCTGGGTTCAAGCGATTCTCCTGTCTCAGACTGCCGAGTAGCTGGGATTACAGGCCTTTGCCACCACGGCCAGCTAATTTTGTGTTTTTAGTAGAGACGGGGTTTCTCCATGTTGGTCAGGCTGGTCTGCAACTCCCGACCTCAGGTGATCCACCCACCTTGACCTCCCAAACTCCTGGGATTACAGGCATGAGCCACCGTGCCTGGCCCTTATGTACAGTGTTTCCCTAGTTATCTCAGAAACTTCTCTAGGCCAACGAGGTAGGTAATAGGATTCCCATTTTCCAGGAGAGGAAACCAAGACCCAGAGGACTGTCTGGACTGCGGTCTTAGAGCTGGCAAGTGATGGAGATGGCACCTGAGGGCTTCTGCTTCTAAATCCGTGTTCTGTCCTCTAGGCTGCACTGCCCTTCAGTGGTTTAAGTGGAAAGCCATGGATCAATCTCTAGGGAAATGTGGTTTTCAGAGCAGTAGCATTTCTGACAAAGGTGAAGCTCTGATTTTTCCCCTCTCCTGGAAGGAGGAATATTAAATATCTGCAGTGTCTGAATTTCTTTAACCTTCCCTCCAATCTTTAGTCTCTTTAGGAGGTTATTTACAACTCTGACTTCTGTTTGTTTTTAATGTCCTCTGCAATTGAAAGAAGACAGTGAGTGTGATGCTTAAATGTAGTAGATTTTTCCCGGACTATTTGATAAGATCTATTTTGTAAAGGAACTGCCAAAGTCAGTTGCGATAATAGCCATAATAGTTTTAAAGTGATGTTTTCCAATGCAGATTCACTTATTGCCTGGTTTTTGAAATTATTTTGAGTAACTATTAGAAAATAATACTTTAAACCATGTTTTTATTTCCAAAAACTCTAATTGAAAATTAAACATTCTTCAGAACAAAGAAAGCACCTTCCTTTTCCCAGTTCCCACCCTGATCCTTTATTTTGCTCCATTTCCCCATAAATCCAGATAACTTTGTTATGTGGAGTAAGAAGTAGAAGATTTCACTGGGGCATGCTTTGACTTCCCCAGTTCCCTCCATCAAAGAATTAAGCGTAATTTTTATCCAAAGAATGGGATGAAAGGAGGATTCCCTGCACCGTCGTTTTGGTTTGTCCTCTTCTTTCACGGGGAAAGAGGAGCTGAAATGTGCTTAATTGTTTGCTGCATTTCCTGTGCACATGTACTTATCCCTCACATCACCCGAGACCAAGTGAAGAGGGAGTGTTTAGAAAAAAGAGAGGGAGGCTGATACCCGTTGAAAGTAAAATGCTGGCATCTTAATTTTAAGAGAACACAGAAAGCCAAATGCTTTCAGAAAAGGGTCCCTTCACGGAGTAATTTGCCTGGTATGGCATCCCAGTTTGTTGTATAATTTCAGCCCCGTTACTATGGTAACCTGCTTTAGTGTCGCAGCGATTGTTAATCAGGATTTGTCGTTATTCCCCTTTCATCACGAGGCTCTATATCCTTATGGATTAAATCGCAGTTCTCATCGACAATGGCATAGATCAAACATTATTGCCAGACATAAAACCCCGGGTCGCTCCCTGTCATTTTCCCCGTTACCAGAAGCAGCAAATGCAAGCTGAAGTCTAACTTTTGCAAGGAAATCAGGGCTCCTTCTGGCTCCTCTGATATCTACCCTCATGACAGAATTCCAAGCAAGAGGGCCACTTTCGTTTCCAATCACCCTGTGCCCATGGGAAGGGCAAGCACCATTTTGCGTCACTGCAAACCTGACTCTTCAGATACATATCCAGACAAAAAGTTGTTTTAATGTGACCTCTAACTCTTCCTCAAACCTTATTCTTATTCTTGGAGCAGCCGACTTTTTCTTTCTTTCTCATCGATTTTGTAGATTCTTGTCTGCTGCTTTTCTATAGGAAGTCCGTGTCAAGAAGCAGGGGAGACCAAGACGCCACTCCTGTTGAGGATGTTCTGTGGTGAATCACAGAGCCTCGTGAGGCTCGTGGGATGGTGGCTTGCTTTTCCCATTTGTGAAGTCTGGTGGTAACAGTACCCAGACAGGGAAGTGAACAACCCTATAGTATAGTGACCGGATTTAGCAGGGCCGGATCGCCACCATCTTTAGGAAAGTCAGGTTAAAGGAACATAGGAGCGGTGAAGTCTCGTGGTGCCATGTTCTAGGTTAGGTGCATATCGCTAGTCGTAGTGTGTCTTCATATTGCAAATTGCTTTGTTTAGGAGCGAGAACTGTTAAGCCACGCTTGTTAATAGCCTCTGGAGCCAGTCTGCCTGGGTTCAGTGTTTGGCTCTGCCACCTCCTAGGTGTGTGACCTTGGCAAGTTTTTGAACCTCTCTGAGTTTCAGTACCTAAAACCAGCGTAATAGTAGTACCTACCTCAGAGTCCGTGAGGATGACGTAAGTTAATATTTGTGAAGCGCTTAGACTGGTGACTGGCACGCCATCAGTGTTGTATAGGTGTTTGTAAATAGATGAAACAGAACCAATATTGCACGTACATGTATTCAAAATATATTCAAGATCAGATTATCCAAATACCAGTAAGGTGTTGAAAACAGCGCTTCCCCCCCTCCTCCCCCTTCCCTCTCCCTGCTTTTTTTCCTTGATCTCTGCAATGTGCCCAACCCCCAAGTATAATTCTGATTGGCTAAATTAATTCTGCAGCATCCTGCTGTGAATAATTATGTTGATCCAGTGTGTATCTCATGCCTTTTTTTTTCTCTTTGCCTAAATTATAATGTGACAATTGCGGCTCACAGCTGGCTCATCAGAGGTGGGCAGTTGGGGGATTGGCACATCTGACTGTGCTTCTCTGTTAACTCTGTGCCTTGATTGCTTAAGACAAGACACATGTAAACCCCATGATTATTGCCATTTTTTTGGACTTTGCAAAGACTCTGCCTTCAAACATAAAGCTGCTGGGCTCGTTTTGGGGGAGGGGGCATGTAGGAGTCTCCTTTCCCCTCCCCCCGCCTCTCCCTGCTTTTCCTTTCAGACAATAAATAGCTGTCAGGCTTATGTCAAGGATGAAATTATAGGTGCACATGAGGCCTTGATTACATTGTTTTGGAGAGATTGCTATTAGCATACTGAAATGAAGTCTAATTTTTCACTGGCGGAGCTGAGTCAAACTCCAGGGACAGGCAGGGCCTATGCAGTGCGAGGCGAGAACCGTCCGATCGGAGCACCTGTTCTATGTGGGGATCAGCTTTTCCTTCCTTAAGACAAACAATAGGAATAAAATAATTCATACGAAGAATAGCTTTGCATTAGAAAAGAAAGGCCAACTGATAAAGGATGGAATAAGACATTTCGGTTAGATAAGGCTCTTTGTGAAATGACCGTATATGATTTTCAAGTGTGTTTAATCCATGTTAAGGCAGCATCTCGCTTGTTGATTCAGGCTGTGTTTTAGCCTGAAGAGTGTACCATCTGATTTTTTAGGTTGCTTGCCGCCTGCATAATTCATTTTCTACTGCCCGGCCCTGCAAGCAGGCATCCTCTGAAGAGGCGTGTTTGTGAGCACTCCATCCACGGGGCGGGTGGCCTTCTTGTACTTTTGATGTTTATACATTCTGATGATGTGACCCTGTGACCTGTTCACTTTCAAAATCCTTCAATATAAAAATTATTCTTGGCAAGTGGATTCCCTGAAATGTGTAAGACATGCTGCCTCCCGAATGATGGTGGATTAATAATTATACATGGCTTATTGTATAACTGTCCTGGCTCACTGCAGTGAAAATTTAAAAATTACACACATACACACACAGATATACATACACCCGCATCTGCACGTGTGTGTGTGTGTGTAATGATTTTGGCATTGTAACTTGAAAGCTTATTCAATATCATTGTTTCATCATTACTATTATTAAGGGAAAAAAATAAGGATTTGGTGTGGGTGGAGAGGACGGGAGCGTGTCCTCCAATTTGAAATCTGTAACAGTGGAGAAAATTTGTAAACAGACCGTATATTTATGTATTTGGAGTATATACTTTCAGTACCTACTACATGCAAACAGTGCGCTGTAGTCACTGCAGATTCAGAGCTGAGTTAGAAATGGTTCCTGCTGTCCAGGAGTGTGTGGTTTGGACCAGAACAAAACAAGCATGACCACATAACCCTAGAGCAGCAAAGAATGGTGCGATCGTAAAGGAAGAACCCATATTTGCTTTGGGTTTTTTTTCCCCTAGCTATTTGGGTGATGTTAGAGTAAACTGAGGAAGAGAAGAGAGAGTGAAGGTTTAATGGAGGAGGTTGTATTTGAAGTGTACTTTGCAGTGTGGGTAGAATTTTAAACACAGAAATAAAAGAAAGACATCCCCAGAAGGGTGAAACTGTGAGCAAAAGCAGGGTGAGGTCTCGTCTGGCCAGAGGTTCTCTCCCTGGGATGCTCTTGCATCGGTAGAGAACTGTGAGTAAAACAGCTGCTGCCTGAAATCCAGACACAGGAAGCAGGTGAGTGGCTGCTGAGGGCCGAGGGCTGGGGGTTTCGAGGAAACTAGGAGTGGCTGGATGCAGGTACCAGGGGTATTTTGGGGGTGATGACAGTGTTCTGAAATGGAATGTGGCGGCGGTTGTACAACTTTCTGAATAGACTAAAAGCCATCGGATTGTATACTTTAAATGGGTCAGTTGTATGGTATGTGAATTATATCTCAGTGAAGGTGTTATTTAAAAAAAAAATACTGCTGCATACTGATGAAATCACACTTTCTGGGCGTGGCGCTGGTCTGAGCCTCCTTAGGAGCCCTGGGCTGGAGCAGACGCTGGACATAGCGTTCAGCTGGAAGGAGAGGTGGGGCTTTATCTTAGCCTGGAAGGGCTTGCTGAAAGGTTTGCAAAACCTATTTGCAAAAGGGAGCCATTGGAAGTTTTAAAGTAGGGTCTTGGCACATTCACACTATTGTTTAAAAAGCTACTCACAGACCTGTGGTAGATGGTTTCTGGAAGCTGGGACGCCAGCTGGGGCCTTGTTGGGTTACCGGCAGAGGCGAGGTGGCCCTTCCCAGGTACAGATGAGTGCCGGTTGCAGTGAGAGTCGAAATCAGGTGACAAATGTAAGGGACACAGAGAGCAGAATGTCAGCAGGGCCCGGTGCTGTCTGGATGTGGCACGAGTGGGAGAGAGGGTCTGACGGGTCCTCAGGTTTGAGCCAGAGTAGATGAGAAGGAGCAGGCCTGGAGGATGTGACATGCTCAGTGTTGCATGTGTTGGATTCAAGGAACCGGCGATCCATCCTGGAGCAAGATGGGAATGTGGCTCTGACCCCAGCAAAGGGGCTGGCCACCGAGCCTAGGGAGTGTGGAGGGTCAGCTTCCGCAGCAGCTCAGTCATCAGCTGTTGGCAGGAGGCCTCAGACCTTCACCACGTAGGCCTCACCACCTCTGTCCCCATGTCCTCACAACGCAGTGGCTGACTTCTCCCAAGGCGTGTGGTCCAGGAATGAGTGAAAGTCACAGTGTCTTTATATAACCCTGCCTGGGAAGTGACACACTCTGTCTCCTATGGGTGACGCCAACCAACCGTGTACAGGGTAGAAGGGGTCACACAGGGCATGAGAACAGGAGGCAGGGGCCATGGGGCTGTCCTGGGGACAGTCTGCCACCTCTTGATGCCTGGCACTGCTCTTGGCATGGCCATCTGCATGGAAAGGCTGTAACGAGAAGGGTGCTCAACCACCAGCTCACAGGCAGGGAAGCCCATGCTGCCTGGAGGATTCCTGCATTCTCCTAGCATCTGTGGCACCCCCCACGTCCCAGGGGCTCGGAGACAGGTCACCGTTTCTCTGGACTGTCACTCCAGCGAGTTCACCGCCCTTCAACTCTGAGCAGTGCAGAGACCCCGGACCACAACAACCGTGTTCCTCAGACTGATGCGAAACTCCAAAGAGCGGGAAAACGACTTTAGAGGGACCGGAAAGGGGAAGCGAGTCTCCCATGGTTTGAGGTGTTGCTGCCCGTACCTGTGCACTTGGCCACGGTCCAAAGTGACTCCATTGCGGGCACAGCCGTGGGGCTGACGTGAGACCCCAGCCTGGCAAAGCGAGCACTCGGAGGCAGTGGGCAGAAAGGGCTCCTCTCGGCTCTGCAGCCGGAAAGGAGACATCTTTTTAGATAAGAGTTACAGATAATATTCTATTTCTGGAAACGCAAGGATGGGTGGGATGAACCTTCTTAACTAATGTGATCCATTCAGAAGTATGTTAAAATGTATCCCTTCATATAATGCACCCTGCTTTAATTTTTAGATCAGGGCTGAAGAGTTTTTCTTTTTTTTTTTTTTATGAGAAAGGGAAAATGTTGTTTTTAAAATTAGGAATAGGAATTTAGGCCAGGCACGGTGGCTCATGCCTGTAATCCCAGCACTTTGGAGGCTGAGGCAGGCAGATCACTTGAGGTCAAGAGTTCCAGCCCAGCCTGGCCAACATGATGAAACCCCATCTCTACTAAAAATACAAAAATTAGCCAGGCATGGTGGTGCACATCTGCAATTCCAGCCGCTTGGGAGTCTGAGGCAGGAGAATCTCTTGAACCTGGGAGGCAGAGGTTGCAGTGAACTGAGATCGCACCATTGCACTTCAGCCTGGGCAAGAGAGTGAGACTTCATCTTAAAAAAAAAAAAACGGGAATTTAGTTATATTTAACAAGTAATCATTTTGGGAGGCCGAGGCAGGAGGATTGCTTGAACCCAGGAGGTCAGGGCTGCAGTGAGCCAAGATCTCATTACTGCACTCTATCCTGGGTGAAAGAGTGAGACCCTGTCGCAAAAAAAAAAAAAAAGGAAACTCTGTCTCAAAAAAAAAAAAATCATAACTTGTTGAGAAGTAATTAAAGACATGCAGAACTGGAGAAGGTAGGACAACTCCGATGAGTCCGAGTGAGGGGTGGAGGATCTGGCGATTGTGTGTGTCGCTGGTAAATTTTTTTTTTTTTTTTGAGACATAGTGTCACTCTGTCGCCCAGGCTGGGTGCAATGGTTCAATCTTGGCTCAGTGTAACCTCTGCCTCCCAGGTTCCAGTGATTGTCTTGCCTCAGCCTCCCAAGTAGGTAGGATTATAGGCACATGCCACCACACCTGGCTAACTTTTTTTTTTTTTTTATTCGTAGTTTTGCTCTCGTCGCCTGGGCTGGAGTGCAATGGCACAGTCTCGGCTCACTGCAACTTCCGCCTCCCGGGTTCAAGCAATTCTCCTGCCTCAGCCTCCCAAGTATCTGGGATTACAGGTGCCCACCACCATGCCCAGCTAAGTTTTTGTATTTTTAGTAGAGATGGGGTTTCACTGTGTTGACCAGGCTGGTCTCAAACTCCGCGAGCTCAGGTGATCCGCCCGCCTCGGCCTCCCAAAGTGCTGGGGTTACAGGCGTGAGCCACCGCGCCCGGCTGAGAAATTCTTTATGCAACTTCTGTCCTGCTGCCCTCCCTGCCCAGGCCCCTCCAGGGCCTGTGCTGATTGAAGGGAGAAGGTCGCACCTTATTACAACTTACATCGCCACCTCGTGATACTTGCCAATTTCCCCTTTTTGCAGAGAGAGAAGGGAAACATTGGGCAGGCTAACGTTTTAATAACATTGTTTGGTTTTCACTGTATTAATTGTGTGTCTACCTTCTGTCTGTGGACAGTCACAGGCTGTCCATTTGTAGTGGTGGTATGGAGTTCTCTTTAGAAAATAAATGCGTGTACATATAGTGGTTTCCATGAAATACGTAAATAATAGCACAGTTGGCAGAAACCACAAAGGTGGTATGGAAATGACTAATATTTGAGAAGCACTAGTTTGTGGCACATGGGACGACATATTTGTGCTGTAGGGCACAGCGCTCTGAGCTCCCCATCAGTAGTGCCACGGTGGGTACCATCACATCCTAGAAATGTGGCTCCTGGCAGATCATTCGGCCTCAGTTTCTACATCTCTAAAATGGAACGACAACACCCGTCCTCTTACCTTTGCCGGGACTGTTGTGAGGCCCAAATGAGATTATGTTCGTGCAGCTTGTGTCACTTAAGGTTGCTAACATGCCCTTCTATCAACTGAGCTTCCCCACCCCCAAAAATTTGGATTTCCATATATGCAAGACAATAAGCTATTTTACATTTCTCTAGAAGTTTAGCAAATACTAAAAAATACTTTTTAGAATAAGATGAAACAAACCATATTTTAGTTTTGTCTTCTTGCTTTTCAGATGATACTGTTGATCTCTAAGCCTGACTACCTTTTCATATAAATTAACCCCTCGGTTTTCTGCAGCTCCCTCTGTATCTTCCCAGTTGTGTTCCCTTGCCCCAGTCTTTAGGTTTATTAATCTAGGAATTGACTCATGTGGGCTCATCTGTTTTACTTTGATCTTGTGAGGTGAGTCCCAGTTTTGGGTGTCCTGGCAAGCCAGTGCCAGTGTTGTGTGCTTTATTCTGGGGGCTGGGTGCTGGGGAGGGGGCAGCCCACCCTTTCCTCTGCTCTGGAGAGGCTGAGAGAGGAAGATGGGATAGCACCAGGTAACAGAGTCATTTCTTTCTTCTGGTGGTGCGGCTGCCTTTGAATTCCTACCCTGTCGCCAGAGGGGGGAAGAGGAGGAAGAGAGAAGGTTATGGCAGGGGCATCCGAGGCACAGGAATAACCTCTTCAGCACCCACGAGTAGGGGGCCCCAGGCTGCTGTCTGCTCTTGCCCTATCCCTGTCTGGGATGTTCTGTGTATTTCTGGGACCGGCTGGTTGATGGTGACAGGGTCCCAGGCCACAAGGGAAGCCTCAGTCTGTAACACAGCAACTTTGTTGATGACAAAGAGGCAGAGCTTTTAAAATGGAGCCCATAATGTTCATGCTATTTCTTGTAAGAATTTTTGTTGTTGTTAGGAGAGCAGATTTTATAAACACTAAGGTGGTTTTTTTTTTTTTTTTTTTGCCAACTTTATCTGTCAATTTACAAATAGTTGCTGGTAAGTGCTGTTTTTTCCTCCTGAATTTAGTTAAACCACCAAGGGAGGCTTTCTTACACTGGGATTGCAGTTGCTCTGTTGGATTGGGGAAAAAGTGTCCTAATGACCCAGGAACACTTTAATAAAAAGGTTCAGTTGAAACTACAGGAATGCCGAGAGCTGACTGAAAATGCAGAGAAGTTCTAAGGGGGTAATCGGCAGTGAGGGAAAAGTACAGTGCCTCGTGGCTTCTAGGATGTCCTTTGTCCTATATTCTCGGCTCTTTTCAAATTGAAGGAAGTGGGTGAGAGAGATGCTGCTAATTACATCTATGAATAAAGTGACACAGTGCACCGGCTCTGAGCAGAGACCAACACAACTCGAGAGAGAAAATCAGTCTGTCATATTTGTACAAATATGTGCACTTCGATGATAATTACCATAGTCATTGTTTACTATTGCTGCATTATATTAATTATCTATTCAGTGATATTAAATACATAACTCTAAACATCATCCCCGAACAAATTACCTTTTATCAATTGAAACAAACCAATTAAAAATTTCAAAATGCAACCATGTAATCAACGGCTTACTACACGATAATTATGACCAAAATGCCAATTAATGTGTTAATATATGACCTCAAATCTACAGAAACAAACAACAAAAAAAAGCAGCCTCACATAGCAATTATGGCCTCGTTTGATTGACAGATATCTGTGGGTTTGTTTTTCTGTCTGACTCGGTAATTTGACTTATATGAAAACAGCCGGCCTGTTCTGTCCCGTGTTCTGAAGCCTGTTCTTTCCCGTGTGTGACAAGCGCGCAGGATTAAAAAGCACAGCCTTTTCTCTTCAGCTCCTGCATGTCCCTTCCCTGCACTGCCCAGTTGCATCCCTTTCCAGCATCGTTTCTGCTGCCCTTGAACCTGTGGAGTGGGAAGCAAGACAGGGATCTCTCATTTTATATATCAGTAAGGTGTGGCGTGGACAGACCCGTGTCGCTCCCTGGACACCACTGGTGGTATTGATTTTATGGAGCAGAGGCTGGTGCATGCATGTGTGTGTCAGGTGGGCAGTGATGGGGGGGTGGGGATGAGGCATGGTGATAATTCACAACATACCCTCTATCTAGTTGGGATCCGTAAAGGAGGAGGTTAGGGGAGGGAGGATCCATGCCTACTTGTGGAGGGTATCAAGAAGGGCTTCCTGGGGAGGTGGAGGTGAGCCGAGCTCACCAGGAGCTTCACCTTCCTGGGGAGGCGCAGTGAGCCAAGACTGCACCACTGCATTCCAGCCTGGGTGACAGAGCGAGAGTCTGTCTCAAAAAAAAAAAAAAAAAAAAAAAAAAATAAGGGCTTCCTGTAGGAAGCTTAGTCAGTGGAAAGGATTTAGAGAGGAAGGGACAGGAAATAGAGAACAGCAGGCCGGGCGTGGTGGCTCACGCCTGTCATCCCAGCATTTTGGGAGGCTGAGGTGGGCGGATCATGAGGTCAGGATATCGAGACCATCCTGGCTAACATGGTGAAACCCCGTCTCTACTAAAAATACAAAAAATAAAAAATTAGCCGGGCGTGTTGGCAGGTGCCTGTAGTCCCAGCTACTCGGGAGGCTGAGCCAGGAGAATGGTGTGAACCCGGGAGGCGGAGCTTGCAGTGAGCCCAGATCGCGCCACTGCACTCCAGCCTGGGCGACAGAGTGAGACTGTGTCTCAAAAACAAAACAAAACAAAGAGAACATTCTAGCAGGAGAAAGGGCGTTGAGTGCTTGGGTTGGGTCAAGGCACAAGTCTGGCTGAAATTTAGAATCTTTGAAGGAAAGCGATGGTGAGATTATTTAGACTGGGAAGATGAACCTGCCAATCTTATTTCTTATTCTGCGTGTGTCACTTGATGAGAAGGCCATGTCTCCACCCTTTAGTAAAGGCCAAGGTCATTTAAAAGGTTACCTGGCCTTTTTAAGTGACTTGAAATGTTTAGCACAGTTTTAGAAGGTCAGTGTCTCACCACCTGACCCTTATTTCCTTGGTTTATGATGGCCAATTTATTGCGTCTGTTTTATTCAAAAGAAAACTGAGGGTGCTTCTGAAGTAGTTTCTTATTTCAATGTGTACACACCTCCACTCTGAAACATGGCTCCCTTAACTGCACAGGCAAATTTATCACATGTAGTTGTGAACATATATTTGTGTGTGTATTGCAGTGGAAAATCCCCTTGAAAAATCAGCAAATTGGACTTCAGCTTGAAAAGTATAGACAGAGAACAAAACTGTCTGTGTGCAAATATATGTATATGTGTGTATCTAAAAACATATATAAACACATGTATACGTATGTATATATAAATAAAATTGGATTGAGTCATAAAAGTATAAATATGTCCAATGTAAAATCTACTAGAGAAGGAGTTTGTTTTTATGACTCAGAGGGAATGTGTAATAAAGAGGTATTTTTAAGACCGAGAGCCAGTGTGTGTCAGCTTCTTTTTGCCCATTGTTTGTGTCCTGGGCAGGAAGATGACTCACTAGATCTGAATCACAAGGCAATTAAGAGCCCCAGGAAAGGCTGATTTCAGGATGGATATTTAGAAGCTTCAGCTAAATCAGGTCTTGGGTATCTAGGTGGATTGGGGAATCAGTGAAACAAATATTTCTCTTCATTGTTTTAGATTCTGTGGATCTCTTGCTCAGTACAGAAGTACTTTTTTTCCCCCAAAAAATCATATGAAGAAAGAGGAAGCGCTGCCCATTCTGAAGGAGGTTGTTAAAAATGAGTAACGCACACTTCATGTTCACAGCAGCAGTATTCACAATAGCTCCACGTGCCCGTTGACAGGTGAACAGGTAGACAGAATGTGGTCTATCTGTGCAATGGAATAGTATTCAGCCTTAAAAAGGAAGGAAATTCTGTCACTTGCTACAACAGGGATGAACCTTGAGGACATGATGCTATGAGAAATCAGCCAGCCACAAACAGACACATACTATGTAATTCCACTGAGTCGAGGTTCCTAGAGTAGTGAAATTCATAGAGACAGAAGGTAGAACGGTGATTTCCAGGGGCTGAGGAGAAGAGGGGATGAAGAGCTGCTGTTTAAAGGATGCAGAGTTTCAGTTTTGCAAGGTGAAAAATTGCTGGAGATTGATCGTACATCAGTGTGAATGTACTTACCACTACTGAGCGGTACACTTAGAAATGGTTACGATGGTAAATTTAATATGAGGTGTCTTTCACCACAATTACAAAAGTGGAATGAGTGAAGCTTATTAAGGATAGACAGCAGATGGCTGAGAAGTTGGCCTGGCTGGACCGTTGTCTGGGGGGAGCATGTGGATGAGGCATGAGGTGGGGAAATAAGGAACCTGTCTTTCTTCCAGTTAATTGTTCTTTCCCCCTTGCCTTCCACCTTCCTTTCCCTCCTGATGGCTCATCCTGTCTCCCTCTCACGTGCCTGCTGTATACTTTCTTCCTTTTCCCTGCTGGTCCACCCGACCTATTTTTACTCCCTCACATTTGGTTGTCTTTATCCTCGGAGGAGAATGCTCACACCAGCGTCTTTCTTCAGGACAGCTTTCTACCTTCCTTTTTTTTTGCCATTTTAAGACCGACAGTGGCATAAGGTCACTGGGTGAGGTAGAGATACACTGATCTTTTTTTGGTGGCAGTTAGGGATATTGACATTGGTCATTTCCCAAAGCGACAGCAGTGGTAGCACAGGTGAGGGTGTCGCCCACCGTCTGAGAAACCCATGAAGTACGCTGGCTGCTCTTCCATGTTGCCCCCTTCATAACAAAGTGTTCGCTATCACGTTAAGAAATATGTTCGAGGAGGAAGCCGTGCAACAGCTTCAGAAAAAAATTCTAGAGCTAGAACATGCAGTTGGTTTTCAAATCTCATATTCTTAATTTCAATCCTTTTATTTCGGATCCAGGCTTTAGGATGCCTCTCTCTCTGATATCACTAAATAAAAATTATCCAAATGTTTAACATTATATAGAAATAAACATAATGGTGTATTTGACAAAATTTGACAATTTTCATGTGGATATTCAATGCCTTGTGGTCAAAGTTTAAATCAAAACCAATGTGGTCTTGGCTTCAGGAATCTGTACCATCATAGATAGCAGTGGAGAAGAGGAAATAATAGTCTGGTATCCTTAACCCATAATATAGATTGTATATTTGTTGAAAGTAGAATGCAAGGGTGGCAAAGGCCTGATCTTGTTGAGGGATGGGAATTTGTCAAACGCAGTCACTGAATCTGTGTGGTGGACACGCGTGCTTGAAAACCTTGCGGAAGAGTAGCCATCAAAAATACTTACAGTTCTTACCAAGGTTACGGCAGGGCAGGGGTGCTACCCAATAAGGTAGCACCCAAATCGGCTTCACTGCTTCAATACGATGGAAGGCTGAAGGACACATTTGTGGTTTTTTTTTTCTTTTCTTTCTTTCTTTTTTTTGAGACTGAGTCTTGCTCTGTCGCCCAGGCTGGAGTGCAGTGGCACAATCTCGGCTCACTGCAAGCTCTGCCTTCCAGGTTCATGCCATTCTCCTGCCTCAGCCTCCTGAGTAGCTGGTACTACAGGCACCCGCCACCACGCCCAACTAATTTTTTGTATTTTTAGTAGAGACAGGATTTCACCGTGTTAGTCAGGATGGTCTTGATCACCTGACCTCGTGATCCACCCACCTCGGCCTCCCAAAGTGCTGGGATTACAGGCATGAGCCACCGCGTCCAGCCAGGTTTGTGTTTTATAGGAAGAATAAATTTCCATTTTAAATGAAACAATTCTACTTTTTTCTTGTGAAATAATGTTGAAGTATAGATAAAATATATCAATTGTATGAAGATCATTTAAAGAAAATCACATGTATATTGAAAAAGATTTTAATTTTTTTTTCTTGGAAATAGTGATCTATTGTTTTAATGGAAAAAGGAAGTGTAGTTTTTAAATGTTCTTTAATATTGATTTACAGAAGCTTAACATTACCTTTTTAAATACCACAGGTACAGTAAAATTTAATGGGAAAGCTAATTTTTAATAGTTTGATAATGTGTATATATTTTATATATATATAGGTTTTACCTTGCATTCGCATTTTAAGAGAACAAGCTTATTTTATGATTAACAGAATCATTAAAAATTTTTTATTGTAAGCTTGCCAGAGTCCTAGATTTAAAAAGTTATACTCACACCACATATAGTCTAATGACGACAATAAGGATAAAGAAATACTGAACTTTTTTAAGTAGGCTTATGTCGGTAGGGATATTGATGACATTCTGAAACTATTTTGTGTTTATTTAGGAGAGAGTAAATGAGCAACTAAGTGAATTGATGTGTTGGACACCAACATTTTCACTGTGGAAGGAGACATAAATATGAGGAATGTGAGGTACTGGATTTGAGTTGAAAGTATCAGTATGAAGTCATGTTAAAATACACCCACGCTCTCTCTCTCACTGTTGTGGTTGTATCAACTGAAGAGCCTAGAAGCTGTGCCATCCCAATACGCACACATTCTCTCTCTCTCACTTTTCTAGTTGTATCAGCTGAAGAGCGTAGAAGCTGTGCCATCCCAGCCATTATGAGCATCTCTCATGCCCAGATCTTCGTTTCTGAATTTCTCTTTCCACTAGAAGAAACCATGAGAGAAATGGCGAGCCTGAGATCCTTTATTGCACCAAAAGCAAGGAAGTATGGAAGGAGAGCTGAGGGCTTGCCAGGACATTGGCTGACATGGTCTCTCACTGGTCAAACTTGGGATGGTTGGAACATCAATAAAGAATATTAATGATCATGGATTATAAGTACATTAAAAAAACCCATATGAGTCCACAGTGATGAGAGTTGGGCTGGAGCAGGGAGGGGAAAGCTCTGCTTTATAGGAACATGCCAGATAACAAATATAGAAGGAGTTAGAGAATTAGAAACTCCTCATGTTATAACCTTAATGTAATCAACTGATTCAGGATGGATGTGAAAACTATTGGATGAGAGGCTGTTGATGTTAGCACAGTATTCTCTGTGCTTTTGCAATGTAGAGATTGGCCGTGACCTTAATGAAGTGGTCAGGTTTGGCGTCACTAATGGTGGGAGTCCTGATGTGATGCGGTAGGAGGATACCTGAAGCCCCTGGGAAGAGTGGCTTCGATGCTGCCAAGGAGAATGTCATGAAGTACAGAGCTAAGTGCAGGAACTGTTTCAGATTAGGGAGACCAAGCAGAAATAACAGCCAATTGCAGTGAATGAAACTTGGTCGGATTCCATATCGAAACAAACAAAATGGCTATAAAGGACATTTTTGAGACAATCGGGGAAATGTGAGTGTGGACTGTATGTTGGATGATGGTATTGAATCACCCTTTCCTTTTTTAAAGGTGTGACTGGATAGGAGAAGGTGTTTATTCTTGAGAGATGCCTTTTGGATTACTTAGGGTGAAATTTCACAAGGTCTTAAGTCCAGTTTTGGATAGTTTGGTAAAAGGAAAGCATGTGTGTGTACGTGTGTGTATGAGAGAGAGGGGATTTGAGAAGATATTAATTCTTGGTGAATGTAGGTGGAGAGTTATCAGTATTCAATGCTATATCGTTTGTTTCTGTAGGTTTGATATTTTTGAAAATAAACAATAAGTAAAACTAAGTGGCATAGAAATTAATCTCTTCTTTTCATATGGACACATAGAGACATGGTGCTAGGATGGCATGTGGGAAATAGTTTCTGCAAGATGAGCATATTCTTCCTCCACTGCCCCTACCAGAGAAATGTGAATGCTGATTCACTTCTTTTGACCAGTGGTGATGGAATAGAATTTTCCAGTCATGCAGTTGTACTTATTGCCTTCTGGTTCTGTATCGATAAGCTTCATTCCTTTTTTTTTTTTTTTTTAGCTTCATTCTTTAGAAATTGGATTCTTTACTTAGTCAAGTCTATAATCAAAATAGACTTTCCATGGTAAGTAAAGTAACATGGGAGCGCATAACAATACCTGTCATTTATGAAGACCTACTGTGTGCTTGGCACTGTGCTGTGCTTTTATTTAAGTCTTCTCCATTCTTCATCATCCCCACATTACCAGGAGGAGACAGGCTCAGGATGACAAGTGGCTTTTGCAAGGCCGCGTGGTGAATACATCGTAGATTTGAAATTTAAACCCAGTTCTTTCTGACTCTAATTTACCTATATGTTCATCCTCCAGTATCATGCTACCTGTATGCCTGGAAATAAACCATTTTACATAGTTTCTAATGGGATTACATTTTTAAAGGAAATTCATGGTAGTAAAGATCTCGTTAACACTCCCTTGATGTATGGTATTTGAGTTTAAGTGTGAAAAGAAGACACTAGCAATGGACTTGTACTGAGATTCAGGAACCCTGGCTTCTGCTTCCAGTTCTCTCACTGTCTGATGGTGTGATTTGAGGGCCTTAGTCTTATCAAATATAATCATTGGTTGGTCTGGTTGATATCTCAGTTAATTTGGGAAACTAAAATAGCATGACATTTTCAAAGAATTTTTAAAAAGATTACTGTGGCAGAAGCAAGTTCTGGGGGTGGAGGTGCATGAGGAGGGCTTGGGATAGTGGGAGGTGGCTGGAGTAGGGGCTGGGTTATTAGGGGTCTGTAGGCAATGTTAGGGCTTCCAACTTTGTAAGGGGCAATGAAAGTTCTCATAGGTTTTTTACACTCTAAAATAATAATAATAATAGTTCTTTAATATCAAATATGAGAGTCAGAGTCAAATTTCCCTCATTTATACTTTGTTCAAATCAGGACCTAAAGAAGGTTCACACATTGCAATTGCTGATAGGCCTCTCTCCCCCTCTCTCTGCCCGCCCTCTTCTTCTTTCTCTCTCTCCCCATCTCCCTGTCTCTCTCTTCCCTTCCCTCTCTCCATCCCTCTATCTTTTAATAACAGCTGTATTGACATATAACTCACATACCGTACAATTCATCTATTTAATGTGTACAGTTCAATGGTGTCTTATTCCATTGGGCTACTATAACAGAATACCATATACTGGGTGGCTTATATGCAACAGAGATAAATTTCTCACAGTTCTGGAGGTGGAAAGTCCAAGATCAAGGAGCCAGCAGATTTGGTGTCTGATGAGGGCACACTTCCTGCTTCATAGATGGCACCTTCTTACGGTGTCCTCACATGCTGGAAGGGCCTCTTTTATAAGGGCACTAATCCCATCCATTAGGGCCCCATCCTCATGACTGACTAATAACCCCCAAGGCTCCACCTCCTAATACTGTCACATTGTGAGGAAAGATGTCAACATCTGGACTTCAAGAGGACGTAAACATTCAGACCGTAGCAAATGGGTATGAACTGCAGTCAGACAGTTGTGCAACCATCACCACAGTCAATTTTAAAACGTTTGCATTACCTCAAAAAGAGGCCCCATAGCTGTCAGCAGACATTCCTCACTTCTTCCCAACACTCCCCCAGCTATCGGCACAATAATCTACTTTCTGTGTCTATAGATTTGTCAATTTTGGATACTTTACATAGGTGGAATCAGATAATATGTGGCCTATTGGCTTCTTTCACTAGCATAAGTTTTCAGGATTCATCTGTGTTGTAGCATGCATCAGTGCTTCAGTCCCTTTGATTGCTGGTCATCTTCCATTGCATGGATGTATCCATAATTGTATGGAGACACCACATTTTATGTATTCATCAGTTGACAGACATTTGGGTTGTTTCTACTTTTTGTCTATTGTGAATAATGATGCTGTGAATATTTGTGTACAGTTTTTTTTGTGTAGACACGTTTTCCTTTGTCTTAGATATGTATCTAGGAATGGAATTGCTGGGTCATATGGTGACTCTGCATTTAACATTTTGAGGAACTTCCACACTGTTTTCTAAAGTAGGTGTGCTATTTTTCAGTCCCACCTGCAGAGGATTCCAGTTTATCCACATCCTCTCCAACGCTTGCTGTTGTCTGTGTTTTTGATTATAGCCACTCTACTGCGTGTGAAATGTTATCTCATTGTAATTTTGATTTGTATTTCACCAATAGCCATTGGAGGGTTTTAGGGATGAAATGGCATGATCTCATTTAGATTTTAGGAAGATCACTGTCACCGTATCAAAGAGGATGGATGAGAGAGGTGCAGGCAGATTACCAGATACCAGATGATGGATGGCAGCAGACAGGCCAAGGTAGTGGCAGTAAGAATGGTGAGAAGTGAGTGGATTACAGGGGAATCTAGAAATACTGTCCGTAAGAATTTGTGATTGGTCAGATGTGAGGATTGGGGAGCGCTGAAACTGCATTTCCTGCCTGGGCACCTGCGTGAGGCCATCCATTGACAGAGGGGACAGAGCAGGGTGGGTAGTGGAGAGTGGTGTGTGCAGATCTGGAGGGGTTGAGTTTGCATTTACTATCAAGAGAGGAGATCAGGAGTGGTCTCTGGGCTGGAGGCAGACATTTGGGAATTGTTAATATATATCAGCAGTATCTCCAGAACTGGGAATGGCTGAGGTTGGAGAGTGAGAGGAAACTAGGATATTTGAGCTTACCTCTTACTTCTGGAGCTTTGTGATGCTTTTGCCCTTTTAGAAAAATGCATGGAAGTACAGTTTTTTACTCAATATGGAATACAGTTAAAGAACAACATTTCCTTCACTTTATTGAAATTTGTTGCAGGATAACATCTCTGTCAAAGCACTTTACAAGGCTTTCTAGTAAAGTAAATTTTGTGTATTGCAGTGGGGAGAGGGGAGGGGGTTGCCTCTTGTAAGGCAGAATTTGATTGGCATTATCTCTTAAGTCTTCATTTCCAGCAACAATCTTAACATGCTGTTTAGATTTAAATGGTGGGTGGACCATATGTCATGAAGAGGTACAGTGATAGAAAACAATCTCTAAATATCTAACCCATTTAAGTGGTTCCTACAGGTTTTTATGTTTTTGAGATACATGCCTAATTTTGGATTATTAATTCTTACTGGAATTTTGTCTGTTAAGTTAGGAAGAAACGACTTATAAAGTTTCCTTTGGTTTTCCCCAGGAAGATACTTTTATAACATGAAATCTTTAAAAAACCCTTTAGAAAAGTGGTCTATATAATTCTTAGCAGGGTGTTGAGATCAAGTGCTTTTCTTCTTTTCATTTTTTACACTTTGTCAGTTGAAGATGTGCAAAGAAGTCCATTTGAAATTTCCCTCGGGCCACTTAATTCAGCTTCATTACAGTGGAAGTGGGTTAAAAATGATAATCATACAGCCCCAACAGGTGATTAGAAATATAGATAGGATGGGGCCAGGCACAGTGGCTCACACCTGCTCAGCACTTTGGGAGGCTGAGGTGGGCAGATCACGAGGTCAGGAGATCAAAGACCATCCTGGCTAACACAGTTAAACTCCGTCTCTACTAAAAACACAAAAAATTAGCCAGGCGTGGTGGTGGGCCCCTGTAGTCCCAGCTACTTGGGAGGCTAAGGCCGGAGAATCGTTTGAACCCAGGAGGCAGAGGTTGCAGTGAGCCAAGATGGTGCCACCGCACTCTAGCCTGGGCAACAGAGCGAGACTCCATCTAAAAAAAAAAAAAAATCTATATAGATCTCTATAGATAGGATGAATCCATGACACGTCCTTAAAACAGTTTTATTTTTTCCGTTTCATGAATTTAGCAGGAGGATCCTATTCTCACTGCAACCTCTGCCACCCAGGTTCAAGCAATTCTGCGTCAGCCTCCCGAGTAGCTGGGATTACAGGTGACTGCTACCACACCTGGCTAATTTTTGTATTTTTAGTAGAGACAGGATTTCACCATCTTGGCCAGGCAGATCTTGAACTCCTGACCTCGTGATCCACACCCCTTGGCCTCCCAAAGTGCTGGGATTACAGGCATGAGCCATCGTACCCGGCCGAGATTTCATTTTTAAAAAACATGAATCCAAGAAGTGACTTGAGTTCCAAATAAATAAATTTATAAATTTACTTATGTTCTAGAATAAATGCAAGTAATTATGACTGCATTAGTGCAGCATTAATTAACATTGCTAATTCTTTGTAATTATGCCAAATAATAACACTAATAAAATGTAAATATCAAATGAATAAGGCGAGAGCCTCCCCTCCTCTTTTTAAAGCCACTATATTACAGTGTCAGATTATGAACACACAATATTATCAAGCTTCCAGATATCCACTTTCTAAATACGGTCTGTGTGAATTCTAATGAAAACATCAGCTCTGTGGTATAAATCTCCTTTGCCGCCTGGTTCAATGAGGGGCTGCCCAGCAAGCCAATAATTCCATTCCTCAGAGCATTGCTGAGAATATTTATATAATTAAATATCATCTGTTTCCCCATTTAATTCCTGGTGGCTATCCCCCAACCCCCTGGCTGTTTTTGCTGTTTCCTTGGGCAGGAATGGCACAATAAAGTTGCTGCAGTGCTGATGGATTATCTTCATTAGGTACTTGGGTGATGAGTCCCCAAGCACTGCTGAATTTGATTTACCCTGTGCAAAGGCCCAACCTTCCATAGAAGCGCTAAGTAGGGCAGGTTTTATGCAGCTTGAACTGGTTGGTGTGAAGAAGAAGGAAAAAATTAAGTTGTTCTTCTAGAAAACAATTTTGGGAAATGCTTTGGTCTCTTAGGAGAGCCTCCTTTGCCTCCTTTTATACAATCTCAACAAATGGTGATACTGAAAGTCCTTTTTGGTAAGAAGAGGCGGATGAAGTGAGAACGTGGTGAGCTGGAGAGAATGCAGGAGACCCGGGTTCTGCATCTGGGGTCAGAGCTGAAGCCAGGCTGACCTTCCTTGGGTCTCGGGGTGTCTGCATCTGGGCAGCGATGGAACAGGACTGTGGCTCTCCAAGGCCACTTCAGCTTTGGAGTGGGACCTTCGTGAATCCCGCCCTGCCCCTGATAACCATGGGCCCTGGGCAAGTCACCCCATCTCTCCCCGCCTCTGACACTTTGTCTTTAAAATGGGAATACACCACTTGTTTTGCCCACTTGTTACAGGGTGGTCCGGAGGTCTGAATACAAGAGCGCACTGCATGGTCCTGTGCGGATCCCAGCTCGCAGCAGGTGCCCACAGGACGCCGCCCCTCGCTTCCCTCATGTCCTAGATTCTGTGAGACACAGCCCGTGACACTTTGAAGCAGGGCCGTAGGAATTCCGATGGGAGGTGATTAGAGAGAATAAACAAAGTGACGGAGTTGGGCCTGAGACAGGGGAGTGGTCTGCGGTGGAACAGTGCTGGAGTAACTCCTGCCACTCTGAGCCAAGGCTCTTATTTATTTTTATTTTGGACAGGGTACTTGCAGAATCAAGGCTTTGGGAGTCTGGTGAGTGGTCAGACCCTTCATGAATGGGATTGGTGGCCTTATAAAAGGGACTCCAGAGATGTCTCTTTCTCTCCTTGCACCATGGGAGGACGAAATGGGAGTCTGGCCATCTGTAGCCCAGAAAAATGTTCTCACCAGAACCTGACTGCTACCACGAAGGGTGTTTAACCTACATTGAGTGCCAACTGTGCTTCTCCTTTAATTCAAAGCCTTTGATTTCTGGGGGTGCCTGTTCTGATGGCACTGATGGGCACCCCCTGTTGAGTGGGGCAGGTGACGGGAGGAGGACTGGCGGCCGTCAGTGGGGGCTACCATGGGGGTCCAGGGGGCCTGTCAAACTGTGGCACAGGGGAAACCCGTAGCTCTGTGCCTTACTATTTTACTATACCATCTCATTTAGTGCCCACGATTTCTTAAGAGGTAGGCACTGAAGGGGAAATCTGTAGCTCTGTGCCTTACTATACCATCTCATTTAGTGCTTATGATTCCCTAAGAGGTAGGCACTGAAACCATTACCATTTGTAGATGGGGAAACCAAGGGTCACAGTGGCTTGCCCAAGGCCACACAGGTCATAGGTGGGAGAACTCATTGGAGCCCTCCCCGCCTCAGCCACGACAGTCGTGTGTAAAGGTGGGTTCACGGAATATCATGGGGCCTCCTGTGGTCTTAAAGTTTGCACCTCTCCAAATTCCTAGGTTGAAATCCTAGCCCACAAATTCGTAAGTTAGTATTTGGGGAGGGGGCTCTGGGAGGTGATTTGTTACGAGAGTGCGACCCTCATGAATGGGACCAAGAGCCTTAGTGCCTGCCTGAAAGGGACCTCTTTGCACCATGGGAGGACACAATGGGAGGTTGACCAACTGTAGTCCAGAAGCGGGCTTGTACCAGAGCCTGACCATGCTGGCACCTTGATCTTGGACTTCCAGCCTCAGAACCATGAGAAATACACTTGTGGTGTTCATAAGCCACCCAGTCTGTGGCAGTTCGTTATAGCAGCCCCCGCCGACTCAGACCACGCTGTAGGATTTGAAGCAGGTGTGCTGAGAATGTAGGGTAGACATGTCATGGTGGCCGGTCACCTTCCATTGTCTTCTCTTTCTAAACGGCACCCACCTTATGGGCTGCTATGAGAAGGAAATGAGGCCAGTGTGTGGACTGGCGCACCCACTGTTAATCAGCTGCCGCTGCTTGGCCCGTTTCATCTGCCCGGAGGCCGTTCCTCACTGACATCAGCTAGTCATTCTGCCCTTCACCTTGGGAGGGCATCACACCTTGTGCCTTCGTAGAGAAAAATTCCTGTTTCTGCCCCACGCTGGAAAGTCAGATAAAGCCAGCACATGTCTGGAAGATGCAAGATGAAATGTGAAATCAGTATGGCATTGGGTGGAAACAGAATTCTACTGCACGATAATGACAGCCGAGATCAAAGGACCGTCTATTTATCGATAAGAGTGAAGGAAGGATAACATGGCAGCCAGAGGCGTCATCAAAGGGGAGGATGGCTGGGGTAAGACCCTCCAAGGGGGCCACAGGCCCTACCCAGATGGACACCGCATGCTGGTGTGGCAGACGAGGGCACAGACCAGTGTGGCCCCTCCGCCCTTTGCCCCAGTCGGCATTGTCGGCTGTTGCTGGCCCACAGCTGAACATGCTACGTGTCATCTAGAACCAGCCTTTCTGTCTCCATATTCTGAGTCCACAAGGGACAGTAATAATGTTGGGCCCACCCCTGGAAATGTAAGAAGAAATTCTCTTAGCCTGTCTTATCTTGTACTTGATTCTTTAGGTCCTTCTCTTAAGTTTTTCTTTTCTGTTCTCCTGTTAATCTGTCTTTCTTTTTAAAACCGCATACTTACACAGCTAGCGTTTTATTGCAGAATACTACTTTTAACTGGACCTAAAGAGAAAAGTCTAAGGTGTTAGCAGGTATCATTCTCACCAGTCATGAACGATTGCCATTCACAGTTTAATGTTATCCTAGTCTTATCTGTCCTGACCTCATTTCTTGATTAAAATGTTCCTGTTAAATTTCCTGTAAATCCTTCCTAGGTGAAAAATCCCTCCGAGGGCTGCGTATCGCCTGGGGCTGTCGTGTATTTTGGCAGCAGATCCCTTCCCTTGGCTGCTGGCTGGGTTTCTCCAAGCTAATGCTGTTCGGTGCAAAGGAATGGCCCTCGTTAGCTTCCTGAGCTTTTTAGAAGTTTTAGGCTGTGCTGGTTTTGACCCCTTCCTTCCTCTCTAGGACTCCTGAATAGGCCGAAGAAAAAATTAAATATTTAATAAACAACCCAATGTCACAGAGAATGGGAAAACTCTTGGGATTACATACTTGTACCCAAATCCTAATAGACTTTTTATGCTTATTGTTAATAATATACTATATTTGAAAGCAGAGTATAATGCCTAGGACGTAGAAGGACTTTAAAAAATGTTAGTTTCCTTTCCCTGTAGAATAGTCACCCTCAACCCTGGGCTGCACTTAAAAATCACCTGAGCCAGTGGCTCAAGCCTGTAATCCCAGCACTTTGGGAGACCTAGGCGGTGGATCACAAGGTCAGGAGTTCGAGACCAGCCTGACCAACATAGTGAAACCCTGTCTCTACTAAAAATATAAAAATTAGCCTGGTGTTGTCGCAGACGCCTGTATTCCCAGCTACTCAGGAGGCTGAGGCAGGAGAATCACTTGAACCTGGGAGGTGGAGGTTGCAGTGAGCCACGATCATGCCACTGCACTCCACCCTGGGCGACAGAGTGAAAAAACAACACAAAAAACTGTATTGATGTCTGGGCTGCATCCTAGACCAATTAAATCAGACTCTTGGAGAGTGAAGTCCGGGTGTTAATATTTTAAAAAGGCTCCCCAGGTAATTCTAATGTGCGGCCTAGGTTGAGAAGATCAGCTCTTAGAAGAATACAGCTGGCCGCCTTTTTGCTTTATACGTTTTGAGCTGCTGGCTTCTAATTAGAGTTAATATCATTACAATATAATGCCTTTGTTTTACATTAAATTTAATAAGAACAACCACTCTGCTCTCCAACAATATAGCTACTTTCTCTGGCTTAAGTGCTTCTATTCTTTTTTTAAAAAACAAACAAACAAACAAACAAACAAACAAAAAACTGAGTTTCCGATTAAAAACCCAAGCTTAGGCCAGAACAGAACTTTGGAACTGCAGTCAAACAAAATTTTAGATAATTGTTTTCTAATGGCTTCCTGACAAATGGAGACTAAAGACAGGCAAGGGGGCTAAGACCAGGCTGGGTGGGGAGAGGGGACAGCAGCACGTTGGTACCTGGGTCACCTGCCAGAAAATGAGTGGCAGTCTGTGCCCAGGTGGCTTCAATTTCCTGATAAAATGAAAAAGCCATGATATCTCTGTAGACCGAGTCTACGTCCTAACCCCCAAATCAGGACACATAGTCTTGTAAGTGGGAGAGTATACACGTGGACATTGTAGCTGGAATCTGAGCCTCAGTTTCCCCATCTGCCAATTGGAGGCATTGCAGAGTCCTCCTCAGGATTGCAGCACGGGTGAAAAGCTTGCTGACAAATAAATGCTTCCTATGTGTCAAACACCATTCTCAGTTTTAAAACGTGTTAAATAACTCTGTGAGCAGTTACCTTATCACCTGTCTTATACTGAGGAGGAAATCGAGGCACAGAGAAGCCAAGCAGACTGGCCTGGTCCCTGGAATAGCTGGGATTTGAACTTGGCAGTGATTCCAGAGTCTGGGCGTAAAACATCTGTGTCCAGTGCACAAGGTACCCAAGACCGTGTGGGCACAGGATGGACCCTCAAGGCAGCGAATGAAACCCGGGGCTGGTAAGGTCAAAGGTGTGTGAGCAGCAGTGATCCCAGCTTCACTCTGGAGAGCCAGGGCAGTCTCACACTGGGTATGAGGTGGGTGGGTATGGTAGTGGTGATGGTGTTGGTGACAGGCTTCTTTAGAAGTTTTGGAGCTTTTGGTTTCTCAGGTAGCAGGGGAGAATGAACTCAGAATATTATTAATGAAATTATCTGTAAGGTTGAAATGTACAGGAGTGCATTTTGGCATAATGGTGTGTATGTGCATGTGTGTTTTTGTGTTTGCATAACTGCATGCACGTGTATGCATTTGTATGATAGTGTGTGCTCATATGTGTGTATGTGTTTGCATATGTCTGTGCGTGTGTATGCATTTGTGTGACTACATATGTTATATTTACATGACTACATATGTGTGTGCATGCATATGTGTGTATGTGCATTTGTGTGTGTGTGCATATGTGTGTGTGCATGTGCATTTGTATGGGGTTGTTTGTGTATGCATGTGTGTTTGTGTGTTGGAGAATTATATAACAAGCGACTTTGTCTCATTCTTCAGCTTTGCATTCTGTGGGCTGGGGATCTGCATTTTTCCCTCCAGCCTCTTGTATTACCCAAGCTCACTCATTCACTTGATCATACTTTTACAACTCTGTGACATTTTTACCATCTTAGCTGGGCCCTTGCTTGTTGGTGGTTTTGCCCATTTCTAGGTGTGTGGCCTCCCTGGCCCTCATCTGTCAGCAGAGCCCATGGACTTACCCCAGAATTGCAACCCTGGAAGCATCTTAGCATCATCTGGGACTGATGCCCCCATACCCCTAATTAAATCAGGCCCTCTGCTCGGGAGCCATGATGGGTCTAGTGTATTCCTAGGGTTGAGAAACAACTGGCTGTATTCACCCAACCTATGAGAAGAGGATGAGGTGACATGGAGAAGTCAGTTTACAAGAGCTGGAGCAAAGTGCAGAGCCAAATATCTTGGCGCTGGGCTAATGATGCCCTTTTCATTCTCCCCTCTTCTTCTTCCCTCCTCTCCATTCTCTTCCAACACTGCTTCCCCAGGTCCCCTCTCCCATGCCAGGAATTAAAATGTTTTGTCTGGAAACAAGTGAGCTTGACTAACGTGGCCGGGCTCCCACTGCAGCTGAGTTCTGCATGTTCTGATGTCAGTGTTGTGAGCTTTAACTGGAGATTGGTGTCCAAAGGCAGCCGATACTGCTCTGTCCATTTCTGTTGTGCTGAAAATCACATGGAAACCAATCACATAATGATCTTGGGAATGAAGTATTCAATGCACAGTGTTATTAACATGTAAAAGACTTAGGGCAAATCACTTTTAAGTATGACAAGGCTTCAGATGTGTTTGGTTTGAGTATAGGGAAAAGAGTTTGGGGGGTTGTTTATCAGCAGTGCCATGAGGGAGGCTTATTTCTTCCCTTTAAATCTGGATGAATATGCCTGTGTGCGCCGCATGATAATAACAATCACGCCAGCCAGGAGATTAGCTGAGCTTTTGCTCTAGTAATTCTAGCATGCAAATTCAAAGGACTGCAGAGGAGGCAGGGGAGGAGCGTACTTAGCATCTTTTGCTCCCCTACATCCTAACCTTTGTGCTGTGTCTTAGGTTCATCTTAGGGACGGCTGAACGTGAAACCTCCATGATGTCAAAAGCCTGGAGAGTTGGGTCCATGCATGAATGCTGATCCACTTTCTCTCATAGTGAGATGTACAAACAGAAGGGTACATAAAACTTAATAATTATAGAAACCCATGTAACTACCCCCACCCCTAAGGAAAAAAACATTGCCACTGCCCTAGAAGGCCCTATACCCTGATGTTATTTAAGAAAATGGACCGCGGAAGAGAGGCACATGGGTGGCCAGGAATGGAGAAGCTCTGTTAGGACTTGGGCATGGCACTTCTTGACTGTTTCTGATCTTTATGAGGCAGTAGGGATTCTGGAACCCAACAGTTTGGGTTGCAATCTCATCTATGTTACTTACTAGCTTTGTGTCCTTGGGCAAGTCCCTATGCTCCTTGTGCCTTAGTTTTCCTATCTGTAAAATGGAGATAATAAAAGTGTCTACCTTGTAGGATAATTGTGAGCATATCAAGTGTGTTAATACATGTAAAATCATTAATACAGCATCAGGCACATACATGTTAACTACTATTACTTTATTAATAATCTTGGTTCTAAAACCTTGTGTTGTTTTATATGTGGAATTCCCAGTCTTCTAAACAGTATCTCTCTCTATAGATGACTGTATTATCCTGGTCTTCCACGTCGCTGGTGTGCTATCATCCCTGGCCAACTCAGATGTCACTGGGCATCTCCAGCACAGCCACTGTTCTTCCTTCCACTCCATGCAGAATGTGGCAGCCTGGCACACAAATAATTTTTAATAAAATTTTAGTGTATAAATGTGGTTTTTGGAAAGTAGGGAGGAGGGAAGTAGCATTGATTTAATATTTAAACAGTACCATTTAAACCTAGTAGCAAAACCCCTATACGATAATGAGTTGTAGTCTATTTTACAGATCAAGAAAGTGAAGCTCAGAGAAGGGAAGCAACTGGCCCAATGTCACATAGCTAGTAAGTGACTCAGCTGGGATTCGACCACACTTCTGTTTTCAGAAGTGCCCATCCCTTGCGGGGATTTGAGCTCTCACAGCCCAGCCTCCCATCCTTGCAGGAATCCTTCCTTCCACACTCCCAAAAACTGACCATGTAGGCTTCACTAAAGTAAATCATAAATTTGGAAGTCTAGGACATCTTGAACATGCTAAATATGTATCAATACACCTGATATATTGTTTCCAGTCACAGATAATTCCAGTTGATTTTCAGGCATGTGTAGATACTCATGATATAAAGATTGAGTTGTTACTAATCACTATGAGGCACGGGCAGGTCTTGAGGTAGAACCTCATGAGGGGAATGTTATAAGTACTTTTGCATTCGTATGATTTTCCCCATAACCTTCTCTCATGCTGGCAGGAGATAGCTCTCTTTTCCAAATTCTCAAGTTGGCACAGTTATGAAAACCTTCTAGGACATCAGTGTGATGATGTCCAGAGACAGGGGCAGACTCCTGATCTGTGGCTGTGCTTGGTACTCCCTCACCCCTTCATTGGTCTAATGGGCCAGCTGAAGAATTTACACAATAGGAAAATTGGCCAAAGCCTTAACATTGTTACCAACCTGCATTTCTTCATGAAGAAAGCACAATACTTGCCTTAACTGAGGGAAGTTTCGCAGGAAGGGGTATTCAGCTGTGTGAGTATGTGCTCTGATTCTTGCCTGTTTCTCAGTTCCCTGTGTGTTACTGCCACTTTCATTTATTACTGTTTGCTTATTTTAGAGCTATGTACCTTGCACCCTGTATGAAATTAACTCAAAGTGGATCATAAACCTAGGTGTAAAACATAAAACCATCAAACTTCGTGAAGAAAACATTGGCAAAAATCTCTGTGACTTTGTGTTAGGCAAGTGATTCTTAGATAAGACACAAAAACCAGAAGCCATAAAAGAAAATGATAGATTGGACTTCATAAAATGAAAATGTTATTCAAAAACATTGTTCAGAAAAATGAAAAGACAAATCTTGCCCATGTTCATTCCCAAGCATTTCATTTTGTCTGATGCTATTGTAAATGATACCTTAAAAACTGAAAAATTCCTAACCATTCATCATTAGTACATAACATTTGTTTTTAATAATTTTATTTTTTAATAATTTGTTTTAATAAGTTTTGTATGTTGACCTTGTCTTCTGAGACCCATTAAGCTCACTTATTTGTTCTTGTAACTTTTTTGCCCATTCCTTGGTATTTTCTTTCTTTCTTTTTTTTTTTTTTTGAGACGGAGTTTCACTCTTGTCACCCAGGCTAGAGTACAGTGACGCAATCTTGGCTCACTGCAACTTCTACCTCCTGGGCTCAAGTGTCTACCACTACGCCTGGCTAATATTTTTTTTTTTTTTTTTTTTTTTTAAGTAGAGACAGGGTTTCACCATGTTAGTCAGGTAGTCTTGAACTCCTGACCTCAGGTGATCTGCCCACTTTGGCCTCCCAAAGTGCTGGGATTACAGACGTGAGCCACTGTGCCGGGCCTTCCTTGGTATTTTCTATATGGACAATGCTTGTCTCCCTCCAAATTCATATGTAGAAACCTAATCTCCAATGTGATGATATCAGGAAGTGGGGCCTCGGGAGATGATTAAGTCATAAGGGTGGAGCCCTTAGGCATGGAGTTAGTGCTCTTATAAGAAAGGCCCCAGAGAGCTGCCTTGCGCCTTCTGTGATGTGAGAACACAGTGAGAAGATAGCCATCTATGAATTAGGAAGCAGGTCCTCAGCAGACACTGAATCTGCTGGTGCCTTGGTTTTGGACTTCCCAGCCTCCAGAATTGTGAGGAATAAATGACTCTTGGCCCTCCATGTCTGTCAGTTCTGCATCAGTGGATTCAACGAAACTTGGATCAAAAATGTTTTTAAAAAAAACACAAAAATACAGTGTATCAACCATTTGCAAAGCATTTACATTGTATTAGGTATTGTAAGTCATCTAGAGATGATTTAAAGTATATGGGAGGATGTGCATAGGTTACATGCTTATACTGTGCCATTTTATGTCAGGGACTTGGGCATCCTCAGATTTTGCTACCTATGGGGTTTTGGAACCAACCCCTTGCAGGAACTGAGGGACAACTATACTGTTGTTTATGAGCCATCCATTTTTATGGTACTCTGTCCAATCAGCCCAAGTTGGCTAAGACATAGATGATCATGTCTTCTGCGAATAATGATAGCTGATTTCTTCCTTTGCTATCTCAATGAATTTTACTTCCTTTTCTTATTGTGCTAGCTAGGCTCTCCAGCATGATGTTGCATAGGCGTGGTGAGAGTGGATATCTTCCCCTAGCTCTTGATCCGAGGGGAAAGCAGTCAGTTTTTCACCATGAAGAATGATGCCAGCTGTAGGTCTTTTGAGAGCACTGTCATTTTTACTTTTATTTTTGGCACATGGATGGGAAGGCTAAAGACTTGCAACTGACTTTCCTCCTATACCTTTAACATTTTGCTGAATGGTAGAGAAAGAGAAGCTGGGCCAGATGTAGTCTGGTTAGAATGCTGCTGGTTGGGAGTGAGTTTGAATATGTTTTAGAAATACTTTGTCTTTCTCTTCTATGTGCCATTCCTCTTAGTCTGTTCTTATTCCTGTACACTCCCTAGTCCTGAAAAAAGTAGTGACAGACCTGACATTTTAAGAGCACTATCCCAATTTAAACTGTACTTTTTTTTTTTTTTTTTAACAGAGCTTTAAGGAAATGAACAGCTCTCTACATTTTCTTGTATTTGTAGCAGGAATTCTGATCAAATTTTCACCTTTTAGTTTCCGTGAGAGAAAACAAGGGCCTTACACCTTTGATGATAAGACATCAAGTAACTGTTACTACTGAGTAAAATGTAAGAAGAAATATACTTTTTAATTTGTCAGCATTGCCCTTCCCTCAGTGACCAAGTTGCTGCACATTTGATAGCACAGGCAACCACAGCAAACGACTGATACGGACTTACCCAGTTAATTACCTAAAGATTATATTACTGGAAAAAGCTAAATCATCAACTCAACCATGTGTAAACACTTTGAACATCATCTTTAAAATGTCTTTGCAGTTTGTTTAGGTGGTAGTGGAATTTGTACAAAGTATCAGTCATTGTAATAGCATTCTAATAATTCTGTTAACAACTGCTTGAAATCAGAAAGTATTATTTCTGTTGTTTAGATTTGCCCAAGCATTTCTTGTGTAATGTTATAAGCTGTTTATGTGCCTCTTAATAGATGAGAGAATGCACTATGTGAAGTCTGAAGTATCTGAAGTAGGTAATGGAACCAGAGGAACTTAGGTTATGAGATGGGGGTATATAGGTAATATCCCATATATCATAGTAATAACAAGACATAGAAACTAATATACTCACTCCCAGATTTCCATGGGGACTAGGAGGAGCCTCCATTGTAGCCGGGGTCAGGAATGGCAGGGTGGCAGAACTACAGATGCATGCTCCCTCCATGCCAATGTGTGGAAAGGGAGTGACGGACAAAGGCAGTGGGATCTGGTCACGGGAGTATGGGTTGGTGTGTGTCACCCTGCATGGGGTATGATACTGGGCTGCTACAGGAGCTCATGGATTCCAGATCAGCAAAGGAATGCCATTTAGGAGGCCTTGGGAGGTGCTGATGGGGTTGGAGGGGTGGCAAAAGCCAGAAAAGATGGGACTGGTAGGAAGGACATGGCTCCTGGGCTTCATTCTGGCGCTGTCTCTGAAGCTTGAGCGGAAGAGTCCAGCTGTGGTCAGTGGAAGTAGCAGGGCAGGGGAGGGGGAGGCAAAGGGGACGCAGGTTTCTAGCTTGGAACTCTGGCTGATGGCAGAGTATTAGCGTAGGGGCGGAGGTTAGGGAATATGCCAATTAGACCAGTAATGGAGGGAATATTTGACCTAAAAATAAAAGATAGACTTAGAACTCAGTCTTAAGGGGGCAAAAGAAATGGCTCCACTTGATATTGTAAATACCAATTGGAAGTTGGAGTGAACTTCTAAGAATCTAGGGCCCAAAGTCTCCCATGATGGGGATAGTGGACTCACCAGAGATGGGAAAGGAGGCCAGGTCACTGGGCAGCAGGGACTCAGGTTGCCTGTAGCTCACCCCTTCGCTTACTCGGATCTTGATTCATTTGTTGGGCCATGCATACCAAGAACCGATTATGTGCCACGCATAGGTGCTGTGTTACAAAGATGAAAGTGAGTCTTAAAGAGGTTATGTGTGAGAAGGGGACAGATGGGACCAGTCATTCTCAGCATAACACCGAGTGGAAATAACCATGACACAGATTGGAGCAAAGTGAGGAGGTGAAGCAGGGAGAGGATAGGGAAGAAGAATATTCTAGGTGGAGAGAAAGAGAAAGCATGTATAAAGACCATTTAAAATAGCACACTTCTGGAGGGCCACCTTTTTCTCACAGCAATCTGGGTCTTACAGCCCTTTTTCTGTTCAAAGTCTTCCTTAATACAAACTGTTTTATTTAAAATCTTAGTGCTTTTGGTTCGACTATGTGATCTTTAGCTTTACAGTGAGAAGGCGGTTAAATGCCAGGGCCCCTCTGAGCCGAAGGCTCTCCGTGTCTGCCTGCAGCCTTTGTTCTCTGCCATGTAAAAGATGAAAAATTGTGTCAGCAATATCACACCCAGTTACTGTGAAATCAAGGAATCGCTCTGGTGAAGAATCTGGGGGTGAAGACCAGACAAATCGAAACGGCTTGGCGTCATGATTTAACTTTGTCAAGCCAAAGAGAGGGCTCGTGTTTCAATAGTTAGCCTCACCTTGCATCTATACTGGGCCAAGTCTTCTTTCCGTGAATCCTGAACCCTGAAGGAATCGGCCTCCTCTGGCTGGTTTTAGGCATTGCCCATAAATCGAGGCTACAACTGTTCTCCAGGCATCTCCCTGACACCTCAAACGTATGCTCAGCACTCCTTGGGCCCCATGCCCAGGAATCTTTCCGCTTGTCTCTTTTCCGGGCTTGCAGCCAGGCTCAACTTTTCAAGATGTTGTCTTCCAAATCCTGCCTTGATTAACTCAATCTGCAGCCCCTTCTTTGTCACTGTTTTCTTGTCACTCTTTTGGTTTCTCCTGCAGTCATCTGTGTGCCTAGTCTGTCCCATCTTAGGCATTTGCAATTGCAAATGACTACATTAACATTTAATTCACACCAGGCAGCATTTGTCTGCTGCATAAAGACACACCTGGACTGCACGGAAGACTGAGGACCTGGGCTAATGGTCCCAGCGTGCTGTGGGTTTGGTTGGCTGAGGTCAGCATCCACATTGAGGTGGGTGGGCCTGGGCAGATTTCTAAGACAAGACAAGATGTGAGGACTCGTGTCTACATGGTATCTTCTAGCTTGGAACTCTGGCTGATGGCAAAGTATTAGTGGAGGGGCAGAGGTTAGGGAATGTGCCAATTAGACCAGTAATGGAGGGAAGGTTTCGGGGAAGGAGGTTAGAAGCAGCCTTAGCTGTCTGCACATTCCAAACAGGGATTTGAGTATTTGTTCCTGGATATTTTGGTGAGGGTGTGGAGAGGTAGGAGAGGGGAGCCTGCTTCCAACTTTGTAAAGAGAGAGAAGATATGAAGGACACAGATAGAGGAGCTTGCTGACAGCTAGAAAAGAGAAGGTGAGCCGAGCAGATGGCGTGCAGGTGAGCGAAGGCATGGCTAGGGGTGGACTCGGGATGGAGGAGCCCAGGAGGCTTCCCGGGAGCAAGTCTATGTGTTTGGTGTCACGCAACCATGCTTTTCCCACAACCCTTCTGTCTTGGGTCTTGTGGCACTGTCTTGGTTCTCTTGCTGCGTCCACTGGAGGCCTCTTCTCCCATGACTTCCCAGCTCACCTCCCCTCTGTGAGCTCAGGCCCCAGCCTGCAGTCCTACGTTCTTCGCACTCTCTCAGCTTCCTACCCTGAGCTCATCCAGGCCCCCAGTCTCTGTTTTCACCCCTCTGGAGCAGACTCCCCAGCCTGTCTGCAGTCTTGTCCCCATCCGCCCTCTTGCTCCATCTTTCATTGCTGGTTAGACGTGTCTACTGCTATCTCTGTCACCTCCGGCTCAGCGTGCTGCACTCAGACATCCAACTGGAGGAGTCCATGAGCTGACCTCAGAGATGCCCTCCGACGCTGAGTTTCTTTGTCAAAAAACAAACTCTTCACTTTCATCTCTTCAAATGGCATTTTATTCTGTCCTCTGGTGTCTGTCAATAGATCTCATCTCCCCAGACAGGCTGCCTTCAGCTTCCCTTCACAGCCTTGCCGATCTTGCCCCTTTCCCTGTTAATCCACACAGCCATCACTTCTGAACTTAATTCCTATAGCCCCTGACGTTCTCTGACTCATCCGTCCCTTGTGATCTACCCGAACATGATTCACCATCCACATTTCTGGTTCTACTCTACCTGTCTAGCCCCTTTCCCACAACTTTTCTGCACTCACCCTCCTCTACTATGGCCGTCCCGGTCACTTCACCATCTTGGAGCACCTGGCACTCATGAGATGCCACGATGGTCACACTGCATCCCTTCCCTGAAACCTTCCCAGCCTGTCTCGGTCATTCCATTGTTTTATTTGACTTCCTCTAGAATCGATAATCTCTGCTACACAATTTAGCATGTAACCGTATATGCTCAGTGTTCCCTTTTTGAAGTATATTGGTCTTATCTCCGCAATTGGAACATGTTTACCCTGTTGGAACATACGCTGTTATCAAGTCACAACGATCATTATTTTTGCTTTCCCCAAAGTGTCAAGAATGTAACACAGGATCAACAAGTGTTGACTAATTGATAACCGAGATTCCAGATTAAAGACAAATTTTAGTCTGATGATCTTAAAAGTAATTATGCTGGGTGGAAAATACCCTCACTTTGGGTATGGTTAAAATGACTATCTTGAATATCTCATTAAGAGGATAATGTCTCATTGACATTTATACTGACAGCCCCTAGCATGGAGCCTTACGTACTGGCTAGTGTGTTGAATGAATACCTGACTTATTTAAGCTTTTCACTTTGAAGATGTTTGGTAGCATTTCCATCCAGTCCTTGTACATAGGTAATCATTGTCACGGAGGACCAAAGGGTCTTCAAAACCTGTGATGCCAAGGGGGCATTTTACTTTCTCCTTTTGTGTGGGTAGCCACAACTCTATTCGCCGTTTTTAATATTTACTTTTGGCTTTATCACTCCATCAAGTTGTTTATTTTTTATTCATTCCTTACAATAGATGTAGCAGAATGGGATAAGGCAGCATCATTTTCTTCCATTCCATTTTATCTTTTATCAGCATTTAGTTCTCATGTATAGCTTTTCCTGAGTCATCAGTATTGGGCTAATGGACTGGAAGGGCCCAAGTTGAATGGTAATTACTTACTCTGTTGCTGATAGCCCAGATGAGAATAGGACCTATTAGATCTGTAATAATGGAAATCTGTGTTTAATGCAGATCTTTTAAGCAGTTTGAAACGATCTCAAATTCATCTCTCTTTGCCATATGTTAAAATGTCACATTATGGTTTTAAAATTCAGGATGAGAACTGAAGTTTCAGGAGAGCCTGCCTGTGGAAAAGTCCTCAAATCTGTCCTTTTTAAAATCAGAAGCATTTGTTCATCTCAAATCAAGCCTCCTCAGAGATGCCAGCTCTGTCTGGGCAGTCCGTGCAGGCAGGGTGAGACGAAGAAGAATAGGGCTTAGTTCACAAGGATCTAGGACAGAAGGGGACTGAGGGGATGTGAGGATGGTGGACTTTGTGTGGTGCCAGGAGGCTTCCCAGAGGCTTGGGCCATGGATTCAGTGAATGCATTCAAGTCAGGAGCTCCTTTGTTTCCTTCTTCATGGTAGGGTCCAGGGCTGAATGCTCACACTTGTGTATCATTAGCTCATCTCCTGTTTCAGCAGCAGAAGACTTTAACTTTTCCCCAAATACTGCTTTCTTCTTTCCCCTTTTCGTGTGAAGAATAAAGGTACAGAAATTTGACCCAAGATACTTCTGTGCAAAGGCCATCCTCTTTAGATTCCAGACCAGACTTACGAAGTGAACTGGTTTACACAGGTCATAGGTCAATCAATGCTGGAATGGGTGCTCAGAGCAGAACCTAGTCCCCACCCAGGGCTCCTGCCATCACTCTCAGAAGTGTTACAACTGGAACTTCTGGTCATCAGGATTGTTGTGTTTTTGAGTTATTTTCAATAACCTGTATCATTCTTCTTGTCTGGGAAATGGCCCTAAATAATTTAGCTTCCTCTTAGTACAGAGTCTTGTCTGGAGACATATTGATGGGGGCTGTAACCTCACCCAGTTTCATAAATGAAGCAGGTTCATGATGGAGCTCCTGTTTCTCAATAGAGACCTTAGAATGAGAAATGGTTCTCAAGACTTGTTCAGTTTATTACGTGCTGTTTGCTGTTTGATTCAATGAGTCTCTTGTATCTTTGCAAATGGTAGATGTATTGAGTAGTACTAGTATGGTGTTGAAAAAGTTGGTACTGGTGAAATGTTCCAACCTTGAACCTCCTGTGACTTGGAAGAGTCTTCACAGAATTCAGGACAGACAGGTGGTGCTGATTCATTGGTGGGGGATTGGTTTATTTCCCATAGTTCTAAATTATGCACTTTGACAACTCAATAAACCTGATGTAACTGACAACACACTGATGGATATGGTGGAGGATAAAGAATATGATTATTTGAATCAAGATGCTTATGGTATGGCATCCTAGAGTCGATTGCTTTTTAAAAGATTCTTGAGCTTTGATAACTTTTTGTTGATACATTTTCTTTGAGTTCAGCGAGCTGGCTTCATGAGTGTGTTGTTATCCACCTCTTCTTTGGGAGGAAAGGATTGTGTTTTAGTACTTACCCTGATGGCTATAGAAGTCACTGTTTCATATGCTATATCAGAATTGACTTAAAAATTGCATGTAGGTATTTGCTACATGTTTTGGTGACATGATGTGTACCATTAAGGAAATTTAAGATCTTTTTGATCACAAAGTTCTCAGCTTACATCTGGTTATTTGTTGGCGTTTTATTTATTGGCAAGCTTTTTCTAGCAGCAGGTCTATGGACAGCCCTGAAATTTCTTTAAAAACCAGTCTTGGAAAGAAGAAAAGCTGTGGATGCTTAGTTGAAAGTTCAAGTTACCTGCAAAACATTTGTTTCAATTGAATTTGTCTATCTATAGTTGATGTAGAGTGGGATTTTAGGGACCAGGGAGTGTCTCCTTGGTCCTAAGTTAAGAAAACAAAAATAAAGTGACTTCACTAGAATTACTTTGAACCAGGTCAAGAACCTGTTCATCTCACTGTGGGGTTTATATCCTCCTTACCGCTTCACCTGCCTCTTTTTTCCAGGACAAATATTTTACATCTGATCACTTCCTAATGAGTACATCTATTCCTGAGAATGGCAAACTTTGTGATTATATCAGAGCAAGAAATCTTATTTGTAAAGAGGCTGCCTAATTATCCATGACATTTAAAATGTCTGCATTGTCCTTGAGCTAAGAGTGTGAAAATCAGGAGACCCAGGGGTGTATTCACTTCCTGATAGATTTCGCTTAGTTTACCATACTCTGACAGTAAAAATCAAATGAATCTGAGCTGCTTAACATTAACATTCCAGGCCGGACACGGTGGCTCATGTGTGTAATCTCAGCACTTCGGGAGGCCTAGGAGGGGAGATCACTTGAGCCCAGGAGTTCAAGACCAGCCTGGGCAAGACAGCGAGACCCTGTCTCTACTTGAAAAAAAATTTGAAATAAAAACAAAAACACAATAACATTCCAAGCAGGAAAGTAATTGAAAAAAACTGCTATCATCCATATTGCTAATTTTATAATGCGGAAACTACCACAGAGTTATAAGTGCAGCGATGAAGATATAATAGACATATTTTTGTGTAAGAAAAATGAAAATTCACCTTAGTGACTGAAAGCATAGATTGACTTTGCATAGACATCAGTGTCAATAATGATCATTTTAGTAACTCAGGTTTTGTTTCTTCAGTTGAAATTCAAAGTAACCCAGGTTCATAAGTAGGCTGTGATGTTGAAAGATTGGAAACTCTCAATTTTGTCAAAGATTGGAACTAGGTTGAGATACTTTGGAATGTTTTACTAGATAAAGAGGCAGGGAAATAAAATAACTGTTGTTTCCTGTGATTTGAGAACTACAGGATGGCACCAGAATCTCAGACCTGCAGCCCAGTGAAGGGATTCCTTCATTAAGGCTCTTGTTCATTTCTTTCTTGGTAATTTTGTTGGTTTTCTGTTTTTACTAGAGGAATATGACTCTTAGGAATCATACCTGCATGCAAATTTCTGATGCTCTGTTGATTCGTGAGCACTAGAAAGAGTTAAAACTCCCTATTTCTCACAATCTCCCCCTTGGCAGAGTTCAGTTCACTGATGACTATGGTGAGTCAGTCAGTGCCCCATCCTGTGTCATGGCATCCCACAGGACAACATTATCTTTTAATAATTGAATTATTTTTGCCTCTATAGTAATGTGATAAGACAGAATCATCATCTATTTTTTAACATATAGCAAAATTACCCAGTTTTTTGAAGAAGCTGGAAATACTTGGATCTGCATGCTAAATAGGTACCAAGGACAGAAGGAAGACAGGGTTCATCTTCTCTTTCTAATCGTGGGACTTTGGGCTGTAAGGGTTGGTGTCTTCATCTTTCCAGTAAAGGGGTGGGACTGAGCAATCTCCATGGTTACTTTCAGCTCTGAGAGTCGATCATTTATAATTATAATGCATATTGCATCTGTGTATTTCAGTCATTCTGAACAGAAGGGTTTTTGTCTTGGCAAGGTTTTGTCTTGGAATGGTGTATATATTTTTGTGGAATGGATGCTTTCTCCCTAATGTCTGGCAAGGTCTTGTCTTGCTTTCTTCTTTGTTGACATTCCTGGTTTCTGGTCCAGCCCTGAATCGACCCAGCTGATGGGGCATATTAATTGGGAGCATGGGCTGTGGAGTTAAACAGACCTGGGTTTATGTTCCAGTTCCAAACCTCAGTTTATCTGGCTTTCTCATGTGTAAAATGGAGAGGATGCTGACTTTGTGGGTTGAGGTAAGATATTCAATGAGAGGTTGAAGGTAAAGCGCTTAGCTCAGGGCCTGATACCTTCCGATGCCTTCCTGGTTTCCTACACCTCTCCCCATGTAAAGATTTTTATTTGCAGAAATGTCAACCCCAAAGTTGTTCTAAGTGGGAAAACTGTTTCCTCTACACTCACAAAACATTTCTGACACCAACTGTATAGATTTTCCACACCAAGCCATTCTCCAGTTCTCTGCAGACACCAACTGGGTGTCTAATAATTCAATTCAATTCTGGCATTAACGACCTGGAATTAGACCCCACAGCTTAAGGGACTCAGTCCTTCAAGGCTGCCCCCAACTTCAGATGCCAATTGCAAGTCCCCAGGTTGTCACCTGCACTTCTCTCTGACTTGACTACCTGACTCAGTAGTCCACACAACCCCCTCCTTAGGTTTGATAATTTGCTGGAATGGCTCACAGATCTCAGAATAACAGTTTATTATATTTACTGGTTTATTGTAAAGGATACAACTCAGGACCAACCCAATGGAAGAGGTGCATAGGTCAGGTATGTGGAAGGGGTGCAGAGCTTCCAGGCCCTTTGGGGTGCTACCCTCCCTCACAGCACCCTGATGTGTTTACCAACCTGGAAGCTCTAGGAACCCATTGTTTAGGGTTTTTATGGAGGCTTCATTATGTAGGAGTGATTGATTAAATCACTGGCCTCTTCCCTCCTCAGAGGTTGGAGAGTGGGGCTGAAACTTCCAATCCTCTAATGACCTAGTTGGTTCCTCCGGGAGCCAGTCCCAAGCCACCTGGAGTTACCTCATTAGCATAACTCAGGTAAGGTTGAAAGGGGTTTGCTATGACTAACAAGATGCTCCCCTTACCCCCATCACTCAGAATACCAAGGGTTTTAGGAGCGCTGTACCAGGAACCAGAGGCAGAGAGCAAATACATATTCCTTTTTGTGTCATAATTGTATATATTTCGTGTATTTTTGTCTGGTATCAGACACTGTTGGAAATTGTGGTTTAGTTTACTTCAGTTGTTGCACCGAAGAAATGTACAGGAAATCAGGTGTTTTTGGAAGACACTGGATTAAGAGCTGTACTAAAATGCTCCATCTATTTCTTCACTACTTCCAAATGTTGCCACATTTTTGAAATTGGAAAATTCTGTTTTAGTTGACTTCCTGGACTTTACCTCTTGTGTATGACTTCAATCTTGATAACGTTCCATGCTAGTCTTCGTCTCTGGACTTCTCTATCAAATCCACCGTTAACCCATCAAATATTTATTGAACTCTAGGCACTATCCTAGAAACTGGAGATAGGTGAGAATGAGAAAAATTCGTCTACAGCTCCCAGTAAATACTTGTCCGCAGATGGGAGGAGGGGACAGAACATAACCTGTAAGCAGATATATTATAATTTCAGATAGTGCTACATGTTTCAAAGTAAACTTAAAGCAGAAGGCCTGGCAGGGAGCAGAAGGGGATGCTATTATCTAGAGAGCAAGGGTTTGAGTAGAAACCTGCATGAAGTCAGAAAGTGAAATATCTGCAGGAGAAATGTTCCAGGCAGTAGGCCAGCAAGTGCAAACACCCTGTGGGGGTAAGAATCTTGAGATGATCAAAAGACAGCGTGCAGTATAGCTTGTGCACACGTACCCTAAAACTTAAAGTATAATAATAATAAAATTAAAAAAAAAAAAACAATGGGAGAGGAAATGAGGCCGAAGACCCATCAGGGATAGATTCTAGGGGCCCTGTAGGCCAAAGTGAAGACTGAAATGTATCCTAAAAGTCATGGACAACCACAGGAAACATGGAAGCTGGGGATGACATGATTGTATTTACATTTAAGGCAATTACTGAGGAGAACAGATGGGTGGAGAGGAGCCCAGAGAGAGGGCAAGAGTAGAGTCAGGAGGCAATTCACTAGCAGAGGAAATAGATGAACTTGCTGGGTCATGATGGAGGTGGTGAGAAGTGGTCGTGGTCCAGACGTATTATGAAGGTCAAGCTGGTGGGACTTCCTGGGGTCACATAGAGGTAGTCTCACCAACAGTGTTAGTGCTCTGGAGACCTCACTTCTACCCTTGGGTCATGTACCTGCATGGGAAAAGCCTTTATCCTGACCCCAAGTGCCTTGGCTCAACTTCGTGATTGGTGTGCATTTTGGGTGAGTGGGGGTGAGCAGGAGATTAAGTAAGAAATTTTTTTTTCTCTTCAAAATACAGACATATGGGTGAAATACAAGGGTGGGGCAGGGAGAGGATATAGTTCTCTTGGTACATGACCCCATCTACAGCTCCTATCTGGATCTCTTGGCTTAGCTCTGACCTCCTAACTTTTTGAGGCTGGGGACTAGACAGGGAGGTGATTGAAAGGCTTCAGGGACTTGCTTGGTTTATCCTCTAAGCTGCAGCAGCTATGTCAGGTTTCCTGATTCCTGACCCCAATTCCAGATATTCCTTTATTTGACTTACAGAATGACTAAGAATATGCAAAGTGAGAGATGAAGGTGCAGGCTGTTAAGGCCAAGAGTATAAACTAAACTGTGTGTATCAGTTACCTCTTGCTGAATGATGCATCACATAAACCTAGCACCTTAAAACAACACACATCTATTCTCTCACAATTTCTGTGGGTCAGGAATCCGGACACAGCTCAGCTGGGTCCTCTACTTCAGAGTCTCTCACAAGGCTACCCTCAAGATGTTAGATAAGGTGGAGAGCTCATCTGAAGGCTCAACTGGGGAAGGATCTGCTTCCAGGCTCACTTGTGTGGTTGTTGGCAAGATTCAGTTTATTTATTTATTTATTTATTTTTTATTTATTGTGGGCACATAGTAGGTATTTATGGGTTACATGAGATGTTATGATACAAGCATGCGGTGTGTGATCATCACATCATGGAGAATGGGGGAGATTCAGGTTTCCAAGAGCCATTGGGCTCAGGGCCTCATTTCCTTGCTGGCCATCGCCTGGAGGCCACACCCAGTTTTTTGTCACATGGGCCTTTCCAACATGGCAGCCTGCTTCATCAAAGCACCAGAGAGAGTGTCCTAGTCACAGTGCTTTGTAACTTAATCACATAAGCGGCTGTCCTCAGTGTTGCCATGTTCTATTAGTGAGAAGCAAGTTACTCAAGGAGAAGGCTCTAAGTGTATCCAGCTGAAATCCTGTATTTTCTGTTTTCCCCCTTTACATCAGCATGCCTTTGAAGCAGATAATACTGTGTAGACCAAGTCTTTAAAATAGCACATTCCATGAGCCAACCAGCCACCTCACCTGCCTATAACATTTTCCTTTATCGTCTCCACTGATGCTATAGCTGACCATGTTAGGAACCCTCATGTTATAGCTTAGTTTATCTTAAATCTTGACTTTGTGTTTGCTCTTAGCTCTTGAGGACTATTTGCCTTCCTAGACTTGGTACTCCCTTGACTCCCTCAGTCCCAGCCAGGAGAGTGTCATTTTAGGCCATTGTCACACTAGGATGTAGGAGGTGATAAAGACAGCTTAGTTAGGCTTAGGACCAAGGCTGTGTGAGAACCAACCGAAGACAGACCTGCAATGTGTCATCTGGTACTTACGGCCTCTGTTTGCCAGGGGCTAAGTGTGATAATGGGTCAGAAAGTATAAGGTTTACAAAGTAGCTGAGATGCCACCTGGGACCTACTATTAAAAGCCAGGGCAGAATCCTACAACTAGGAGGTCATAACAGTGCTTGGAAGGCCATTGAAGCTACAGTCAGGGGCAGACCAAGGGTCTGGGAGCTTGAAGAAGTGGCGGTCAAGGCAAAAATGGTTCAAAATATAGAAGTTCAGATTGTGGAGAATAGCAACATTAGTAAGCAGAGAGTAGGAGACAGGCTGATCTCTGGCTAGGTTATTTGTCCCCACACTTTCTTTTTTCAATCTTTTTTCCCACTCTACCCTGGAAGCCCAGGCCTAGATACAGAGGCATAGTGTTTTTCTCTGCGAGCTAAAGAGGACGGTGTGGCATCAGGGTGACAAGCTGAGCTGGTGGTGGTGGTGGTGGTGGTGGTGGTGGTGGTGGTGGTGCTGCTGCTGCTGCTGCTGCTGGTGGTATTGGTAGTGATGGTGTTGACAGTAGTGTTGTTGGTTTTGTTGGTATAGGTGGTGTTGGTGGTGGTAGTGGTGGTGATGGTCTTGGTGGTCTTGGTGGTGGTGCTGCTGCTGGTGGTATTGGTAGTGATGGTGTTGACAGTAGTGTTGTTGGTTTTCTTGGTATAGGTGGTGGTGGTGTTGGTGGTGTTGGTCTTGGTGGTGTTCGTGATGTTGTTGGTGTTGGTAGTGGTTTTTTGTTGGTGTTATTGTGAGTGGTAGTGTTGATGGTCTTGGTGGTGGTGCTGTTAGTGTTGATAGTGATGGTGTGTTGGTAGACTTGATAGTGGTGTTATTGTTGATGGTGTTGGTGGAGGTGGTGTTGTTGCCATTGGTGGTGGTCGGGATGGAAGTGGTTGTGTTGATGATTTTGGTGTTGATGGTAGTGAGCAGTTCCCTCACTGCTCTCTTACACAGCCAGCCTCTTAAATAATCCCCACTCTTACCCTCTAAGCCCCACCTTAGACACTAATACATTCTAAACCTCTTCCAAAGAAGCAGAAAGAATCAGTTTCCTGCCTGGGAACAGTAAACCTTGATAACTACTTTCTCTCTAGATGTAAAAGGTTTGGCTGGTGTTATTCTCGGTGAAAATAGCAGAAAATCCTTCTCTTTCCAGACTGGGATTAAATGGCTTGATTTACATTGGATTCTAGGGTTATTATTATTTTTAACACTTCCCTGATCGGTTTTTTTAGAAACTAGCAAGACATTTTTAAGGATGAAGGCATATTAAAAACAACTCTAAGGATGCCTTGTCTGATGCATTCAGCTTGCCTCGTCCATCTCCCCATTTGTTTTCACTGATCTACTTAACAACTTGTGTAGACAGGTAGAGCAGGCATGACCTAAATTTGGTGGATGAAGAGATCTAGATTCAGAAAAGTTAGTTTACATGTCAAAGGACACACAGTCGTATAACTGACAACTGTATGCAACCAGGATTCCTACCTAGGTCTTCCCACTCCAAATCCAGCACTCACATTGTACTGAAAAATAGCCTGATTTTATCACTTGACCTGTGAAAGGAAAGAAATCAAGGGTGAACAAAGGGAGAGAAAGTAAATGATGTTGAATAAAACATGAGAATAAACAGTTTGCATATGTAGCCTTTTGATCTTTATTGCAGGGCTGAGACCCGGTTCTTAACTGTTCTTTCCTCATGCCTTCTGCTTTTGGTAAACATTCCCAACATTTACCATGAAATCCTCTCTCTCAAGGCTGAAGGGCTGCTGCTCCTTTTGCAGAGCCCCTGCTGATCTCTCATCTCTGGAGATGGCTGTGCCCTTAGCGAATGCGAATCCCCCTGTGGACAATTGGTGACTGAGGGACAGCTGTCTGCAAGGGGCATTTCATCAGTATGCATCACGACTGGGGCTTGGCAGTCATTAGAATTCATTATAAATTACTCTGAGTCCCAGGAATCTCATTTAGTTCTCCCTCAGCAGCTGGAAGATGCTACCAGCTGTGGATCTAGGGTTTCCCCCAAAGATTTTACCTAAGCATTGTGGGTAGGGGCAAATAGGCAAAACGATCTGATGATGAGTGGGTGGGGTAAGATGGACAACCCTGTTTCTGCCTTTCTACCTCAGAGTTAATGCCCTGAAGATGCCACTGGGGGAATCAGCTCTGGGCACAGCTTAATCCTTAGTGCTTCTGGTGGGCCGAGGAATGCTCAAGGGTGTCTTTGTGAGTCATTGCGAGAAGGTCCATGACAGAAGAGGGAAAGAACCAAAGAGAGAGCAATGGAGAAGAAAGTAGCAGATGGTTCTCTGTGATCTTCAAGAGCCAGGCCCTGGTGGTATTTTCTGTTTCAGCTACTGTGACGCTTTTTGTGGAATCCTGGATGAGGCCTGAACTGACCATTCACTCAGTCCTCTGGACCTTTGAGTCCTGTGTTCCTACGGAAACCCACTCATCTTGCAAGGCTCAACTCTAATGCCAGGACCAAGTGCTTTCGTGTGAATCACCCCTTATGATTCTCACAACAGCTCCATAAGATAGGGGTAATTTCCATTCATTTTTTTTTTCAGAGAAGGAAAGCACAACTCAGAGGGGTTATTGACCTGTGCAAAGGAGGAGTTCTGGGTTGGGGGGAGTGGAACCCATGGGAGCTGCACACTCAGTTCCTTTGTCCCCTGACCATGGCACTTTCCACACAATACTGCATACGTATCGGAACAGCGTGCCTCTTACTGATCCTTACCGTGTTGGACCAGGACACAGTGGCAAGGTGAGCCAGGTTGGCCTTCTGTGCTCCTGGCCTTTCCTCACGTGGCCCTTTTCCTATCATGTATTCACCTCTTCACTGAAAGAGGTGCTTCCTTGTAACCTCACTTTGCCATCCTCTTCTCATCCCTGTTCTAGGACAGGGGCTGGCAAACATTTTCTATAAAGGGCCAGATGGTAAATATTTTAGGCTTTGCAGGCCATACGGTTCCTGTCACGATGACTGCACTCTGCCATTGTAGAGTGAAGGCAGCCATGGACAGTATATAAATGAATGAGTGTGGCTGTGTTCCCATTAAATTTTATTTAATGACACTCAAATTTGAATCTCTTAGAATTTGCATGTGTCATGAAGTACTTCTAATGGTTGTTCAGCCATTAAAATATATGAAAACCACTCTTAGCTCATAGGCTGTACAAAAACAGGAGGCAGGCTGGATATGGGTAGCTGGCCATGGTTTTGCCAATCCCCTGTTCTATAACTAATTGAGTAGTAATCCTTTACCTTTGGGTAAAATCATCACTGTGTTAGTTCTCCTGAAAGCGCATACAATTTAAACCTTTAACTGCAGGTGAAAGGCTTTGTTGCCTCCTAAAGGGATTTGGGGTAGTAGTGGCTGTGATGGGTGGGGCGGGGAGAGGTCACACCAAGCAGATAGCTGCCTCTGCCTAACATAACGTTAGTCCTGCCGTGCTGCTATTGTTTTTTTCAGTGGAAATGTTAGATTTAAAACCTATATGTCATTTGTCTTTGAGCTCTGTATGGAGAAAAAGATCTTGCTTTGGTTTTTGTAAAAATACCAGCCTTAGATCTTTTTGTGTGAGCTGTCATCAGTCATTCCGATTGTTGATCTTGTAAATTCATGCTTTTTAGTGTTGGCAGAGGGTTGCCTTTGTTTCTGTACAATTTCATGAAGTGTTTCTTTCAATTGGGACTTACTTTGAGCTTAACTGGAGCTATACTTTTCATCTCAACTAGATTTTAAAGACATGGGTACCTGGCAGCATGCTACAGAGGATTGTTTTAGAATCTTTCCTCAGTGTGAGAACTTCGGGAAATGGTACGACCAGCCGCTGATTGAGCCCCCTTTGACATTTGGTCTCCACATGATCCACAGTGACTGAGCATGGCTTGAAACTTGGCCGGTGATACCTGGAGTGTCTTGAAGGGTTTCCTTTTTACTCATTCTTGGATGTGTCCTGGAGTAAAAATTTTTGTATTCCACTATTTGTGGAATTTGGAAAGAAGCACAGGAAAGGAAATGGAGATTTAATGAGGAACTTGATTTACACCGGTACCCAAGCTACCTTCCACCACCAGCTTCTGCCGCATGTTGTATGTTAGGAAGCTTACTAGGACTGCAGCAGCTAGAGTACTGTGCAGGTGCCTGACTTACACAACCACCCTTTCAAAAATCGTTCCACAGCCCAAGGCAACATTGACTTAATACATTTCTCAACAAACTGAGGCCTGGAAATCTGAGAAATAAATAGGTGGGCTATCCACTGTAATGACAAGGCATGACTTCCTGGTTTGTATTTCTTCCCATAGTGTTTTGATTACACTAAGCGTTACCGGCAGGCAATAGTTATTTGCTATTATTGTTTTTAAATTAATCCTAGAAGGTCCTTTAAGTGTATTTGATAAACATCATGTTACCTGCCAGCAAGGAATTGTACTCTGGATATTTCTGTCTTCAGAGGTAGTTCTATAGTAGTTCTGTTGTATAACAGAAAGAACTATCAATTATTTGATCTTACAGTCATTATACATGTAGACTATAAATTCATGGGATTTAATTTAATGAACAGGTTCCTGCCTCAGAACTTTGAACATTATGCTGTGGGAAGGAAAATCTTTTCAATTTGCTTTACAGACTTTGAGTATTTGTAAGTTCACCTTTTAAACAATTAGGGAATATTTACATGTTGAGGATTTCTCACAAGATTAAAAAAAATACTTCTTTTGAAATAGTTGAAGACTGAAGAGAAGCTGCAAAAATCGTACATAGTTCCAATGTGCCTTTACACCAGCTTCCCCCAATGTTAATATCTTACATAATCAGTGTGTTGTCAAAGCCAGGAAATGCACATTGGTGTAATACTTTTAAATACAGATCTTATTTGGATTTCACCAGTTATTGTGTGCACTTTTTTTGGTGTAAGTTCTATGAAATTATATCACATTTGTGGATTTGTGTAACACAGATCTATAGAACTGTTCATCACTCCAAAGAAACTTCCTCATGTTATCGTTTAACAGTCACATTCCTCTCATAAGGTTGTGTTCAGACTGTTTCGTTAGGATGTCAAAATAGCAACAAAAACAGAGGTGGATTTTGAGAAAGTATTTAGTTTTCAGTTGATTTCCACAATTACGGATTTCGAGTGAATGAAAGAAAAAGAATGGGGAACTGTATTCAGGTTGTGAGCACTTTCACATTTATAGCTACGATCCATTTAAAGTTAATTGTCGTATAAGGTTTGACGTAAGAGTTGGGGTTTATTTTGTCCCATTTAGATATACAGTTGTTCCAGCACCATTTGCTGAAAAGACTGTCCTTTCCTGATTGAATTATCTCAGCACCCTTGTCACAATTAAATCCTGTCTTCTCTATTCTGTTCCACTCATTTGTAGAACTTATGCCATTACCACACTGTCTTGATTACTGTAACCTTACAGTAAGTCCTGAAATCAGGTAGTGGAAGTATTCCAACTGATAGTTCCAAATTGTTTTTGCTATTTTAGGTATTTTAATTTTTCACTTAAACTTTAGAGTCAATTCATCAATGTCTACAAAAACCTTTCTGAGGTTTCCATCAGCTTTGTGCTGAACTACAGATTAATTTGGAAGATAATTGACATCTTACAGAGTCTTTCAGTTTATGAACATGATGTATCTTTCCATTGATTTCTATATGCTTTAATTTCTCTCAACAGTGTTTTATAGTTTTCAGGGTACAGACCTTACTGACATTTTATTAAAAATCTCCCTAGTATTTCATGTTATATGTTGTTATTATGTAAAGTACTTCTTTTAAAAAGAAATTAACATTTCATTTGTTGCTACTATGTAAAATTATAGTTTATTTTTGCATACTGACCTACATTTGGTGAGCTTGGTAAACTTTTTAGTACAAATAGCTTTTTTCCTTAGGATTTTTTACTTACACAATCATGTTGTCTGCGTATAAAGTATTTTCCTTCTTTCATTTTTGTACGATTTTTATTTCTTTTTCTTGCCTTTTTTGAACTGACTAGGACCTCACTACAATGTCAAATAGAAGTAGAGTGAGTGTAAACCCTAGCTTCATTCCTAATTTAAGGCTGAGAACGTTCGGTCTGTTACCATAAAGTATGATGCAGCTGTAGCTTTTTAGTAGATTTTTTTTATTAGCTTATCTCCCTTGTTGACTAAAAAAAGTTTTTTAAACACAGGTAGGTATTGAATTGTATCAAATGCTTTTTTGTAGCATTTATTGAGTTGATCAGATTTTTTTTCTTTTTTAGCCAGTTAATATGGTAAATGACATTAATTGAATTTTTTCATTGTTAAAACAACTTTGAATTCCTTGGATGAATCCCACTTGGCCATGATTGTTATACTTTTTATATATTCCTGAATTCAGTATTATTAAAGAATTTTAAATTCTGTGTTCATAAAGGGGATCTGTCTCTAGTTTTCTTGTGTCTTTGTCTGGTTTTGGCATCAGAGTAATGTGGGTCTTATGAAATGAGCTGGGAAAGGTTCCCCCTTCCTCTTTTTTCAAGGCGTTTACATAGGATTGATATTATCTCTTGCTTGAATGTATCTAGAGTTTCTCAGTGAAAATCTGGGAGCATGGAGTTTTCTATTTCAGATTTTCTATTTCTCGTGTTATTTTTTGGTGATTTGTATCTTTTGAAGTGTGTCTGTTATTAATTTGTTGCCTCTTAGCTCCAAATACATCTTTCTGTGTAAGCTCTGTGATAAGCCAAGGAATGTCCTTGGTGTTTCTTGTTTAATGTGAGCACGACATTAAGCATTGTCAGTAGAGGGCGCTTTGGGGGAGGGGGGTCATTGCTGGAGGAAGTCTCTCTTGCCATTTCTTTTGTGGGCATGAGGACCTTCCGTTGAGCCTGCCCCAGTCATGGCCCCAGAACTCAGTCTCTGCGACCTCAAACCCTCAGCCTGGTGGTAATGTTTCTGCAGCCCTCCCCACAGGGCACCAGAGCCCCTGGGCCGCCCCTGCCTGTGCCGCTTCTGTCCGTGGCAGTGCCCAGCATCCCCGCAGATGATTCCAAGGCCTCCTGCCCCCGTCAGTGCCTGGACACCCCCAGCACGTCATGCTGCTAGTTCCTGACAATCTGCAATCCAGAGGGTGATGTTGCCTGTCTGGTGTCTCCAGATCAGCTCTGGCCTGGCCAAGCCCGCAAACTTCTCAGCCGTCTGGTGGCTGAAGCACACCTTCTCCAAGACATCTGAGTCCTTTCATGTCTGTCTTCCTTGGGCACTTTCTGTCAGTCCGTGTTTGCCAGAGAGAGTTTAGATCACGTAGTTACTATTTTATTGTAGTATTCTTTATATTAGACTTTCCATTAACCTACTGTGTGGTTTGTGTCTCCTGAATGGTTATCCAAAAATTTCTTGTAAGCAGTATCTGAGTTGAGACTTCTGTGACCTATGGTTTTTGTCATTTTCAAGAAGGGTAGGAGACATTGCTATGTGTTCAACTGGTATTTTTTCCTCCTTTCTTTACTCATCCCGTCCTTACGTGTTTTTGCCAGGGACTTAACTAAAATCTAAAATGAGGAAGAGGGAGACCAGAGTGTAGTGAGACTAAGTTCAGGAGTCAGTAAACTAGGGCCATGACTGGTCGATCAGCTTCAGCATTAGTTTTCTGGTGTCTCATGACCGTGAGCAGAGATGTTGAGGATTTTATGAGACACTATAAGCATAGCGTCCCATTCTTCTGCTGCTTAGACTAGAGGTCCTATAACCTTAAGCTGCTTATGGATGAAGTATCTAGGCTAATAAATCACCTAGCTTAATAGCAGCAACAATTTTAATGTTTAGATTTTATTTTATTTTTATAGCAAAAGGGAAAAAACATATTTTACTATAGACATCATTATGAATAGGAATAACCCCACCATCTTTTTACTTCTGTCTAGTCAGAGAAAAGAGACCCCAGACTCACCTAACCAACTGATCAACAAAACAAAACCCCACCGAAATACAGAATATTCTCCCCATTGCAGTTAGGCCTTTGGCATTAACTTAAATTTAGCCTCCCTGGGAATTTTGGAAAAACATTTTTCTTCATTGTTTTTGTAAGCCCTATGAGGCAGAGGTATAACTTCCCCAAACAAAACAGCAGGAAAAGCAAGTAGCAATCCCCTGGATAATGCAAATGAATAAAAATTGCCAGAATTATTACAAAAGTGCTAAAAGCCCTACTTTGATATCTTACACTCTATTCCTAGACTTTAGTGGTTCAGAAATGCCTGTTTTAGCAATGCCAGCACACGAGGGAACAAAGTTTGTGGAGAAAATAAACCACATAGAGATAGTCTCCAACTTAGAAATGGGTCATGTTCTAGGGGTCGATTTGTAAATCAGTTAGACTGGAAATATATTGTTCCTGTGGAAATTGGCATTATAAAGATGTTTTTTTTTTTGGCTTATGTCATTAGTTTTCCTTTGGAAAAAAATTGCATTATTTTTCTTTTATTAGAACACATTACTGTATTAATTTTCTATCACTGTATAATCAATTATTCTAAAACTTAGCAGTTTAAAACAACACTCATTTACTATCCCATAGTTTTCTTAGGTCACGATTGTGGGCATGGCTTAGCTGGGTGCCCCTGGATCAGTGTTCCTCACGAGGCTGCAGTCAAGGTGTCAGCTGCATTGTGTTTTCTGGGGCTCATTCACAGGGCTGTTGGCAAGCCTCCGTTTCCTGCCACATGGGCCTCTTCATAGGGCTGCCTTACGATATAGCAGCTGGTTTCCCCCACAGCAAGCCATCTAAGGAGAACAAGAGAGCACCCAAGATGGAAGTCATAGTCTATCATCCACTCACGGAATCAAACCCCCATCACTCCTGTTGTGTTCTGTTTAGTAGCAGTGAATCACTAAGTTCGGCCTACACTCAAAGGAAAGGGATTAAGCTCCACTTCTTGACAGAAGAGTATCAGAATTTGTGGCTATACCTTTAGAACCAGGGGAGGATCTGCTCTCAAGTTCACTGAGCCTTTCCAACCAGTGAGCGGTAGAGTGGATCCTCCCCCTACCAAGCCTTCAGATGAGACCGCAGCCCAGCTGACACCTTGATTGCATGTTTGTGGGACACCCTGAGCCAGAAACACCCAGCTTCCTATTCTAATAAGAAATTAGACCACTTAACTTAAAGTGTACCTTGCAATTGAACAGTGGTTGTTGTGCAACAAGGGAGTTCCTCCTCTCCATGGGAAGAAAACTCATTCCTCAGTGATGAGTAGCACAATGTGGAGATTTCTGTCTATAGTTAGTAGCTGAAAGGCTTAAGCAAGGATGGGAAATGTATTCTTTTCCCCTATCCTAGCTTGCAACCAGCTTGACCAGTATGTAAGGGTATGTTCTTGATGTTATAGGGTAGAAATTAGAATGCTTTTCTCACTGAAACAGTATTCTGTAAATGGTGCTCAGGGTCCTTGGAAAGAATTATATATGAGACTCATTATGGGCTGAGGAGGCCCTTCTGGGCAAGTTTACCACCGTTTATAACAGCATGTTCATGGAAAATGGTTTCTAAATCTCAGACACCCATTTCATAAACATGCTTTTGAAATGTGACTCATTTTTAAATTGGGGGTTTGCCCATATTATATTATGTTCTCCCCAGAAACCTTCTCAACAATAGTTTACATTTTGAGCTATAAGCCTTTTGGGAAGAAAAAGTGACAGAAAATAGAGATTACTATAATTTAGTCTTGGCACTAATATCCTGGCAGACCTATCAAGACATAATTCTCCTCGAAATCAGATTTACTGCAAGGCCTATGCTGAAGTCTTCTTATAGCTGAGGTATGCCAAGTCACACTCGTCTTCTACATTTCTAGAATTCTAGGGTCTTATTCAGGTGCTTCCAAAAACATCTGATCAGAATTAGCACATGAGAAACATTTTGGGCCTGCCTTAGACCCCATTCAGCGCATGGCTTTATGGAGGCCTATGGCCTTCCCGCTGAGAGAGACACTGCGCAGGCTCCAGAGTGGGTTCAGTGTGAGGCCGCCTCCTCTGTCTCCCCTGTGTTTGATATTTTCAGACACTGCGGTAATTTTATTCAGCAAAGCTCCATTCAGTCATTACAGAATCCATCAAAGAAGTGTCCATTGCTAGAATGTGCAAGTTTTTATTGAGCATGTATTCAGGGACGATAACCAAGCAGACGGTGCTGCTATCCCTAATCTCCATCTGTTAGTGAAGTCAGGCACCCAGCAGTGTGTTTAAAGAGCCACTACCATCTCCACTGACTTCCCTGAGTTAAGATGTTCTATTTCGCCTCCATCTTTCATAGAAAGGCAAGTGTAAAAAAGCACCACCAAGCGCCTGTCTGTGTCGTGTGTAGAACCAAAGTGGAAGATTTTGTTCATTATGTTTCTTAATATGAATATGCGCTGGGTTATCCAACTTCCCTTAATTAGCCATGGGACCAAGTCTGCTATCTCAGAATGACAGGTCCTTAGAAGAAAATGTTAGAGTAGCTGATTTACATGTGCTGTATCTCTAGTAAGGGCAGGATTTTTTAAAAAAAATCTACCCACTTATTGAAAATCAATTGAGAGCTTCATAGTAAAAACTTGATAATTTAAGGGAAATATATAACATTCCAACAGCTTTTAGAATTCAGAATGTGAACATATAAAATAGATTTTAAGATACTCTTCTGTTATGGAAGAAAAATTGCAAGAGAGAGAGTAACAGAAAGGATGAGAGGGAAGAGGGATGGAGCAATAATTCAAACAGCACCAAGTTCCAGAAAGGCAAAATACTTGCTGCTGTACGAGTCTCACTCTCCCCCTCTCTCCTCCAAAGTAAAAAAGGGGTGAACCCACAAATACTTCATTTTTGAATAATCTTTTATTTCTATCCAAAATTTTGCATGCTTGATCCTCTTAAAATCCTTCCCCCCCTTAAAAAGAAGATAATTAAGGCTAGCCTCCATGGCTCCTGCCTGTAATCCCAGCACTTTGGGAAGCCGAGACAGGTGGATCACTTGAGGTCAGGAGTTTGAGGCCAGCCTGTTCAACATGGTGAAACCTGTCTCTACTAAAAGTACAAAAACTAGCCAGGTGTGGTGGCAGCCACCTGTAATCCCAGCTACTTGGGAGGCTGAGGCAGGAAAATGGCTTGAACCTGGGAGGCAGAGGTTGCGGTGAGCCAAGATCATGCTAATGCACTTCTGCCTCCTCATTTCCACAGAGTGAGGAAAAAAACCAAAAAACAATTAACATATTACTCTGGGGACTGCAGCCCAATTTTGTAGAGGAAATGAAGTGATAGCTCTATCTTGAGGCCTTCTAGGGTACTTACTTGGAATTTTAAAGCTGGGTTGCAGTTTTTCTACCATATGATACAAATGGGATCATCTTTGACATTTGTCCTGGGACTGGATGCAGTTTAAGCATGAGGCTGATCAGAGCTCAGGGGCTGCTTACCTGCAGCTGCCAGCCACTCCTACATCCCAGCCTGGCCCTCAGCCCTGGGAAGAGACTCCTGGGCTTCCAGGTGTTCACTGGGGGAGCAAAGACTGGAGATGTTTAAAATATTTTTTATTTCCGTTTCTGAAAAAGTAATACATCACACAGAAGTTCAAAAGTAACAAGAGTTTTTAAAAACAAATTATAGAATGCAGTACTATTCTCCTGCACTTTGATTTTTCCCTCAATTAACTGTGTATCTGGTAGATAGTTTCATATCTGTAACTATAGTTACCCTATTCTTTATAACAATGCTGATTATTGCATAGCATGGATTATTTTATGCAAACTGTTAGGACCAGTATTTTTACAAGCAATCTTGTGATGACTGTCTTTGTCCGTGAGCAAAGCCTGTGCTATGGAAGCTCAACTGGGATGAACCTTGTTAATGTTCCATGTTAATTTCCTATCTTTTTTGTTTGTTTGTTTTTTGAGTCTCACTCTGTCGCCCAGGCTTCAGTGCAGTGGCACAATCTCGGCTCATTGCAATCTCTGCCTCCCGGGTTCAGACAATTCTTCTGCCTCAGCCTTCTGAGTAGCTGGGACTACAGGCACATGCCACCACGCCAGGCTAATTTTTTGTATTTTAGCAGAGATGGGGGTTCCCCATGTTGCCCAGGGTGGTCTTGAATTCCTCAGCTCAGGCAATTTGCCTACCTTGGCCTCCCCAAGTGCTAGGATTACAGGTGTGAGCCACCGTGCCTGGCCTAATTTTCTATCTCTTTATCACTATATTATTTCCTGTAGAATCTTCTTTGTCTTCTGAACCTCAGCAAGAGACAATAATTGAATAAATTGGAAGCCTTGTGTTTTTAATGGAGGCCAGCTGGCCTGAGCAAAACTGATATCTATGTTTATATCTACAATGATTCCTCTTTTCTTCTTAAAGTCACATATTTAGCTATCTCCTTCATCTCTCATGTAAAAAGAGAATCAAGACAAGTTTGCTGTAAAGTTTATAATGACACAGTTCATGCTCCATTTTTGATGGGGAGCTTCCATCAAGAAATAAAGCCAGAATTCGTTTTCACGAACGAATAGCAGCCAGAAAGCCAATAGCCCTGACCTTACCCTGCAGCAGGCCTGCTTTGTAAAGCTGACAGCAGTGTTCAAGGGTGAAAGGTTGGTGTTGGTCTGGAACAGATTGGAAGGGGAGGTGTGGGCCCATCAGGCTCAGCTGACCATTACCTCCGATCATTTATCACTGTCAGAGAGGAGAGGGTGCGGGGTGGGGGAGCCACTGGACCACTCCCCGCTCAGCTGCTCTCTGACAGCTGACAGTGCCCCTTGCAACCTCCAGGCATACGATGTGCCTTCAAGGGACAGTGTGGTACATGCTTAAGGCCGCTGACATGTTCACAAGGAAGAGAGATGTGCTGTATACTGTGGAGCTTCTCTAGAAACGTGTGCCACCTTCTCTTCGTGCTGTGGTGTAGAACTGCTTGTAGAAACATTTAATGATGTTTTGGAGGCACACGTTGGGCTCCAGAGTGACAGTATGACTTGGGTGATAGGATGAGCAAGTTCCTCGGTGGGCCTTATGCCTTAATTACATCCACAATACCTGGGGACTCTGTACAACACTGAGATTTTAATGTGGCAAAACCAGCATGGACAGATGCTGGGGAGGAAGGAAATAACTTTGCTGCTTCTGTGGGTCAGGAAGCGAGGCCCCTACACGTCTTTGAAGGACAGTACCTTTTCTAAAAAATGTATTTATTTATTTTTATTTTTTGAGACAGATTATCGCTCTGTCACCCAGGCTGGAGTGCAGTGGTGCAATCTCGACTCATCGCAACCTCTGCCTCCTGGCTTTAAGCCATTTTCCTGCCTCACCCTCCCGAGTAGCTGGAATTACAGGGATGCACCACCATGCCCGGCTAATTTTTTTTTATTTTTAATTTTTTTTTTTAATTTTTAGTAGAAATGGGGTTTCACCATGTTGGCCAGGCTGGTCTCGATCTCCTGACCTCAAGTAATCCGTCCACCTCGGCCTCCCAAAGTGCTGGGATTACAGGCATGAGCCACTGTACCTGGCCAGGACAGTACCTTTATAAACAAGAATAATAAGTATGATTTGTATATGACTCTTTATAGATATGTTTAACATTCATCTTCAAAATGTAAAATATGTTTTAGACTCAATAGGAAACACATGTCTTAGTATAAAACAAATTCCTTTTGGTCTATAGCCATGTGTTTCAGTACACCTACTTTCAACGTTGTTATTCACAAGGGTGTCACAGGCATCAGGCTGAAATACAGATTTTAATCCTTAAAATAACCTTATTTTCATTGTCATTTATATTCTCAAGATTATCTAATTTTGGTAGTCATTAGGAATTACTTGTGTTAATAGTGGTGGTGAGATTTCATAAAAGTCAGGTGGAAAATTTCCATCAATTAATGTAATATTATATGCTTATCACAGACGCCTAAGTTAGACATGGTACTTAAATGTGGCAATTAATAAAAGTATTACAAAGGTGAAAATGGATTTCTTCTAAAAATGGAATTAATGATGATGGAGTGCTTGTGTTGGGAACTCAGGCTAGTCTGGTGCTTGCCGGAGATGCAGGATGCTTGGAGAGCTGCAGGCAGTGCTGTCAACACAGAGGCATGTGTTGACGTGTCTGATCAGCAACCCTAAGAAGTGGGTCGGGCATTGCGGGCTGGTGAAGGCTGGAGAGAGGGCCAGGGTTGTCTTTCCGTCTGTATCACCACCAGTAAGCACTGTGCAAATACCAGTGTTCAGGAGCCACATTCTAACTGTGATGGGGTTTGGCTGAAATGCAGATCCCCAGGCCTTGGTGGGGCAGATATGGGTTCCCAGGTCTCTCTGCCAACGTCCATCCGCCCTGCCTACACATGCCCACCTGGGAGTTGATAAGCTTGCTCAGAAGCCCTCTCCAAGACAGGGACAGTGACTTGGCCCTGACCAGAGAGGATGTCAAAGACCAGTAATACAGCTGGTTTGGTTTATTCTGGAAGTCCCCGAACAGCTTGAGTGTGCGTCACTTGGGGCAGTTTCTTAGCTAGCAAGCCAGGATAGTTCAAGGTGCCCACAACCCTGGGAAGAAAAGGGCTCTGCTGCACCTTCCTGTGATGGAGCAGGCAAGCAGCCGGTCATGGGTTGTTGTCATGGAAGAGAGGGTGACTGCTTTCTCTTTCCTGCTCAAAGAAAACAGAGGAGTGGGACTTAGAAGAGAACACGTAGTATTTTACAACTTCCAAAATATACCCGATAGGGGCTAACTTTCCTTTTTTCAAGCGTTGCTTTCAGTTTTTTTTTCTTTTGATAATTTATTGATTAGCAAAGAAATATTTGCTTAAGAAAAATTTGGGAATAAATAAAAGTATAAAGAAGGAAGCAAAATCACCCATAAATCAGCATATAAATCAGCCACGACTACAGCATCACCATGCTTCCTTCTTGTTATTTTCCTTGACTTTGTTCTTTACTTGAGGAGGATACTTTATTATTTTTTTTTTTGTTGTTCTTACTTTTTCCCCACTCAACTCCATATATATTATTATTATTTCCTGATGCCAGGAAAAAAGTACTCATGGTCATACTTTAAAAGTTACCATATAATACTGTATCTTAGAACTGTGTCACAAATTTATTCTCCATGTGTGGGGTCATTCAGCTTATTTACAGTTTTTCTGTATTTTAAACAGTTCTGTTGTAAACATCTCTGGAATTCTTTGTCTCAATTCTGATTATCTCCTACAGTAGCTATTTATAATTGCAGTGACTAGGTCGAAGGGTGGAAATGCTTTTGACATTCTTGGTTGGTTGTGGTAGTTGTGGCAGGGTCTCCTCTGTCACCCAGGCTGGAGTGCAATGGGACAGTCATAGCTCAATGCAGCTTCTAACTACTGGGCTCAAATGTTTCTCCTGGCTCAGCCTCCCTAGTAGCTGGGACCACAGGTGCACACCACCATGCCTGGCTAACTTATTTATTTATTTTTTGTAGCAATGGGAGTCTCGCTATGTTGCCCAGGTTGGCTTTTGGCATTCTTGGTACCTATTGTCAGACTGCTTTCCAATTAGATTGTAGCGTTTCATGTGCCATGAGCAGTGTAGGAGAAAGCTTGTCTCACTGAAGCCTGGTCAGTGCTCGGCATTGTTTTCGCAAGTTTGCCATTTGCACGAATCAAAGCTAGTCTCTCTTTTGAGACTGAGCATCTATTGTGTATTTATATAATTAACAATTTATCTGCATAATATCAGTTCCCATCATTCCTCCCTTTGTCTTTGGTGATGCAACCTCTGTCTTTTGCAGAATCATGGATGCCTGCTTTGGGAGCCTGGAGAAATGGTTTCCATGCTGTCTTCTAGGGCCGCTGGGTTCCTCTTGCACTCTAATGGGGGATCCCTCTGATCACCTTTCTTCACTCCCCAGACAGTCTGCAGTCTCAGGGAATAGGGGGCATGGTAGGCTCACCCTAGGCCGGTAGGCTCACTCTAGGCTGGGTTTTTTGTTTGTTTGTTTGTTTTTTGAGACGCATTCTCACTCTGTTGCCAGGCTGGACTGCAGTGGTGCGATCTTGGCCCACTGCAACCTGCACCTCCCGGGTTCAAGTGATTCTCCTGCCTCAGCCTCCTGAGTAGCTGGGACTACAAATGCGCGCCACCGTGCCCTGCTAATTTTTGTATTTTTAGTAGAGATGGCGTTTCACCATGTTGGCCAGGATGGCGTCGCTCTCTTGACCTCGTGATCTGCCCGCCAGTTTTTTTTTAATGAATAAAAAGGGCTTGTGGTTGGGGCATCTCCATTCAGCTTTGCCATCCTAGGCTTGTAGTCACACTAGTGGGCTTGTGCACTGAGCAGACTTCAGGAAATGCAGCAGGCAAATCATGAGAAGGAAGAATGCCCTCTATTTGCATAATGCTTTATTCTATTAAAAATGTGTCCTCATCCTTATTTCCTCACTCTTTGGGCTAAAAATCCTCTCTTAGGATTTTTCTTAATAACTGGTTGATGAAATGGAGTCCTTGAGTGTAGGATCTGTGAAATTTATCTTTGCCCCACAACACTAACTCCTGGCACTTATCAATGTGGAGAACATCCTTGCCAGGGAGTGAACATGAGCCAAAGGACCCGCCTCTAGGTACCAGCTTATGCCTCACCAAGGTGGGTTACTGTGCTGGCTGGGCTTTCAGCCTGGCCTGTTCTGCCCATCCTATTGTGACCTCTTGAAGCTCAGGCTTGTTCTTCTGCAGAAAGAGCTGGGAGGTATGGGGGTTGCCTGGGGAGGTATGGGGGTTGCCTGAGCTGGGCATCGGCTCCATTACCAGCCGGGAGGTGTATCTCCGTTCTGCTGCGTCTGGAGCAAAGGGAGCGGGCCAGATGGTCGTGGAGGGCGGGGTTGACTGCGGGGAGGCCGTGGTCAGAGCAAGAGGATAAAATCCTGAATGACACCTGATTTGTTTTTCGTGCTGTGATTTTTCACTGTTGTCCAATTGTCCTCTGTTTTTCCATCACATACCTTTTGTTTTGGGGGCAGCCCCCACTTGCATATGGTCCCTGGTCACCATGGGGGAGAGCAGTGAGCTGCCTTCCCCTTCACCTCCAGCTTTGAGAGTAAATCTCACCTTCTGGGTACCCACAGCAGCTGGGGACATTTGCCTTATTCCCACCATGGCCTTCCTGGGGGACTCCCTGCCTTGCTGCTCCTCATCACGGGTCCCAGCTGCTGGTTGTCGCTTGCCTTCCAGGTCAGGGAGGAGCACTGGGAATTCCTGGGACACAGGATGAGTGGGCGTAGTGGTCAGCAGGGAGGGGAGAAGCCCCTCCCAGTGACTCACCCAGCACCATGTTTGTCCCCACGTAGCCTCTCCTGACATATAGAACATGCTGCTATTGGGGGCAAAACCCACTCTTGGTTAACTTGCACCTTAAAACACCATATCGCACATTGTAGGAGCTGTGAGGGACAAACACAACCAGAACCTCAGTGCCCCTGGGCATGTATGACTAGAGGCGTGACTCCATCCTCTCTCAGAGCCCCTGCCCCAGATTTGAGTGACAGCCACCTCATCCTTAGCATCTGCGGAGAGGACCTGGGCAGGATCAGGGCCCAGAACGCTCAGTCAGTGTCCTTGAGGGGCCCGCTGCAGAGATGGGAGTGGCTAGTCTGAGGCCAGGGCTTGTGGGCCACATAGGAACCTTACTTACTTCCTGACTGACTTGTACCCTGAACCACCATGACTTTGTGACCTGGAGAAGGAGCCACAAAGAAACAGATAAGAAGAGGGACTGTGAGACCATATTTTGTTGGGGTGTTGACAGATTTTTACCATATTACTGAGATAAATGCACTTTACTCCAGCCCCACCGTGACCCTCCTCTCTGCTGCTCAGTGTAGTAGCAGCTGGATTAGTCAGTAGAAACACTTGATACGTCAGTCCAGATCCCTCAGGAGCATGCGGTATGGGTTGGGTTGGCATGGGGTTAATAACATGACCCGATGAGATTGTACTTCTTGATGACCGGCAGTTCTGAGAGTTTAGTCTGATCCAAGACTCTTCCAGTCCTGAGATGATTTTGTGTCTAGTGGCTAACCAGGACTCCCAAGATGGCAGCTGCTGTTCCTGGAATCTCCAGTTAGGTGGTGTCCCCTGGTCACCCAGTCCCCACTGCTTTCCCCACCCTCCTTACCCAGAGGATACGAATTTTAGGTGTTCCCAGTTGAGCACAGGACAGGGAGCTCATCCCTGATTGGTTTATGCCTGATTTTGCATTATTGTAGATGTGTTACCAAGCAGTTTTACTGTGCCCTTTTCAAGGAAGAAAGTCATACAATTTGAAGTGCATGAGACATTCACAAAACAAAATAAAAAGCAATGTCAGTATCATCTTCTTAAGCTTTTGAACATGTCCCCCCGATCCCCTTCAACATCCAGAAGTTGACTTTGACCCAGTCTTGGTCTAATTAACTGCTACTCTGCAAGCACTGCGCTCTCAAGATGAATGAAAATCTGTTTCTTGTCCTCATATCTTCTTGGTGGAGGACACGTCACTGCCATCAGCAGAGGTTGTCCTCCCAGAGCATGTGGCTTTGGCATGTGCCCCTTGTAGCAGAGAAGGGGCTGGGGCATGTGCCCAACCCACCAGTTGGGAGGCACCCACTCTGCTATGGCTGGGTAACAGATGTCCCTGTTGGAGACTCTTGTGTCTCCATTTGACACTCTACTGGTAATCAATAGTTAGGGCTCAATTAATGAATGGCTTTTCTGTTTAATAAATTTGTTTCTGTGGTGAAACATGCCATTGATTTTGAAACAAATTTGTAAATGGTGGGTTAGGTTCCCAGGTTAGCCCACCCTTCCCCCATATCTTACTGAACCTATACGAAGGGTTTAAAGGATCTTTGGTTCTTTGGCCCCCAAATACTTGCCTTAGCAGAATTTCAATGAGAAAATGTCTTTAAAAACTCCACCTTGGTTTCTAGGAATAGAGCTGGGGTCATTTCTTGGTTGTAAAGAACTTGCTATTTTCCCATTGTGGAGTGGAAAGTAGCTCTCAGATTTCCCCTTATTCTTTTATCCCTAGAGCAATATATAGTGTGGGGGATTTTCAGAGGTTTGTTATCACAGTGTAGAAATGAGAAGGAAAATGACTTCTTCCCCTGTGCCATCTTTGTTTTATCCATTTAAACCAGCAATGGCAAAATGATTTCATCACACATGATGCCTCTAAGCGATGAGACTCTATGGGTACTGTGTTGAGAAAAGATTCTGTGGGCACATTCAGGGATCAAGAAAGTATGCTGTGTTTGATTAGTGATGTCTGCCATGGGCATGGTCGTGGAGGGGAGGTGACTAATGTTTATTTGCCGTTCCTGAAACAGACCTGTTGGAAAGTAAAGTTCACACAGGTGATAATACCAGCCTAACTGTTTTATAGAGTTTGTTATGTACTGGACACTGTTCTGAGTGCTTTTTGTATTTAATTCTCAAAACACCCCATGAAGTAAGTACAAATGAGGAAACTTAAAATGAAGAAATTCTTACAGATGAGGACACAGAGGCATGAAGAGGTTGAGTGACTAAGCCAAGATCATATGGGTAGGAAGTGGGAGAGCTGAGAGTCACAGTCAGGCCGTCTTGTCCTGGATCGCCTGTTCTTAGCCACCAGTTCTGTCCTGTCTCCTGCTTGTGAGTGTTGTGCCTGCGGTCCACAGGACTGATGTAAGACTCAGCTGTATTTCAGTAGAAGGTGCAAAATCACGTTTTAAGAACCTGTTATCTTTGGGCTTCAGGCTCTGGAATTAAAGACAAGACAAAGCCGCCAGGGACCTCATGAGTGATGAGGGAATAGCAAGTGAACTCCCTCCACCTTCTCCAATTCATGCAGTATTTCTGGTCTTTCCATCTCAGCCAGCACTGCCCACCTCTCAGTTGAGACTAGGTAAATGGGAAAGGGAAGAGGGGTTGAGATTTAAGGAGTGGAATAGAGGAGTTCCCTTGTATCCAGGTCACCTGGCTGGGGAAACTATTTCTGAGGGGCCATTTTCAATGATCATTTTATGTAAGGAACACACGCATGTACACATAAAGATATGTAACAGTCATGTGCCACATAACAATGTTTTGACCAACAAGGGATTATGTATATGATGGTGGTCCCTTAAGATTATAGTGGAACTGAAAGATTTTTATCACCTAGTGACATTGTAACCATGGTGACATCGTAGCACAACACATTATTCATGTATTTTTGGTCACACTGTTGTAAACAAACCTACTGCACTGCTAGTCATATAAAAGTTCAGCACATTCGATAATGTATAGTACATAATAGTTGATAATCATCATAAACAATGATGTTACTGGCTTATGTATTTGCTATACTATACTTTTTGTCCTTATTTTAGAGTGTGCTCCTGCAGTTATAAAAAACTGTAAAATAGCCTGAGGCAGGTACTTCAGGAGGTGTCCAGAAGGAGACATTGTTACCATAGGAGATGACAGCTCCAAGCGTGTTATTGCCTCTAAAGACCTTCCAGTGGGACGAGATGTGGAGGGTGGAAGACAGTGATATTAATGATTCTGATCATGCTTAGGCTTAGGCGAATGTGTGCATTTGTGTCTTAGTTTTCAACAGAAAATTTAAAAAGTAAAAAATGAAAATTTTAAAAATAGAAGTTTTCAACAAAATTTAAAAAGTAAAAAATGAAAATTTTAAAAATAGGAAGAAGTTTTCAACAGAAAATTTAAAAAGTAAAAAATGAAAATTTTAAAAACAGGAAGAGCTTATAGAATAAATATAAAAATATTTTCATATAATTGTACAATGTGCTTGTGTTAAGTTATGTTATTACAACAGTCGAAAAGTAAAAAATAGTTTAAAAGTTTATAAAGTAAAAAATTACAGTAGCTGAGGTTAATTTAGTATTGAAGAAAGAAAATTTAAAAAACAATTTAGTGTAGCCTAAGTGCGTGATATTTATAAAGTCCGTGGTAGTGTTCAGTAATGGCCTAGGCCTTCACACCCACTCACCACTCATTGACTTACCCAGAGCAGCTTCCAGTCCTGCAAGCTCCATTTGTCATAAATACCCTAGACAGGTGTACCTTTTTTTTAAATCTTTTATACTGTATTTTTACCGTACCTTTTCTGTGCTTATAGATATCTAGATCACAAATACTTATCATTGTATTACAGTTGACTACAGTATTCAGTATAGTCACATGCTGTACAGGTCATAGCCTAGGGGCAATAGACTATACCACATAGCCATAGCTTAGGTGTGTAGTTGGCTCTACCATCTAGGTTTGTGTAAGTGCACTCTGTGTTGCCCAATGACAAAATGACCTGACAACACATAGATTTCCCTGAATATATCCCTGTTGTTAAGTGATGCATAACTGTATATATGTATTTTTAATGGATCAAATAAGTTATCTTTCATAATGGCTAAAGAGAGATTTTTTAGTACCATTTACCTCACTCGTTAATTTAACAAATACTCATCAAATGCCCGTTCTGTGTCCATACGCTGAGAGAGGATTATGGAAATGGGGAGTCAGAGAGCTACGACCCCTGCCCTCCCTGAGCTTGCAGTCTACTGATAGATGCAGTCCCTGTACAAACAGTGGCATAAGTGCAAAGTGCTACTTGGGTGAGTGCTGCAGAGGAAAGGCCCTTGGTCCTGAGGGATCAGGGTGGCTGTGGTGGATGGATGAGGGATGCTAGTGTTCTGACCATGCAGGTGCTTGCAGGCCATGCCAAAGAGCTTTGACTGTGGCCTGAGAGTCATGGGATGCCATGGAAGGGGAGGAGGGGTCTTGGAGTTTGTGTCACATGATTAGATTTTTTTCCCTTTGGAAAGATAATTGTGGCTACCTTGGGAAGAATGAATTGGACAAGGGATATACAAGAGTTAGAAGGCAGATGTCGGAGTCCGGAAAAAGGGGTCATGACATTTGGGGCTAGGGAGGCTTCGGTAATGAAAAAAAGAAGTGAGGGGGATGCTACAGGTGTCTGGAGGGGGACAGTCGCTGGCTGTGGTGGCAGATTGGATGTGGGGAGTGAAGGAAGAGAAGGGATAAGGACAGTTAGAAAGCAGGAGCATGGCAGGCCCATTCCCAAAGGTGGGGGATGCTGGCACAGAAGCTGGTTTGGGATGGGAGGACATCCTGTGTAGTTTTGCGGTGTTCAGAGGAGATGTCAGATAGGGTGCACTTTGGATTGTGAACATGTGGGTTTCAGCTGGGCCATCGACAGACCTTGATGGATTGTCCTGGGAAACCAACTACTGTGGAAAAAATAGAAAAATCTATAATTTTCATTTGTTTGAATTCAAACATTTTCACCCTAGACAAAAAGAAAAGAATCTAACAATGAGAAAGGAAATAAATAAAAATAAATGTCTTGCATAGTCTTTGTGTTTTCATTTTTATGTTCTTCTGCCAGTCTTTTCACATAAATATTCATATTTTAATTAGTTGTCATTATAGTCTATGTAGAAGTTGTAATAGGATTGTGTTTCCTTACCATTATCCCAAATATTTTCCCACATTTCTGTATCTCTCTCAAGGCTGCATTTAAAACATGTTGGGTAATATTCCATTCATTTGATAAATCATAAATGGTAATTTTCTAAGCAATTCCTCTACTTTTGGATATTTAGTTGATTTTAAGATTTTGTTATTACAGGTAATACTTTCATAGATATTATGTGTATCACCTTTTCTTCTCGTGTGTTTTTTTCTTAAGGTGTATTCTTACGAGTGGGATTCATGGGTTTAAAGAGTTTGGTTTCTGACTTGTGATATGGGTCAAGGCAAATGTTTTCCAAACCACTGACAGGGCTGTGAGGCAAGAACGAAAGGGCAGATCTTTGATCTCCACACGGAAGCTCAGCATGTTTATTTGAATTCAGTAACCAGTGGTCCTAACCAGATCAGTGAATGCTTGACAGGGTCCTTCCATCACACAGCTGGGACCTTCCATCACACATCTGCTAATTGTGCCAGTTAGTGGCTACAGACCTCTATAAGGCCACTGAGCCCACCACCTTGACCTCAGAACCCTGGGCTGGGTTCTCCCTTTTCCCAGGCTTTTTGCTTGTAGGAATGCCACAATGACTTTACAACCAGTGGAAGCCCCAGAAGGGAACTGATGGAATCCCTAAGGGCTACAGGCAGCTTCCCATGGGTTTGGATGGGTGCTCAAGATCTTCCGTGACCTAGTCTCGGTCTAAGAGATTTACTTGCCATTGCTTCTCAAAATAGCACCTCCACTGCACCAAGACAGATTGTTCTCTGGCCCGGGAAGATGACTCCTGGCCCTCACTGAAGTTGCTCTCTCACCCTTGCCTTTGCAAACCTGACTTCTCCTTCGGACTCCAGGAGTGGCAGCGCCTTCTGGCAGCACATCTGACTTCCCACCCAGCTCTCCTGCTACAATTACCTGCACTCCTGCAGAACCCTCCGTCCACATGGCAGGACTTAGCACATAATTATATGCCTTCTTTAATGTTTGTTTTTGCAGTTGTTATTTCTTGAAGATAACTGTACTCTCCTCGAGGGCAGGAACTGTGTCATCCTTCCCTAGACCCCTCCAAGCGTGGCTTCAGTGCTGAGCCCTTTGCCTGAACCCAGCCAATCCAGTGTGACCCATTACATCAAAGCGTCTCTGCCGATGATGCAGTGTGAAGCGTCTTAGCTATCCTTTTCTTTTGTGTTTTCCACATAAGTGCTCCTATTCAAAACCTGCTGAGGATATTATTTAGAAAATGCTCATAGATGGGGAATACTCATATTGTCTATTGATCACAGTTTGGGGGTTGTAAGATCAAGTTAATGCTGGAAAACAATAACCTGGTCACTTGTTACTTCCGAGTCCTCAGTGTTTACTAGGGTGGGAAGGGTGACTGGTTAGGAGGACCTGGGTGGGGGGATAAGGAGCTGTAGGAGGCACTGGAATATCTCTCTGGCTCTTAAGGAGGCTGGTGTCTTTGGCCTGGGTGAACAGTGCTTGTACTGTACTGAAATGACATGTTCTGCTATTGTGTTTTTTGAAAAATTGCTCCCAATGGAACCTTGCCCTTTTTACTTCTCACTTTAAATACTGAGTGCATCAGTGTTCTGATTGTTAGGAGTCTGCAGGGGGACTCACCCCCAGTTCAGCCTGGAAGTTGGAGCTTTGCTTGTTTTTTAGAGATGGTGTGGCAGAAGAGGGACTCTGGCTGGGTGTCGGGAGCCTTCAGGCCCGGCTGGGTCTGTAGCCACCCATTGTCCAGCTCTGCACAAGCTCAGACCTCAGCCTACTCATTTATAAAATGACATACCTGAACTAGATGATCTCTAGGCCCTTCTGCAATGGAGATGAAAAACAAAATAATTGAAGCTCTCTTCAGAGGGTAAGCTTGGGTGCATTTTTAACTCAAAGGAGAAATAGGCTCATTGACACATTTAATGACATGTGTTAGTATGTGTTAGAACTTTACACTTAAACTTGCATTTCTTTTTTTTTTTTTCTAGCCAAACATCATGTCAATGGCAACAGAACAGTCGAACCTTTCCCAGAGGGAACACAGATGGCTGTATTTGGTAAGATATCAATTCTGAAAGAAAACCCAAATTGTGTGCAAAGACTAGTGCCAAATTTCTTAGTTTTAGCAAGTGTTCTCAGGGCTTCAAAATCTGGGCTCTTCTAGATATTTACAAGTTGTTACAGCCAAGAAAACTATTGAGTTCCTAGTAATTTCTGGGGTTGGAAAAGCTTATTCTATAGAATTTAGCGTGCTTTATTTTCTCACGTTGACAACCACGTATCAAACTGAGTATTTGCTATTTCTTATGTCCACACTGTGAATTAACCTGCTAATTTAGGGTTTGAGTTTTTCTTTGCTAGCACGGATTTTTTTTTTTTCCGCATAGATATATCACTTTGTTAAAGGCTGGAATTTAAGTAGTTTTGACTTATTATTACACAAAGATTAATCTAATTGAATGATCTCTTCCTTCTCCATCATGAATTAAGCACGCTCCTTAAGAGAAAACATTAATTAAAAATGTTTTCAGCAAAGGCCAATCCCTGAGTGATATACTTAAAATGTACAATTATGTGGTTGAGCAGAACTTCTCTGTTAAAATTCCAAACTGTTTGGTGAAGAGGTCCTTTTTAATCTGTGTTTCCTTCCCTCCATGCCTCATGTCATCTAAACTTCCTTCAGAATATCTCTGCACATGGCCCTTTCTTTGCCTGCCTTCTTTTCTCCATTCTTTCCTTCCTTACCTCTTCTTCTGTTGGGCCCATCTCCCACCTCCCCTCCCCTTCTCTCTAGCAGTGCTCTGGGGTTCATCCCTGTGTTACCCACTGAAAATGACGACCTCTGTGCTCTGGAATTTCAACTGGGCATTCAGCTGCCTCCCTTGGTTCCTTCACCTCCACGTTTAGACAGGTTCTGTGATGTCTCTCATCCTAAAAATGTGAGGTCCCCTGATTTCACGCCTCCCGTAGCTTCTCTCCTGCTCTGGTCTTGATGGTAATCTCCTTTGAGGGTACAAAACTGCTTTGAAGACTTGAATTGCGTTTGAACTGGAAATTAGCCTCAGAACAACCTGGTCTATAAATGAGCACACTGAAGTTAGATTGTTCCCTTATTCCCAGAGATGGAACCAGAATTAGGCATCAGTGAGGATTAGCAGCTGCAGAGTCATAAACAGGGACCCAGTTCCACCTCAGTGTTGGTAAATCATGCTCTGTGTAGGCTATCACCTTTTAAAACATACTGATCAGTGATGAGAAATCATTATGCCCAGAAATTTAAATGGAGAAGTTGATTTTGTAGAAGGCATAATGGCCTCTCTAAACCATGTGCTAAAACGTTTGATTTGCTAACTTTCCTGTCCCAGCATGGTGTCTGTTATCATGGGACAGCAAATGTCACATATATCAATGTTCAAAGGGGTCTTTTGATGATTTATTTATTTATTTTCCAGTCTCTCAGATTCGCCAACCCCAGGCATATGAGAAACTAAGTCTTATGTCATATTGGGAAATAGTAAATGACACTAACCTATTATTAGTGGGTTTCCCTCTGTTGTGATATTGAAGTAAAACTTCTTTCTTGAAGGGCAGATTCAGTACCAGATGGGCTGATGACATTGTTTGACTACAGAATTCGAAATAACAGGGAATGAGGCTCTGTGGCAAGTCTTTCTTTTCTTTTCTTTCTATTTTTTATTTTATTTTATTTTATTTTGCAGTGGGGGGTTGCAGTGGAAAGATTTGGTTTATAGCGGCTTCCTCAACATTCTTCCCCAAGGCCCTCATTGTTTCACTTTCAGCGGGCAACTTCCCCTCTCTAAGCCTCCGCTTTTCGATGAGGAGGCTGACAGGTGAACTCTAAGGCCTCTGCAGCTCTAGGCCCTTGGCCTTTACCTCTTACGCCTTCAGGACTGAAAGCTCTTGGAGCAGGGGGCAGCCCCTGGGAGGCCCACTGTGCATGGCCAGCATGTGTGGTTTTAGAAGAGATGAATCATGTGCATAATTTCTACAAGTTAACAACATATAAGAAGCAGAATTCTACAGATGATAAAGTAGAATATGTTTGACATCTAAGAATTCTTACTTTAGAAGTGCAGTTTAGCTCTTCCAGATGCTTAAATTAAGGCCTTATTTTGGTTAAGTATATGCAAGCATTTTATATTAATGTCTTCAAGATGATCCTCACTTTCTATCACTTGTCGCCCTGGGCTAGGGTAGAGTAGGGGATTTGGGGGGTTTTGAGGGTGGACTTCTGCCATTCTGGGTTGTTTATCACTGCAATGGAAAGGTCAACTCAGCACAGTGCTTGACTCTTTGGGATACATTGGGCATTTCATCCTGCCAGCCTCTTGCAAAGCTGATGGACTCATATACTCCTCTTCCTAGCGAGGCCATGTGACTTATCCAGAGCCACTTGGCCAAGGAGGTGGTTGGTGGAGCTACAGTTTGAGCCCAAGTCTAATTGACCTGGAATCTATGTTCTTGTTGTGATGTTCCCTGACTCTCTCTGCACTGGTTCAAGGAACCATGGGAAGGCCTTATAGATTCAGGGACACCTTTCAGCTGGGTCCACACACAAAAGTATGATCTGCAGCCAGGCCCATTTAGCAAATCGATTTGTATACTTGCATGCCTTCCCGGAGTGCTCTGAAGGAGTCTTGAGAAGTAGCCTTTGCTGGGAGAATACTGGTTGGAGCAAGATCTCCTACGGCTATCATGCTTTTCCATTTGACCACAGTAGCATGTATTATTAATGCACAGGAGGATGTCTTACATTCCCTTGACTGTGAGTTCATCAAAACAGTGATGGCACTTGTAATTGTTTAGACCCGTTCTTCAGCCTTGGAGGTCTTCATATTTTGTGATAAAATAGTATCACTAATTATAATGTCATTTTTTTTTTTTTTGAGATGGTGTCTTACTCTGTTGCCCATGCTGGAGTGCACTGGCACGATCTGAGCTCACTGCAACCTCCACTTCCCGAGTTCAAGCGATTCTCCTGCCTCAGCCTCCCAAGTAGCTGGGATTACAGGTGTGCATCACCACGCTCACCTTTTTTTTTTTTATTTTTAGTAGAGATGGGGTTTTTCCATGTTGGCCAGGCTGGTCTCGAACTCCTAACCTCAAGAGATCCGCCCACTTTAGCCTCCCCAAATGCCGGGATTACAGGCATGAGTCATCGCACCCGGCCACAATGTCGTTATCTGTTGGTTAATCATTTGAATATACCTTACCTTTAGAATGCTACCGAAATAAGAACTTTGAAATGTAATCCACTCTACAGATGACCATTGAACTTCCATGAAGCTTTTAGATTAGAATGTGAAATGTCAGGAAAGACAGATAGAGTGTGGGATAAAGGCATTCCAGTGTGAAAAATGCATGAATGGTCATATCAAGGGATCAGAGAATAGATAGATGATTCCTTAAAAACTGTCGCTGGCATACAGTCTTCACAGATTTTCTTATGTAGCCCAACAGTTAGTTTTTCTCCTGGTCTCCTTTTCTCTCTGGTTTTTCTGCCCCCATCATTCTTAGCTTCCTCTGTGGCTCTCCCTCTCCTCTGCCCTTTTGGACAATGAGAACGAAGGTAATAGGCTTGGTCCTCCTGGGGGGCTTCTCCTACCTGTGTGTGATGCTGTCTTTCAAGTCAGTGGGAGCCCTCTGCTTGCAAGCTGGAAAAGTGGAGCCACACATTTTGCAATTACTTCCTGTCTTTGTTCCTGGTAGCTGTGAGTGCCCCCTTGGCTCTCACCCATTTGATCTTTAGAGCGCCCGCCCTGTGTAGTGGGCATCATTGTGCTCCTTTATAGGCAGACAAACTGAGGCACCCAGAGATTAAAGAAACATGGCCGAGGCTTCCTCAGGTATGAGAACATCTTTTGCCACCCTGCTGGGCCTGTCTTAGAAAGGTTCTCTCTGGCCGTCAATATCTTAATGAAAGTGACATTCCGTTGGCCACGGTCCACTCTGTCCACGTGGAGGGCCGGGTTCCAGCCTCTGCAGAAGTGCTTGTTCTCAGCACAGACCAGCTACTCATTGCCTTAAAAATACTCCATAGTCAAGAAGATGGGTAATTTCACGAGAAAATCAAAGCTTACTAATTTAAAAGGGTGGAAAATGGAGGGCATGGGATTCCAAGCTTAATTTGTGAAGATTCTTGGTACAATTAAAAAATATTTTATATAAAATATTAGCTGGGTATGGTGGCATGCACCTCTAATCCTAGCTACTTGGGAGGCTGAGGCAGGAGAATTACTTGAACCCAGGAGGCGGAGGTTGCAGTGAGCCGAGATCGCGCCACTGCACTCCAGCCTAGGTAACAGAGCGAGACTCTGTCTAAAAAAAAAAAAAATTTAAACTTTACTATCTTTGAACATAAATTTGTCATCCAAACTAGGATACATTCGAGAGTAAAAAGAGTGCTGTGAACAATTATACTGAAATAATGAAATAATGAGGGATAAACCTGGAGGGTTTTAGGCAATTAGGATATAATGTCCCCCTTTAACGAGGTTGTATATTATAACGTATTGCACCAAGAATAATAAATACACACCAAGTTAAGTAGAAATGGAAAAATAATGAACTTGGATAGACAAAGTGAACAAATGGAAAAAATTGCAATGACATAGATTGGATTGTATATAATGTCACATCCACACTAGTAGTTACGCTAACTTTGGAAATTATATTCAATAAATATTGTTGTGTTCTTCCTGAATAACTTCAGTTTGAAAGTTAATGCGTATTCATAAAACCTAGTTTGTGATACTTCAATAAGAGTGAGGGAGTTGATCTGATTTTACAGTTGCAGTTTTAATATTGTACTAATACTTTCCAGGGATGTAGGGTAATGAATTCTCCATTACTTGAGATATTCAGATGGTAGAGTGGTCATCCTTAACCAGTTTGGAGGTGGGGCTATGTAGCCTTTAAAACCCTTTGTTCTCAGTTACTGAGAATTGACTTTGTTTTGGAACACTGAAACATTTAAAAAAACATTCTGCTAAGTCAAAATTCTTTGAACCCATCATTATTTATTTTTTAATTTAAAAGTTTTGTGGGTACATAGTAGGTATATATATTTATGGGGCATGTGAGATGTTTTGATATAGGCATGCAGTATGTAATAATCACATCATGGAAATGGGGTGTCTGTCCCCTCAAACATTTATCCTTTATGTTACAAACAATCCAATTATACTCTTAGTTATTTTTAAATATACAATTAAATTACTACTAACTATAGTCACCCTGTTGTACTATCAAATGCTAGGTCTCATTCATTCTTTCTCACTATTATATTTTGCATCCATTAACGATCCCCACCTTCTCCTGTACCCCTACTACCTACCCTTCCCAGCCTTTGGTAACCATCATTCTACTCTCATCTCCATGAGTTTAATTGTTTTGATTTTTAGATCCCACAAATAAGTGAGAACATGTGATGTTTGTCTTTTTGTGCTGGACTTATTTCACTTAACATAGTGTTGTTGCAACACTATGTTGCACTATGCACTATGACAGGGTCTCATTCTGTTTTATGGCTGAGGAGTACTCCATTGTGTACATGTACCACACTTTCTTTTTTTTTTTTTTTTTTTTTTTTGAGACAGAGTCTTGCCCTCACCCAGGCTGGAGTGCAGTGACGCGACCTCGGCTCACTGCAACCTCCGCCTCCTGAGTTCAAGCAATTCTCCTGCCTCAGCTTCCCGAGTAGCTGGGATGACAGGTGCGTGCCAACATGCCTGGCTAATTTTCTGTCTTTTTAGTAGAGACGGGGTTTCACCATGTTAGCCAGGATGGTCTCGATCTCCTGACCTCGTGATCTGCCTGCCTCGGCCTCCCCAGGTACCACATTTTCTTTGCCATTCTTCTGTGGATGGACACTTAGGTTGCTTCCAAATCTTGGTTGTTGTGAATAACTGCTGCAGCAAACCTGGGAGTGCAGAGGTCTCTTCGATACACTGATTTCCTCTCTTTTGGGTACATACTCAGCAGTGGGATTGCTGGATCTGAAGGTGTGAACCCGTACCATTTGGGAACTCACGTCCAGGCTTTTTGGTGAAAGGTAAGATTCTGCAGTGAGAAACCTTAATGTTGATAAATTGATACCAAGCAGCAACAGCAGAAGTACCTCTGCAAATTCTTTGGGTTGTCGTGAGTTTTCAGGCTCCTAGTAGCCTGATGGCAATGTCTCTCTGACCTCAAACCACTGGAAAACATGTTTTCCGGGTCAGATTCTCTGAAGATTCTTCAAACGAGAGTGGGGAGCAAAAGCCAAGCCGAGGACTTAGGAAAATGTGTTTTTTGTCGCACGGCACATCTCTTTTGACAGCTAAGGTGCCGAGTGTTCGCGTGACCTTTTTTTGAACAGCTGTGTGAATGGACAGGTCCCGGAGCAGGGGCCCGTGGCTGACAGGAGCCCAGAGACTTGTCCCTCTCTGGGGTACTCACCTTCGGCCCCTCCAAGGAGAGTGAGATCAATGTAAGATGAACCAATCACAAGAAATCGTTTCCTGTCTGACATGAATGGGAGGTGAGTTTTGAATCAGCCCCGGTTATTTGTCTGCCAGCCAAGAAAACAACATTGGAAGCAGCCGGCAATATGTCAGACTTCAAAGGGAAGTGTCTTGGTGTCTCACTGGCACATATCCAGCATGATGTTGGTAAATAACCGAGTCCCGGTGTGGCGTATTTCTCCCTGAATCTTGACTGAAAACTACTGAAGCCCATTCTGTGAACTCTGGAGGGGCAGCCACTCATTCCAGGAAAAAGGCCAGAAAGAATGACATTGAAATGTGTTTATAATTAGCGAAACAATCTAAATTCACAAGATGGTCAGAACTGCAGGCTGCTAACTGGTGCAAACTTCTTAAATGGTAGAGCACTTGGAGAGATAAAAATAGGCCTTCCTCCCTGGGTAATTTGAAGCAACTTGAGGGGGCAATGGTCATTGGAGACATAGTTTAAGATGCATTTTATTTTATATGTCTTGTGCATGATTTCAACTTTCGTTTTCTTCTTGAGTGTAGAGAAGTCAGATAATATAGAGAAGGAGAAAGAGACCTTTGAAAACCTGTGTTGAAAATCTCTTTTGGTTTGGAAAGCATTGGCTGGGATGGTGCAGCCACGTTGACCTGGGCTGGTCCAGAAAAGAACAAATTATGGAGTCACAGAGGAGGGTGGGTTCATATGTTTAGAGTATGGAAGGTGGACTGTAGGTTGGAGGATGGCACAGAATCCATTGTAGAGGGGAGTAAGTTAGAGAATGTTTCATATAATAACACTTTACTTGTATAGAGATCACTTATCCATGAACTTCTCCCATTTCGGTTGTAAGTAAGAACCAGAAAGTGAAGCCCTCCTCCCACAAAAAGGTTATGGAGGAGTCTGTAAAGAATTCAGAATTCCCAAAGGTCACTGGAGTCCTGTAATCCTTGTTGACTCTAGACAAGTTTCTTCCGCCTTCTTAAGCCCCATCTCTCATCTGTAACATGACAAGAAAACTGTTTGCCACCTAGGACTGTTGTCAGAGTGTCAGGAAATGATGCATTGGCCCCTTGGCATGGGGATGACAGACCAGCCGGACAGGTGCTCCCTGGCAGACCACCTGCTCTCCTCACTCTGGGTGAGCTGTGATCAAGTCCCCGGGAGAGTGACGCCAACATCACTAGGCTCTATGGGATCCATCACCTCTCCTTCATAACACCAGACGAGTCCCGTAACTCAGGGATTTTGAAGGATAACAGACAGCATTAGTTGAGAACTCACCTAATATTGGCTGGGTACTGAGAAGCCCATGTTATTAAACTCTCTATCAGGCTCACTCTCACCATGTGTCCAAGTGAGACTGGTTGTTTGCTTCTGTGTCAATACAGAGCTCTCAGAAAATACTATATTTCTCTTTTGGCCTCAACTGTAAAGCTAATCAGATGTGGCTAATTTTTTCACTTTTTGCAGTAGTGTACAGCAACCACCCACTTGACTGACGTTTTTTCCTTTAAGTTTTGACAACGAGAAAGATTTATTTTACAAATGTGGCGGACATTTCTTAAATTTCTACAGAGAAAATACATTCAACAGGATGTTCAGGAGAAACAATCAAATATTTTCTATTACTTCTCTGTTAATTAACTTTTTTAAGAAGAGAAACATAGGTATAGAGAACAACTAAAAGGAAAAAAGTTACTCATTATTAAATTTAACCCAACTAGCATTTTTAAGAAAAATACGGAGCAATCAAGGATCAAATTCAGATAATATAAAACCTAATATTCTTTTTCTTGTTCTCATTCTCCCCAGCCATTTATCTTGGGACTTGTTATAAAATGGATTAAAGGAAAATTAAAATATATGCAAGACACAGCCAACTAACATGCATTAGAATTAGGTAAATATTAGGCCAAAGGAAAAGAAAGTGAAATGAAATACACAAAGAATGCATGTCATAATCTTACATAATTTATAAAACTTGCTCATAAATTTGGCTCTATGTTTCCTAGCAGCAACATGAAGAAAAATCAGTTGGTTGCATGATGGACTTCATTTTTAAAAAATTGTGGTAACAGATACATAATATGAAATTTATCATTGTAACCATTGTTTAAGCGTATGGTCCAGTGGTGTTAAGTACCTTCACATTGTTTTGTACCCATCACCACCATCTAGCTCCAGAATTATTTTATCTTCTCAAAGGGAAGCTCCATAGACACTAAACACCGTCTAGTCCTCCTTCCCCCAGCCCCTGGTAACCTCTATTCTACTTCCTGTCTGTCTAAATTTGACTACTCTAGGGACCTCCTATAGATAGAATCATGCAGTATTTACCCTTTTGTGACTGGCTTATTCTACTTCGCATAATGTCTTCAAAGTTCATCCATGTTGTACTGTGTATGAAAATTTCCTTCTTATCCCATTGTATCTATAGACCACATTTGGTTTGTCCATTCACCTGTCAATCAATACTTGAGTTGCTTCCACCTTTTCGCTGTTGTGGATAAGGCTGCGATGAACCTGAGTGTACAGATCTCTCTTCAAGTCCCTGCTTTCCATTCTTTTGGGTGTATACCCAGAGATGGAATTGCTGGAGCATATGGTAATTCCATGTTTAATTTTTTGAGGAGCTGCCATATCATTTTCCAAAACGGCTATACTTTTACATTCCCACCAGCGAACCACAAGGGTTCCAATTTCTCTGTATCCTTGCCAACCCTTGTTATTTATTTATTTTTAAAAATTATAGCCATCCTAATGGGTGTGAAATGGCGATGGATTTCAGTTTTACTTACTGATTCTAAAAATGTACACGTTTGGGGGAATCACACATATTTTGGATTCTGGAACCAGAAAGAAATTTTTCAAGGGTACTTAGGAGGACACTATATGTACTACAAGGCATTTAGGCAGCACTGCTGATGGCACCCTAGGAGTGAGCGGCGCGCAAGTCTCGTGGCTGTTTGCCACACTGCTCTTCTCTTTGGGCTCGTGACCCTCTCCCCACAAGGGACTATTTGGTCCTTGCATCTCTGCAGGTGCTAGCGTGCTTGTCTGCTGGCTCTGGTTTAACCCAGAAGTTAATTGCGTTGTATCTAAAACAAGCAATGGACCAGCTGTCTTCTAGAAGATTTTCTGTCAATATCATTTCTCTCAGTTGAGTTTTAAAAGGTATTTGTTTTTTACTTTGCAATTGTGAAAGATTTCAAACAAAAATACAGAGCTTAGTATAATGAAGCCTTGCTCGCTCAGCTTCCACAGGTCTCAGTTATGGCTAAATGTGCCTTGTCTACATCCCCACTCCCTCCCCCTCTTCTATCCTAGCATATTTAAAGCAGATCTCAGCTGCCCTATCAACTCATCCATGAATATTTTGGTATATATCTCTAAAAGATAAGATGGATTTTTTACACCTAAAATAATACTTTTTAAATATCATCAAATCTCCAGTGAGTCCATTTCCCCTGTTGCCTCATAAATGTTTTTTAAAACTGTTTATCTGAATCATGAGCCAGATCGTGTATACATTGCAATTGGTTAATATAAATAGTTTCTTTTCATCTGTAAGTTCACCCTTCTTTCTCTCTTTCCCTTGCTATTTATTTAAGAAATTAAATAATTCAGCCTGTCCTATTTCCTTTAGTCTTGACCGAACGATCATGTTCATTTGTCCTCTTGTATTTTCTACAAACCGAGAGTGAGAGGGCTGATCAGCATCTGTAAGTGGTGGTGTGTTTCATTCAGGAGGCATTTAACACCCGGTTCCTTTTCTATTTATTTATTTATTTATTTATTTATTTATTTATTTATTTTGAGAAAGAGTCTCACTCTGTTGCTGAGGCTGGAGTGTAGTGGTGCGGTCTTGGCTCACTGCAACCTCTGCGTCCCAGGTTCAAGCGATTCTTTTCCTCAGCCTCCTGAGTAGCTGGGATTATAGGCGTGCACCACCACACCTAGCCAATTTTTGTATTTTTAGTAGGGATGGGGTTTCACCATGTTGCCAGGCTGGTGTCTAACTCCTGAACTCAGGCGATCCACCCGTCTCAGCCTCCCAAAATGCTGGGATTACAGGTGTGAGCCACTGCGCCCGGCCCTGGTTCCTTTTCTTTTGGTGAAGTTAGCATCCCCTTACTGATCATTGCCTCAGTCCATTATTTTCTTAGAAACTGCAAGATATTCTAATTCTAGCATTTTTTAAATTTGTGAGCTGAAATATTTCTATAAATAGAGACTTCTCTTTATCAACTGTATGGTTACTGTGAGATCCAGTTTGCTGAAGAAAGCAGGATAAGTGGTGATTTTCCTTATGTACCATTTTGCTCCATGTATCTGAGCATGGCTCTAAACGTGTATTCCCAAGTGTCAGTGTATATATGGATAGTTGTTTAAGTCAAAAGCCATTTAACAAGGGATAGAAACTGCCTTAATTTGACGGAATGACCATTTTCACTTGGGCGTTTAACCAGATTATTGAAATTTGTAACCAGTTGGGTGAATACTTGAAAATAGAGCCACAGTACAGATTGCTGCAACAGATTTGAGTAAAGCAAGAAGCAGGCACACTGTCAGGTGGCAGAAGGCAGGTTCTCAGGCAAAGCTCTCTCCACGGAGCAGCGATCTTCTCTCTCGTTCTTTCCCCAGATCTTGTGACCAGGGGATGTGCTGCAGTGCAGGTTTGAGTCCTGACCCTCAGTAGCTCAGGTTTAAAAAAGCAACTCCAGAGAGGGCCTGAGGGTTGGAGGAGGTCTTGCTTCTAGATGTGCAATGCCTTCAAACTGTTGAAATGATAGAAATGGAGAAGCAGTCAAGAAATTACAAAGCCTGCTCAGGGATGCTGCCCATAGCGAAGATTAACAGCTGGGCCATTTCACCTGGAGCGCTTTTTCACGCCTCTGCTTAATATCGTGAATGAGTTTGAGGGTAGCAGAAGACACTCCCCAGAGTGGATTTTCCATACTTCCAGTTCTCACAGAAGGTGTAGGTAAAACTGTTCGTGGTTATCACTGCCAAATTTTTGGGGATTCAAGAAGGGGAGATATTTACTGACCCACTTCTTTTTTAATCTCATACACATCTCGTGTATGTATTTTTGTAAGTGGTCTCAAATTCTTTTTTGGAACAGTGTTGTGTATGAATAAGGTAAATAAAAATAAAATAATTCCCATGAATGAAATTTGGCTGGGTGCGGTGGCTCACACCTGTAATCCCAGCACTTTGGGAGGCTGAGGTGGGTGGATCACAAGGTCAGACTGAGACCATCCTGGCTAACACGGTGAAACCCCGTCTCTACTAAAAATACAAAAAATTAGCTGGGCGTGGCGGCGGACGCCTGTAGTCCCAGCTACTTGGGAGGCTGAGGCAGGAGAATGGGGTGAACCCGGGAGGCACAACTTGCAGTGAGCCAAGATCGCACCACTGCACTTCAGCCTGGACGACAGATCGAGACTCTGTCTCCAAAAAAAAAAAAAAAAAAAAAAGATATTTGTTAGGTCCAGTACAATGTACACCTTTTTGGTTTTTTTTTGTTTGTTTGTTTTTTGTTTTCCCCTGGTAGGCAATCAAAATCAAACAGTGCCAGTTCTTTTTTTTCAGGAATAACTGGAAATGTTACCACTGAAAGCCTAAGAAGTGGGATTCAGTTGAAGCAACATGGTTGAACCATGTGGAGAAACAGACGTTTAGCTTGGCATACCTTAGGCCCAAGTAGTGTGAACAGTGATGCAAGAACCTGTGAACTTTCCCTACATTCTTATGTACAGAGTCTTAAAAGCCCACGATCATTGTATTATTCTATGTCCATAACCACTAGGTGTTATTAGGAAAAACACTTTTCATCTTCCTGGGTCATCAGTGTCCCAGACTTACACAAAGAATTATATTTGACCAAGACCAAGTTTCCTTGCTGAGCTCACTGACCTTGGGAGCAACAGTGGTGCCTGCAGATGGATGTCTTTCTGATGGAGGTCCCACCCTATATCCTTCCAGATTTCAGCTGGGATTCCAACATTCATGATAATATGGAAATAATCAGTGATACATCATGGTAGACATTACCATGAAGAAACTCAAAACAATCTTTCAAAAATATGCTTAGCATAAGCTGAGTGAACACATAGTCAGATGTGGCCTTCCAGAACCAAGCCTACTCAGGGTGAATCAGCACTGTGTTTTCTTAGGAAAAGAAATTTTATTTTATTTTTTTGCCATATGCCTGTTGTCTCCTAAAAAGTCCTTTGAATCTCATTCATGTTTTTATGTGATGACCCTTTTCCAGTTTCCTAATTTCCATAATTCTGCCACTTGTCAGGTCACGATGGAGCTGTTTCTAGTGGGAGCCTGCGTCCATCTTTCTTCCAGCACCCTTATATGGATTCAGTGCTTGGTGACATTCTTATTACCCTTTCTTTCACCAGCATTCTGTTTCCTCAGCATATGACCTTTGTCAGGGTGGCAGTGGGCACTCACATTGGGAAGCATGGAAGAGTTTTGATTCATCTTACAAGGACATTAAGGGAGGAGGACTGGGGAGGGTCGTCTGGGGAATTTCAGGAATGTGATGACACTAGGAGCAGGAAGTGACAGCTACCTGAGGACAGATGAGCCCAGAAACCCTTTCCCGTTCCTTGCTCTTGGCTGAATAACTTGTGCCTGGCGGGTGTGTCTTTGGCCAGGCCTCACACTGACAGCTCTGCAGTACAGATATGCAGTGGGATGGCCACATGATGGGGAAAGCCCAATAGCATGGAGTCTGTGTGGGGCTCTGCTTTCCCACGTGCAGAAAATGAGAGCCGCCTTCCCGAGCAAATAGCCAGTGCATGCTTTTATCCTGCTGCCAAGACATAGGTCTGCAGTGATGCATAAGAAATGACCAGACATCTGCACCAACTGAATGACAAACAGCTTTTCAATTGCTGTGAAGGTTTTGGTAACTGTATTGAAGTTTTTGTCCCCATTTTTTCTCCCATGTAAGACATTTTTAATCTACCTTGCAATGAAGAGGCTGTTAAACACTTGTACCAGCACCACCCAGCTTTTCCATGTCTATATTAAGCTACATATTATAAATATATATATGTATATATGTGTATATATACATATATATATTTGTTCTTTACACTTAACTCTGAGATGAGAAAACTAAGGCTCAGAGACATTGACTTCCCCAGGGTCAGGCTACTAGTTAATGGCAGAACTAGTTAATGGCCTGGCACTGAGATTATTTATTCACATGTTCATCAGATGGTTTATTTATTGCAACAGGAAACAAACAAAAATCTCTAGCAGCTTATACTCCAGTAGGGTGGGACAGAAAATGAGATAAATATGTAAAGCATATGGCATGTCAGATTATGATAAGTGCTGTTGATTAAAATAAAGCAGGGAAAGAGAATAGGAAATGCTAGGCTAGGTTGAGGGGTTGTAATTTAAAATAACATAGTCAGAGAAGTCATGAAGGAAAAATACCTGAGACAGGTTGTTTTGCACAGATTTATGGAAAAAGTGTCCCAGGCAGAAGGAATGCAAGTACAAAGGCCCTGAGGCAGGAGTGGCGGAGGCCTGTGTGGCTGGCGTGTAATCAGCAAGGGAGGAGGAGGAGCAGCTGAGGTCAGAGACTACGAGATCATGAAGGGCAATTCACAGGTAATTCGTGGGTAATTGTGGGGACTTTAACATTTATTTTGCACACTATAGGAAGTCTAGAGGGTTTAAGGCAGAGGTATGACGTGACTTTTTTTTTTTTAAAGCCACCGTGAGTGCTCTGTTGAAGATGGCATATTTAGGTTGGTGAGAGATGCAGCAGGAATACCACTTAGGAAGCTATTGCCTCCTAGTTCAATACTTTTGGCTTTTGAACGTAACTACTTTTAATAATAATACAAAAAAAGCTTTAGGCCTTTATAGACCTTCTCAAATGCCATATTTTCATAGTTTTGTAAGGTTTTCTATCCCTCTGTTTTGAGAATTTAAATAGCCCTTTTAAATGACACATTAGCTTGGCTATTATCAAAAATTCAAAAGATGGCAAGTGTTGGTGAGGACTCTCACTGTTGGTGGGATTGTAAATTGGTACAGCCATTATGGAAAACAGTGTGGAGGTTTGTAAAAAAATTTACAACAAGACTATTATATCATTCAACAATTCTACTTCTTCATATCTAAAGGCAATGAAATCACTATCTCAGAGATATTCATACTCTCACGTTCATTGAGGCACTATTCACAACATACAAGATACAATGTCCATCAGTGGATGCATGGATTAAAACCTGCGGTATATATACACAATGGAATACGATTCAGTCTTAAGAAAGAAGGAAATCCTGTCGTTGGCAACAGTATTGATTAACCTGGAGAACATTATGCTAAATGAAATAAGCCAGGCATAGAAAAACAAATAGTGCGCGATCTCACTTGTATGTGGAATGTTTAGAAAAGTCGAACTCATCAAAGCAGAGAGTACAATGATGGTTACCAGGGGCTGGAGAGATGTTGGTCGAAGGGTACAAAGTTTCAATTGGACCTGAAGAATAAGTTCTGGAGATCTTGGTGACTATAGTTAATAATAATACATTGTACACTTGAAAATTGCTAAGAGAGTAGATTTTAAATGTTCTCACCACATAACAGTGTTAAGTGTGTAAGGTGATAGGTATGTTACTTAGCATAATTTACTTATTCCACAGTGTGTATATATATCAAGACATCACGTTTTACACCATAAAATTGTGTTTGTCAATTAAAAAGTAAATTTATAAAAAGTGACACTAGCAAAACACAGATACACGTCCTTCCTAGAGAGTATTTAGGTATTACTATTGCTTTACTTGCAGGTCAATATTACCTGCATTTTTAGATAGAATGGTTTGATTTAAACCACTCAGAATCATGTTGAAAGTGTGCATTGGATCTCATACAAAATGGGTCACTTCATGAGAGTTGAAGTTGAGAAGCACTTCAGATTGTACTTCTGGTATACTTGGAATGGAGCACAGGGCAAAGGAACATTGTAATGTGATTTAGAATATGAAATCAGTGCTTGAAATAAGACTATAATGTATCGATGAAGTACATCAGCATTTGCGTCTATCTCTTAACTCTTTTACCTCCACAGACCACTGGGATAGAATGTCAGATATTGGTTATCGGCCAAATTTGGGCTTCAGTCAGTGAATTTGAAGACAGGTCAGTAGAAATTCTCCAAACTGTAGCACATAGAGAAAAACTATTGTTATGGAATGAACAGATCGTCAGTGATTGGGAGAGAATGGCAGGTGGTGTAATGTATGTGCAATTGGAGTGTCACCAGAAGCCCAGACAGATACTGGGACAGAAAATGTATTTGAGGAAATAATGACCATAAATTTGATGAAAAATTGTAGGGGTGTAGTTAAGATGAATGCCAAATCTAGATGGTTAAAGGCAGGGGTCAAATCAAGACCATGGTACAAAAGATTTTGGGTGGGGAGAAAGATGGGTATAAAACGTGAAGACCCATCTTACTCAAAGACCGCCCCTGTTTCATTTCCCCACTCCGAATTCCTTTTAGAACAAATGGGTTTTGGTGACAGTGTGTTCAGATGGAATACTCACAGACTTGGACTCACACCTGGGTTCAAATCCCAGCTCTACCTAATCTAACTAGTTCTGGGTCCATGGCAAATCACTATAGTCTGCATCCTAGGATCATCATTTGTTCAATGGAGATAGTGATATCTCTTTGGCAAGGCAGGTCTAAATGGTGTAGAATATGTACGTTTTATAGGGTGGTGATGCGCACATCATAGCTAGGCCCTTAACAGATAGTAGCTTCTTCTCCCACCAAACCAGTTCTTTTTGTGTTTATCTGGTGTCACCGTTCACCCACTTAGCTATAAACCAGATTAAGAAAATTACACTTTTTACAAAGGGCGTGAAGAACTATGGAAATGATAGGATCATCTTTGCATGTTAGAATGATTGCTCCAGCCTGAGTGTGAAGAATGGCATGAGGGTGTGAGACAAGATTTGAAGAAACCAGATTGAAGTCTCTCGCTACAGCCCACACACCTCTTCATACCCTTCCCAAACAAACAACAGTATTCTCCTTTTTCACAAAAGAGCTTGATTTTCCTATTTAAACCACAGCCTCAACTATTACCAGAAGAAAAAAAAAAGACCAAATAAAAATTATCTGGGTCCCCTTTTCTCAAGAGCAGAGAGGGCACACTCTTTAATGGGTTAGAGATGGGGGCTGGACCAGGTGGTAGTCTTGTGTATGGAGTCCAGTGGACAGAGCTGAGAGTCCCTCTACTGACAGTCCCTGGATTCATCACCACCACATTTCTAAGAAATCTGATTATTACCTCCCCATCAGAGAGAGACACTCCTCGTGGTACAGCTGTGATCATATCATTCCTTTGCTGGGGAAATCTTGGTCACTAGAAAGATTCCTGCACTCCTTAGTCTGACATGTAAGGTTCTGCAGAACCTAATTTCAATCTACTCTCCTAGCCTTTTTTAAATGAACACTACTACTAGGGCCGGGCGCAGTGGGCTCACACCTGTAATGCCAGTACTTTGGGAGGATCACCTGAGGTCAGGAGTTCAAGACCAGCCTGGCCAGCATGGCAAAACCCATCTCTACTATAAATACAAAAATAAGCTGGCCGTGGTGGCGCATGCCTGTAATCCCAGCTACTCCAGAGGCTGAGGGAGTAGAATCGCTTGAACCCAGAGGCAGAGGTTGCAATGAGCCGAGATCGCATCACTGCACTCCAACCTGGGTGACGGAGTGAGACTCCATCTCAAGAATAAATAAATAAATACATGCATACAACTTCTCACCCAACCTGTGTTGAGGCCTTGTCATCTCATCCCTTACTCTAACCACTGCACACCCTCCCATGTATTCAGTTGAAACCCTACTCTTCCTTGAAGTCTCTGTGACTTTCCTCAGTCCTTCCCCCTCAACCCTTCTTTGTGCCTTTGTTTATGGGATAAGGTTTATCGCCTTGCATTATGATTAGAGATTGAATGGATTACCCATCTCTGCCTGTGCTCTAAGCTTTTTGATGATAGGGCCTGGTCTTGGATTACTTGGGGCCTAGTCTCAAATATAAGCCCTGAATATAAATACTTGTTAGATGAATCACGTTCTTTACATTGTCGATAGAAGTGGGAAAAATTCTTTTTATTCATAAATTTAATTTGCCCAGAGTTGCGGAAGAACTAATTTTAAAAGTTTAGGTTTGAATAGAGGAGCAAAAAGTCATAGAGAGGGACTTAAAGAGGAAGTCTCAAGGGAACTTCTGAAAACTTCTTTGGGCTTTAGCTGTTGATGGGCCGATGTTCTTTATGGTGCCAGCTCTCGTTTTGATGTAGATGTCTGACGAGCCTAGTTTTCTGGGTACTCGTTGGATGAGTGACACTCGGAGCCTCAGAGAGGAGGGATGCAGGGTGCAGGTGCTAGGTGAAGGGAACTAGTGTTTACTGACCATCTACCGGGTGCCAAGCCATGCTGAAAGGCAGAGATTTCCAAGGGAGGAAAATGGTTGGGAGATAGGAAAGTGACAGAGGAAGTATTCTATCCATGCCAGAAAGACGTAAGGTGTAAATGACTGTGTGGCATGCCATAGGAAAAAATGGGAAGTGTGAAATTCCTCAGATTCACTGCACAGTAACTTGGGGAAGAGCTCATGATGCTAGTCAAGTTATTTCTTAGCCTCTGGACCTCATGGTTCCTGTTATGAGATTTGGCTAAGCTAGTGGCAGGGAACCACGGCTTCTAGTGTTTTCTTCACCCCATTTCTACAGCAGGTGACTGTTCAGGTGACTATAGGGGAGGGGTCACATGTGATGAAAACACTGAGTATCTCAAACCAGCTGTCTTGCCTAGGCCTCAGTTTTGAATGTGGTAGATGAAAGGTTTAACTTTCCACTAATAGCCCTCCCAGCTCTGCTGTTCCTTCTGGGATGAAATGGAGTGATCCAGGCTGATCTGCTGATGTTTTACTGCTTGTCAAGAATGCTAAGAAGAGGGTCCCCTTGTGGCTGCAGATTGCTTTGGGGACCTTTCATGAAGATTTCTTCATCTGGGACCTCTTTCCCACATCCATATGTCCTACATTTTCTCTTAGGATTGAGCTAGAGCTGAGATCATTCTACTATATTAATCAACACCTACTGCAGTGTCATGGTCATTGGCTCATTGGAATTCCATAGATCTCCTACCCACTCTAGTAGGGAAAAGCAAATTGCAGAAACCTTAGAAAAGTCAGTGCCCATGAACAGACACATTTAGGAAATAGAAAATTACTAAAGGATGCCTCTTCGGCAAACTGGGTGCCATATGTGTGCATATATGAGTATATATATATGTTTGTTTGTTTGTTTGTTTGTTTGTTTTTTGTTTTTGTTAAGGCTTTCTTTACTTTGCCCCAGGCCAGCTGGTGTGCATATTTGTCAGGTCCTGTTAGAGCTCTACAGCTCATTCTCAGCCTGCCTGATCTCAGCCTTGCTCTCAGGTCCTCAGGAGGAGTTTGATTCTTTTGGACTGTGGTGCTACTGGCTATTTAATCCTTTATCGTCACCATGTCCAGCTAGCAACCACTTGCCTTCCAGCAGCTGGGAGAACTGTGCTGGTCCAGGGAGCTGGTTTTGAGAAGCCTGGGCTTCCACGAGCAGAGGTCATTCTGTCTAGAGATCCATGGCTCACCAGTCCATCCCTGGGGAGCAGCTGTGGCTCCACTGTCCTTCAGAGATACAGACACAGTGAGGCACATTCTGAGGAGAGCAGATAGTGAGTAGATCCTAAAATGTGTTGAATGAGGAGCAGATGAAGGAGCTTGGATTCTGCTTGGTGACGACGAGGCCCGTGGAGTTACCAGAGTTGTCTTCAAGAGGTCAGAGTGTTGGCAGGTTGTCATAAGGAAGAGGGGCTAAATTTGTCCCTTGTGACCTCAAGGGAGAGAATTAGAGTGAAGGAAGAAACATACCAGGGGTTTGATTCAGTGTAGGAATAGCTTTCAAGCTCTCATTAGATCTGTGAAGGGGAATGGGCTACTTCAAGAGGCAGAGGGTAATTTGAGCTTTGACTGAACACTTGTTTGCTGTAATATGAAAGGGGTTATGAAGATTTCCAGGGCATTGAGGCTAGATGAGAAGGAAGGTCCCTTCCAACCTTGGAATTCTGATTCTTGACCCCTCTTGGTAAATACATACCTGGTACTCTTCAGAGAATATTCCCGGGGTTAAGGCTGAAAAATAGCAATGTGTATAAAGAACCTGGAGCTGCATTAATCACAGTGCAGAGGTACAGTGGAGTGTACACGTGCATATGAGCACATTTTAAATTAGGGAAGGGGCTGAAAAGAAAAATTAATCAAATTAAAGCAGCATTAGGAATGATGTGGACAGAAGGTAATTAGTTGCCATCAAATACTGAAAATATCAATCAACCGCTAATTGCTATATGGTTTCTTTTATTAGCAGAAGGTATTTTCAAATTTTGTAGATTTCAATCAAGAGTAGGGATAAGGAAGGTGTCTTGTTGCATTATTTAACATGATGTAGATTTTCAGAAAAGTAAAGAGCACAGAAGATAAATTGAAATGTTTACATTTTTTGCCACGTATTCATCTTCCTTGTTCCTAGCATCGTAGAGCTGAAATCTGTCTTTGAATCCCCCCTCCCCTGCTCTCTTCTTTGCTGGATAGCTGACCAGAAGAGACTTACTCCAGGCCACCAAGATGGTGTCTGGGAATGTGTGTCCGTGGCCAGGGTCTGGCTGTCTCTCGTCCACTGAGCTACCTTTCTAGAGTTGAGCTCAGGATATTTCTGGTCTGTGCCTATGTTCCACCTTCTGATCAAGGACCTACAGCTATCCAGCTGTAGCCGGAATTGAGGGTCCTTTTGTTGCCCTGGTCAGAGGTTTCATCAAGGTGCGCCCTTTTGCCTTTGAAGAGGCCAGGGAGCCGTGGAGAGGAGCACCTTGGAAATGCGCTGCATGTGGTTTGCTGTTTCTGTGCCCCTGACTCTACGTGTACTTTATTGATATCCAGTAAATGCCCAGTACAGAAAATGCACCTCTAATAGGGTGCTCCATAAAATTATGCTCCCTTCCCGAGATCCACGTGAACTGCATGTCATTTATCAGGTGCCACTGAATCTATGTAATGAATAATTTGATCCCACAGCACCATCCTTCAAACCCTGTGTCTGCACGGGGAGGCTGTTAATTCAGCTTGCTTGCAGGCATCCGTAGTGGTCCACAGAGACCAGCTTCTGACGTTGTTTCCAGGGAGGTATAGCAGAAAGGACGTCGGCTTTGAATTCCAGGCCTTCCTTCATGGGAATCCAGAGTCTGCCTTGGTTCTATCTATGTCTTTGGGCAAGTGGCCTAACCTCTCTGAATCTCTGTTTTCTCATCCTTAAGTTGGGGCTAGTAGCATCTTCCTTGTAGGGTTATCACCGGATTCCACATATACAGATATCAGTGTGTGGCTCACAGCAGGCATTTGGTGGATACAAACTCATTTATTCCTTTCCCTTAACTTCCTTTTTCTTCATACTCTTTCCTAGAAAACGATACTCAGTTACTTGCTGTTTGTAGGGAAAATTTTATTTACTCACTGATCACAATTGTAATGTCACAGTTAAAGTTGAGGAGAAGAAAAAAAGACGAAAAAAGATCTTGATTCTCTTTATCATTTCCTTCCACAGAGCCATCAGATCATTCTATGACCAAGTGAGATGTTATAAATAATTTAGTTCTACTCATTTTTTACATGACAGATTAAGGCTTCAGACATCCTGCTGTGTGACTCAGAGACACACACTCACCTGCCCTTGGTTGAGACTAGGTGTCTTTGCAGGTTTTGGGTGACAAAGACCTGGCTGGTGATACTGAGCCAGGAGATGGTGAGAAGGTCAATATATGAAGACGCATTAAGCTTTTGCAAAGCTGTGGGTTCAGAAGTAGCCATTAGAGAGGGATCATCTGAGTTGGGTGATAACCAAAGAGTTTTATGCTTGAGAAATGGAGAAACTGGCTCAGGAATTCTGTAGGCAGCGTCCAGAGAGGCTGCTATGAGGCTGCAGTATGGTACGTTTCATCTGAGGACTGGGGGCCGGCTCTGAGGCTGTACCACAGCATGCTGTGATTCTCAGAGATCAGGGTGACCAGAGGAGCAGCTCTGACCTCGAGTGGACTGAGAGGGGATTTAGAGGGTGTGCCTGCGCATGTGGGGAGGGCAGAGGTGGTGCAGGCAGGGAGCCTAAGAGAACAGAGTGGACACGAACGCTTACTGAGTACCTCATAGATGAAATCCCCTCAGTGACTGTGAATAATATTCTCTTTACTCCTAGTTTATAGATGAGAAAAAAAAGGGTTAGAGAGTACAGAGAATTTGCCTGAGGCCACACAGTAAGTGTTTCAGCACGTAAGTCTGATGGAAATATGCCCCATTCAACACTTCTGAATCCACGTCTATAATCTAGGAATTTGGAAGAGGAAAGGGAGAGGTGAAATGGGAGCTCTTTTTCTTTCTGTGTTTGACTCTGCATTCCCCGTCCTCCCCATATAATCAGTGAATTTCCACTTTCGAAGCCTCAATGGATGGGCTGAATTCTCCATAAACTGGCATTCTTCTTTTTAGGAATCCCTCCATTATGAACTACACTACATTGATAAAGATGCTCTGTGAAAATTTCAAAGTGTTACAGTTTAATTCAGCAGATTTTTTCCACCCGAGGAGCCTCATACGTGCAAGGTGCAATGCATGCTGTGCTATGTGACAGAATACAGTGTCCAGGGAGGTGGGCCCCATGTTCAGAGTTCTCTGCAGAGAGGGGGTTACAGGGAAGCCAGCAGGCATTCCATAGGGTAGACTATGTACGTGCCTGAGTTAAGGGGGTTTGGACATGCTTTGGGGTTTTAAGAAGAGAGCTTTGTATCTGATTGACATTCTGGAAAGACTTAAGGGAGAAGGTTATACCGGAAATGGCACTGGGTGGATGGGCAGGGTTTCCTCAGGTGGAGATGGGGGTGTAGGAAGTGAAGTATGCACACAGTCAGGAGGGTGGCCATAGGACAAAGGTTCAGGTTGGCTGATGGTGGGGTATGGATGTTAGAACTTCAACAACTGCCCTCATTTTGTGGGTTATAAAAGTAATGCATGCTCATTACAGAAAATATGGAAAATATATGAAAATACAAAAGAAAACCAGAGGCAACCATTATTCCAATATTTTATTGTATTTTCTTCCAGACTATCTGTCAGTCTGTATAAACATTTTTGAAAAACTTCTTTTGACAGTTGGAATACATACTTCTTATAGAAATTTGGAATAAACTGAAGAGCAAAAAGAAGAACATAAAAATCACCTGTAATCTTAGTCAGTAAGATTCTTAAGACTGTTTAAGATTCTTGCATCTTACCTATTTGTGGGTTTGTTGTTGTGGTGGTTTTAATTGAGATGGAGTTTTGCTCTCGTTGCCCAGGCTGGAGTATAATGGCGTGATTTTGGCTCACTGCAACCTCCGCCTCCCAGGTTCAAGCATTTCTCCTGCCTCAGCCTCCCAAGTAGCTGGGATTACCAGTATGTGCCACCACGCCTGGCTAATTTTTGTATTTTTAGTAGAGATAGCGTTTCACCGTGTTGGCCAGGCGAGTCTCGAACTCTTGACCTCAGGTGATTCCCCCCACCTTGGCCTCCCAAAGTGCTGGGATTACAGGCATCAGCCACCGCACCCAGCCTGTTCTGTAGTTTTAAAGAAGGAAGATGACAGGTTTGAAAGTGCATGAGATGGAGACTGACTGGAAGGGATGAGAAAGGCGGCAAGGAGGGAGCTGAGGCGGGCGGACAGGGAGGAGGGCTGCAGTGAGGGAGCTGAGGCGGGCGGACAGGGAGGAGGCTGCTGTCACCGTCTAGCTGGGAAAAGAAAGTACATAAAATTTGAGAGACTGGAAACGGTTTCATTTGAGATGAGTAAGAGGGAAGCACAGAGGGGACTCCCAGCTTTTCTGTGAAGGATCTAGGAAAATGGTGATGCTGTGAAAACAGAGACAGAAGATATTGGCTTGGTAGTCAGCTTGGTGGTAGCTGTATTGAATTTCACGTGTCAGGGAGCCCCCCAGGTGGGGATCCCCAGCAAGAGTTGGAAATGCCTGTCTTTTTTAAGCTTTCTCAGGTGGGTGGTTAGGGGTTTGACATCTCGATTTAAGTCATTCTCAGATGGATGATATGTGGTTTGAACTATATAGAAAGAGGCTGCTCTAAGAATGTGAAAAGGGTCGGGTGCAGTGGCTCACGCCTGTAATCCCAACACTTTGGGAGGCTGAGGTGGGCGGATTACCTGAGGTCAGGAGTTCAAGACCAGCCTGGTCAACATGGTGAAACCCCGTCTCTACTCAGAATACAAAAATTAGCCGGGCGTGGTGGCGGGCGCCTATAGTCCCAACTACTTGGGAGGCTGAGGCAGGAGAATTGCTTGAGCCTGGGAGGCAGAGGTTGCAGTGATCCAAGATTGCATCACTGCACTCCAGCCTGGGTGACAGAGCGAGACTTTGTCTCAAAATAAAATAAAAATAAAAATAAAAATAAAAGGGTAAACAGGAAAGCGTGAAGTGTATACTTTACAGCAAGCTAAAACAGGCAAAGCCAGTTTGTTACTTTGAACAGTCAGCAGCTGTGACGGCACTGGGGAAAGTGTACAGTCTCAGGGTGGAATGGCTGTGCCACTCCTCCTATCCAGCCTAACTTTCTAGGATCCCAGGGGTGGAGGCTGCCCTGGAAATTGTTGTGTACGTGGCTGTGTTCTGAGTGAAGTCTAAAAGCAGGGGAAAGAGCTGGAAGAGAGGGAGCATTTGGATAAGACACTGAAGGAACATGCGGTAACTGCACATGTTCTAATGGGAGCCCAGCCTCCCTGTTGGTTTCCACTCTGACAAGACAGACTGCTCTTCCTACCCCATCTGTTGTTGGAGGGTTTGTTATTCAGTGGTACCCTTAGTAGGCAGAGGTGGAGAGTGGGGCATTCTAGTTAACAGGAGTGTGCTAGTTAGCAAGAGAATGGAGTGTACTAGTTAGTAGAACTTGCCCTAGCCAATTTATGTAGTGAACCCATAGGACATGTCAGATCTGGAAAACTGCCTTTCATGAGTGCGGAAGATGTAGTGGTCGGCCTCTTAGGTATTTTTAGAGAATCACATTTGAACAATCACAATCACAGATCTTTACCAGTCAGGTCAAAATTTGGAGTGTCAATGTGTTTGGAAAAGGGCTTTATGAAAATTTGAACTTTCTTTAAAGTTCTTCCTGAAGATTTCATATGAGAACCCAAATCTTAAGGGAAACTAAAATCTCATAATAAAAAATCTCATAGACACAGATATTCATGAGTAATGACAGATTAAAATTGTGAGTAGAAATGCAGGAATCTTAAGGTAATTCTAAATAAAAACAATCCAGTAGGACTATTGGAAAATTCTTACCAAGTAATGATTTTGTAATGATTGTGTCAAAAATGTAAATTTGATTCAGTGACACAGTTGTAATTTTGATATGTTCTTTAAGTCTCTTAGGTGCTTAAGTCATGATGTAAGTTTGAATATTTTTTTCCTTCAATTTAAAACTTTATTTCTACGGAATGTAGATGTCCTTCAGAAGTTCCTAGGGGAGGTGGTGGTGGTGACAGGTAAATTCATTGTGTCTATGACTTCCAAAGGCCAGTTTTCAGACCACTGTCATCAGTATCACCTTAGGTTAAATATTTTGTAAGGAACAATTCAGATATATCCCGGAAGAGGTACCTTTTATGCTTTAGTCCAGGCCCTCTGGGGTTTACCTGTTTCTTGTTGTAGCCACTGCTGCAGCAGGGAACCCTGGAAACTCTAATCACCTTCGTGTAGGTACAACTTGAAAGTGCTTCTCTCTTCTTGCCTTCTGCCCAAGGTGACACACCCATGTGTGTGCAACTGTGAAAATGAGCCTGCAAACTCAAATTCTAAAGAATATGAATAATGGAAAGAAAGGAGGCAACAATATGAAGAAATGAAATATAAATTGACTCGAGTTAATTTTTTATAACAAACAAAAGCATTTTAAAATGTGTGTTTAGGATGTTCAAAGAGGTCAGTGAAGAAATAATAAACTATGACAGAAAACAGGCAAAATAAAAGAACTAAATATAAAACTTGGAATAAAAAATAGCTACTGAAATAATTCCATACCTGGAACTCTTAGATTGAACCCAGTTGATGAGGAACTTAGTTAATGTTTTAGTGAATAGTTCTGATGCACATAGAGCAGGAAAAAGAAGAATGTATCTATCAATTAATCAGCAGTTAAATGACACAGAGGATAAGTTGAGATGTGTCAACTGACATGTAAAGGGAGTTCTGGAGAAATAGAATTGCGAGAATAGTGGAGAAGCAATATTTGAGAATATAATAGCTGAAGACTTTTTAGAAATGAAGATGTGAATCATCATATTCAAAGTATATTTTAAGCCCTAAGCAAGATAAATAAAAATGAATGACATCTAGATTTATAATAAACCCCAGAATATTAAGAATAATGAAAAAATATTAATAACTGTAGAAAGAAAAGACATTGCCTACAAAGAAATGACCATCAGACTGACAGCAGGCTTATGAGTGCCAATGATCGTGAGAAGACAATGGAGTAACATCTTCAAAGTATTGATGAAATGTATACCCAGCTAAACTTACATTCGATAGTATAGACATAATAGAAATATTTCAGATATAAAAAGACTTAAGAGATTTTATAACTCATAGACAGTTACTATAAAACCCTTTTAAAGATATATTTCAGTAAGATGAAGAATTAAAGGAGAGACCTGAAGCATAAGAAACAGTAATTAGTTAAACAATGATTAAAATGTTGATCACTGAAGCAATTTTAAAAAAATAACCCTCTGTGTGTGTGTTAGAAGAAAATAAAAAAGGCAAATCTTTACACTGCGGTAATGAGATAGAGATTGTTCAGTGTGGCGGGTTTTGAGTTTGGGAGAAGGTTAGAAATACTAACTTTAGACTTGGTTTGGAAAACATAGTGAAGTGGGTATGTAACAATTGTAAGGGTAAACACTAGAAGAACAGATTTTTTTTTCGTTTTGCCTCCAAATTGGCCAAGGGTCAAAGGCAGTCAGAAAAGACTAATAGGAGAGAGAAAATGAGGGAAAAGAAATTAAAGGAAGAGGATGGTAAGTAGAAAACACAAAATGAGGTTATGGAAAGAAGTTTAAATAGCCAGAGTAAATATATTAAAATTACTAATTAGAGGAAGAGATTATCAAATTGGCTAAGAACCAAAATCCTGTTATATGCTGCTTACAAGAAATGCACCTAAAATAAAGACACATGGAAAGGTTAAAAAAGAAGACTGGGAAAACATACGCCTGGTAAATGAATACAAAAAAGGTAATGTAGGTATCTTAATATTAGAAAAAATAATTTTAAGAACAAAAGACTTTAATAGCATTAAAAATACTAAACAATAACAAAAGGAATAGTAGCAAGAGGATAATAAGACTTGTGTATGCTAATAGCATAGCCTAAACTGTGTAAAAGAAAAACTGACAGAACTAAAAGAGAAATCAAAAAATTCACAATCACAGGAGGAAATTTTAATTGAATCTCTAAGAATCAGATGTCTCAATTTGCCAGAAAATTAAACAGATATAGATGATTTACATAACAAATTGATAAGCTTGTCCATAAATGTCTGTAAAACCCTGTACCTAAGAAACACATAGAGAGAAATTTTATGCTTTTCAAGCACACATAGAATAGTTACAAAAATTCACCAGGTTGTAGGTGACAAAATAAGTCTGAACAAATTTCAAAATAATGAAGACCACATTCTCTAACATGATGCAATCAAATCGGAAATAAAATTGTGAAGGTAGTATAACAGGCCATATGTTTGAAAGCAAAAATGTATACTTTTAAGTAATTCATGGATTAAGAAGGAAATGAAATGGAAATTACATCAGAAGAGAATGGCAATGAAAGTACTACATATCTATACGTGAGATGTATCTAGAACAAACCTTAGAGGTTAAAAACATGTATTAGAAAAGAACACTTGAAAATAAATAAGCTAATAATTCATATCAAGAAGGTAGGAAATGAGCAGACTAACAGACCAAAAAGTAAACTGCAAAACAAGATAATAGTAAAGAAAGAGCAGAAATAGAAAACAGAAAGGAAAGATGATAAAGAGGATCAGTGAAACCCAAGGTTTGCTCTGCAACGAAAACCTCTAAAAAGAGAGATATAAAAATATGAATACATGACAATGAAACAAAGCATCCCCTAATGATTCTCTTCCTTCTCTCCAAAGTCCAGGTGCTTCAGGAAATTTTATTGTAACTTCACGGAACAAATAATTTTTTTTCTAATGCGGTGTTACATAGGAGAGAAAATAAGAAAGGCTAGCCAACCAATTTTCTGAGGCCAGTATAACCTTGATACCAATTCTGGACAAGGACAATATAAGAAAATAAAGTTATAATAAATCTTCATAAGGAACGTAAATGACAAAATCTGAAATAAAATAGCACAGGTAGTTCAGTGTTAAAATGCTCTATGAGTAGGTAAGATTTACTGAAAGATGATTTAGAAAAATCTGTTAATGTAATATACTACCTTAAGAGATTAAAGGAGGGAGAACATATGATCATCTCAGAAGAAAGCATGCATTGTTAATATTCAGAACTCATGCATGATAAAAAGCTTTTCAAAGTAAGAATGGAAGGAAACTTTCTCAACCTGATAAAGGATATCTTGCAAAAACCTACAGTAAATCTCATATTTATTGGATCCTTCCCACTAATATTAAGATGAGACAAGGATTCCTAGCATTGTCATTATTCAGCATTGTATGGAAGGTCCTAGGCCAATGCAATACAATGAGATAAAGGCAGGAGAATAAGAATGGGAGAGGGAGACAGAAAACTCATTTGTACAGAATATAACTTTCTGTATAGGAAATCAATGAGAAGGTGGAGTCAAACCATTAGAACTAATAGAATTCTCTACTCTTTCTGGCTGTATGGAAGGCATACTAAAATCAGGGTGTTTTTATACACCAGCACTAAGTAATCAAAAAGTATAGTAGAAAAAACAGTATTTATAACAGCACCACAAATCATGGGGTACATAGAACTATATGTAATACAAATATTTAAGATCTTTATTTTCTTGCGATGGAGTCTCACTCGCTCACTCAAGCTAGAGTGCAGTGGTGGAATCTCAGCTCGCTGCAACCTCTGCCTCCTGAGTTCAAGCGATTCTCCTGCCTCAGCCTCCTGAGTAGCTGGGACTACAGGTGCACGCCACCACACCTGGCTAATTTTTGTATTTTTTAGTAGAGATGGGGTTTTACTATGTTGGCCAGGCTGGTCTTGAACTCCTGACATCAGGTGATCTGGCTGCCTCGGCCTTCCAGAATGCTGAGATTGCAGGCGTGAGCCACCATGTCTGGCCAAATGCTTAAGATCTTTATGGAGAAAATTATAATTATAACATGGTATTGAAGGACATCCAAGAAGACTTGAATAAGTGGAGAGCTATGTTATTGTTTTCATAGTAGTAAAATAAAACCTTGCGTAAGTCCTCATTCTACCACATGTTAACTAACCCTCTAGCTGATAGTACAAACACTCACTGCGGGATTTTATTTATAAGGGCTCTAGAATAAAATATGAGTTATTCACACTAAAATCACCTGTTAAGTAATATTCTGAACTAGTTAATGCAGGTTTTCATTGTGTTGTGGTTGGTCTCATAACTAGGTTGAGTTTTTCTCCTCTGCTAAGAGGAAACAATACTGAAGTTGTTTTTCTTGTGGCATTTGTATTATAAAAACTTGGTGTGGGGGTGGAGCGCAAAGCTCCAGCCCACTGAATGTCTGCCAGTTAAGATGATGTTGGGTTAGGTTACATCTGGCTACTGTCCTGGGAAAATCACTTTTATAGAGATGGGCTTCCAGGTGGTTTTAAAATTTATCTTTCTATTGACATTTGTAGGTCAATTATATATGTTGACTAAATTTACAAATAAACTTGTGTGTCCAAACCAAATTACTAATATGACAAAATATTTCCAAATTCATCTAAGTTCAATAAAATTCTATTTAAAAATTTTAAAGGATATGTTATGGAATTTGACAAGCTGATATTAAAGCTGAATAGTAATAGGCCAAGAGTAACAAAGAAAAATTTGAAGAAGTATAAGGTAAGAAGACTTACTCTACTAGGTATTTTGACTCATTAAAACTAGCCTGATTACAACCGCCTGATCTTTTCCTACACGTCTGCTCCATCCACAAGGTTCCCCACTTAAGCCAGTAATCTTCGAGTCAGCCATAACCCTCTCTTTCTCTCAAACTCTGTGTCAAATCTGTCAGGAAATCCTTTTGGCTCTATCTTCAAAATATATCCAGATTCTAATCATGACCCATGACTTCCTCCACCACCACTTGGTCTAAACCACCATTATCTCTCACTTGGATTACAGCCATAGTTTCTTAACCATTCACTGCATCTGTGCTTGGTTCACTCTAGTCTATTCTCAACCGAGGACAGCCAGAGTGATTTTGTAAAACATAAGTTTTATCATTTCCTCTCCCGCTCAAAACTCCAATGTGGCTACCCATTTTACTCAGAGTAAAATCCGTAGTCCTTAACCATCCCACAAGGTCCTACACTATCTGGCTTATCTGATCTTTGTCCTGCTACTTCCTCCTTGTTTATTCCACTCAAGCCACACTGGCTTCCTTCCTGCCCCTTAGAAATAGCAGGCACATTCTTGTTGCCCCTGTAGGACTGCTTTCTCTACCCCTTGCTGGGGATATCTGAATGGGTGAGTGCCTCACTGCCTCCATGGCTTTGTTTGCAGTCACCTTCCCTTGGAGGCTCACCCTATTTAAAATTGTGCTTTCCCAGCCCACCTGATCTCTCTGACCTGCTCTGCTTTTCTTTTCATTTTTTATAGCTCTTGTTACCTTCAAACTATGTCATCTACCTAGGATTTTTGGTGTTTTTAATCTTTTTCCCACTAGAGTATACACACTAAACAGGGTAGGATCTTGTTTGCTTTGTTCACTCATTTATCCTGGGTGCTTAGAGCACTTCCTGGCATATAGTAGGCACTGAAAAAATATTTGTTGAATAAATGATGAAAAAACAGTATAGGATTGGTGCAGGAATAGACAAATGAATGGAGCGTAACAGAAAGCCCAGAAACGGGACTACTTACAACGATGTCATATAAAGGTAACATTGGAGATAAGTGGGAGAAATAATGGATTATTTAATAACAATTTATTTGGGATTCTTGGTTATGAATATGGAAAAAAGTAAACTGAATCCCCACCTCACCCCCTACATAAAAATTATTTCCATATGGTCTAACAACCTAAAATTAAGCTTAAAATTTTAAAGCTTCTGAAAATATAGGATATTATCTTTATCTTTATATATGGATGGACTTCTTATACAAGGTACAGAAAACATAAATGATAAAGGAAAAGATAGAGAAATTTAAGAACATTCAAATTTAAAACATCTGTATGACAATAGACATAAGTGAAGGGAAAAGCAAATCAGATATGAGGTAATATCTGTAATCATATAACTGGCAAAAAATAGCATTCAAAACATAAAAATTGCAACAAACCAAGAAAAATAGAAGAACCCAATAGAAAAATGAACAGAGGCACTTTATAAACGAGTGTACGTGAGTGGCCCATATACTATGTGAAGAGATGCTCAACCTCAGTGGTGATTAGCTATGTATATGACATAATTTTTTTTTTTTTAAGATGGAGTTTTGCTCTGTTGCCAGGCTGGAGTGCAGTGGTGCAATCTCGGCTTATTGCAACCTCTGCCTCCCAGGTTCAAGCAATTCTTCTGCCTCAGCCTCATGAGTAGCTGGGACTACAGGCATGTACCACCATGCCCAGCTAATTTTTGTGTTTTTAGGAGAGACGGGGTTTCACCATATTGGCCAGGATGGCCTCGATGTCTTGACCTTGTGATCCACCTGCCTTGGCCTCCCAAAGTGCCGGGATTACAGGCATGAGCCACCACCCCTGGCTCGAAATATGATTTTAAGCCCATCCAATTGGCAAATATTTATATACTTTGTAACACCAAATGCTTGCAAGGCTGTGGCACAACAGAGATCCTCCTACACTGCTTATAGGACGATTGTACCTGGCAAACTCCTTTTGCCTACTTGTCCCTGTAGCAGTGATCCCAGAGTGCCCAGGCAATAGCTGTATCTTATAACTCAATGGAGTCTTGCTATATTCCCAGATAAAAGTGTACTGTTTTGGGGACTAGGACCTCTAACTCTACAGAGCCAAGAGTGTGGGAACAAAAGCTACAAAGTCTCCCGATGGGTCCCTGAGATAGTAAATGAAGTCAATCCTGTTTCTCTCCTTTGCTTTCCAAACACGTGTATTATTCATTTGGGGAACATGGTGTGTCCCTACCTTTGGAGTGTTTGATTCAGTGTCCTGGAGTCCGGCACCCACCTGCACAGAGTTTGTTCACTGAACTGGTGCTGTGGCTGTGCCTTGGGGCTATTCCAGTGCTTTTTCAGGACGGCAGTTCCTGGTGACGTGCAGTAAAATAAAACAGGTGGAAAGCAGCTGTGGGCTCACTGCTGCATTTTCCTTGCTGCAAAGTGAGTTGCTTGGTCTGATGGATGTTATTTAGGGGACAGAAGTTGGCCAAGACCCTGAAGGCAGGAAAGTCAAACACGTGCCAAGAATACATGTATGTGAGTGTAAGAACACATCACTGGCCCTTTCAGCATGGAAGGGGCCCGGTGTAATCCTTTGCCACCTTATGGTGGGTTGGTCCTCTCAAGGAGTGGTGCTGTGTGAGGCACTTGGTGACAGTCTCTGTTGCTGGCCATTTGGACATTTGGTGGTGGCAGTAGCTAGGTGGACCTTGGTGAGCGGGTGTGCATGCTGTTGGGCCATGTGTAACCTATCTCTGCCATTGTGGCCAGTTCGTTCCTGCATCCATTACGCAGGTACTAGGGTAGCCAGTGAAGACACTGGCTGGCATCCCCTGGCTGGGCCCCTTTCCATGCTTTGTGGATGAGTGCCTCTTTCATGGTAGATGCCCTCTGGCTGGCATTATCATGTGGTAAAGAGATCTTCATGCTGCATACTCACTCCCACATGTCCACCTATGTCTCTCTACCCCAGATTTCCTAATTCTTCCTCTTCCAGTCTTTGTGTTTCTGGCCTCTGACTAGGCAGCCAAGCCACTTGCTGCTGCCCTTGAGTCCACAGCTGTCCTGAACTTGGGCTATTCTTCCCTCTCTGAAGGAACCAGTTGGGAGAATTTTTCCCTTACCCCTGTCTTTCCTGGCCACTCTAGAGTAAGGCTGCAGTGGAGCTGCCCTGCATTTCCAGCCTGCACCCATATAACAAACCAACCATTCAACACCCCACCCCCCACACCCCCATCCCCCAAATCGGCCTTTCTCTCTGCCCCCAGCTGGTTTTACAGGATCGCCACACAGCCGTAGGTGCGAAGTGAGGGAGGGAGTTGGTGCAGCCTGGTGGGTGCTGGGGGAGTCTGGCTTCCTATTCGTGCAGCTCACGCGTGCCCTCTGGTCCTGCTTGTGCATGATTCCCGATGTACAACTTCCTCTTTATGATAGACTGTGGCTGTAGCCCCTTGACCTTATAATCTGGTGGGTCTGATGGGACTTACCTTTTGATGGGAAATTTCAGCCACATCATCCCCTAGTGCTCCATGGCTGCCATGGTGTGCACTGTGCAGTGTGCTTCATTATCACCCATGTCATGATCTTGAAGTGCTTTTTCCCATTAAACTAGGCTTCTTGGTGAAATGGTCGATTCTGGGACTGGGGTAGGAAATGTGCAAGGTGAGTCTGGGACATCCTGTCAAACCAGAGAGCAAAGAAGCTATGAGACAACTGAGGAGAAGGAGCCAATTTGAAGAGGGTCTCACTGGCCAAAGATATGACTGCTGAAGCTTACATGAGGGCAGTCATTGAAACGATCAAATATGTTTAAATGAATATGTTTGTGATGATGTTTAAAAAACTCTTCGATTAGCCTGGGAGATAGCAAGTTCGTCATCTTGAAGACACTATGTAAATGGATGAAGCAAGCATTTATCTTCCCTGTCCCATGTGAATTGTACCACTGAGTAACAAAGTAGTAGCTGAGGGGAAGCTTTTCATTATAAGGTATGAAAATGAAGTGATAGAATTAGAAGATCACTATTTTGCAACTCTCCAGGAATTAATACATCTAGGCATTGAGCACCCATCAATGCTAACTAGACATGAAAGAGACAACTAGACATTTTGTGCTTTCTAATCAAAGACCATCCATAGCCCCACCTCTAGTCTTGCCAGAGGATCAAGTCTGAGTCTGATGAAGCCTCTGGATCCAATTGTCAACTTGCAGAAAGTTGTCCTCTGAGGACGGTTGTGTGAATTGAATTGCACCATGAGAACACAGTCCTCAGAATCCACAGTGTGAGAAACTGAACAGGTCAAGTAGACTGTGATCTTCAAGGGATAAGGTCAAAGGAAAAGAATGGAGACAATGTGTTGATTAAAATGACTTAAAGACAGCCAGATGTGGTGGCTCACGCCTGTAATCCCAGCACTTTGGGAGGCGGAGGGGGGCAGATCACCTGAGGTCAGGAGTTCGAGACCAGCCTGGCCAACATGGTGAAACCCCATCTCTACTAAAAACACAGAATTAGCCGGGCATGGTAGTACGCGCTTGTAATCTCAGCTACTAGGGAGGGTGCGGCAGAAGAATTGCTTGAACCCGGGAGGTGGAGGTTGCAGTGAGCCGAGATTGCGCCACTGAACTCCAGCCTGGGTGACAGAGGGAGACTCCATCTCAAAAAAAAAAAAGAACTTAAAGACGTATCAAATTTAAAAAAATGAGCAAGACTATAATGTCAGGGGTGGACACTTAGATGATAAAGTGTAAGAAACATAGGAAGTGATTACTGTGAAAGTCAGATAACGGTTGCTTTTTGGGCTATAAGGTTTCTGTTGGGATTGGAGTGTAGCACACAGGGAGGCATGTCTAGGGTAGATGGCAAACTTCTGATTCTTGACCCAGGTGGTGGTTGTAAGGGTGTTTGCCTAATAACAGTGCATTGAAATATATGTTTGTTTTGTGTGTTTTTTTTGCATCAGTTTTGTTTTATAACAAAAGGCTAAAAATAAGTATTTAAAGAAAATAGTGCATACTATATTTTATTTGCTGATATTCATAATGATTACCAGATTATTGAAATTTATGAGTAATTTTGCTATAAATAAGCCTGTTTTCTTTGTTTAAACACACACACACACATTTTCACACTCACACCTTCAAAGCCACATAATAGAATGTTTAGCTTAAACCTGCAGCCGCTAGTTGAAATGTTGCTTCATGGAGTTTTATCCTCCTAACAACCTGTGTCCTAAGTCACATTCCTCTCCAGAAATGTGGACATTGACCATATTCCAGTCCCTGAGACGCTGTTTCAGCCACACGTGGCACCCCAGACCCTTGCCCACCTGCATCCTGGTCATTCATCCTCCTCCTCATGGGGTCATTTCTTGATCCCTATTAAGCATTAAAAGGGGATTACATATCTCTCTACTTGCAGCTAATGTTTTGCTTGGTTTGGCCAAGAACATTTTAAGTTTTAAAAACCTGGGGCTATTGGAGTGGGACCATGGGCAAAGGTCAGGACAGGCTAGCTACTAAAATGGCCTGCCACGGACCTTGTACGTGAAGGTTGAAGGATTCTGGTGCTCTCTGGTGCCATCGCTGTTAGTCGTTGTGCAGCACAGAAATATTTTATTCAACAAACTCTGCAGACTCCTGAACTTCAGGGGTGGGCTGCCTTCTGCCTGGTGCTCTGCACAGATCCTGGAGCTCTCGTGGTCATTTATGTGCAGTGAAGCTGCTCCACTCACCTACAGCTTGTCCTTTTCCAGAGAATCCCTATCATCCTCCCCTCATCCCAAGGAATACAACAAAGGAAAATTAATAGTGAATGCTTTTGCCGGAGACCTGTGGATACTTAATTTTTATAGATACTCAATAAATATTTATTTATATTCACTAGCAGCAAGCAATTCACTTGTAAACTGGTATAGTGGCGGGTAACATAAGCATAAGCAGATTCTTATGTTATTTCTTTGAATATTTTGCTTTTCTTTAAAAATGTAAATTTTTTATTCTTAAAGTAATAGGAATTTATTACAGAAAAATTTGAAGAATGAAAAAATATTCCTAAATTGTCACCACTGTAATACAGTAGTGGTTATTATCACTTTAGTATACTTAGTATATTTTCTTCCAGTCTAATTTTGGTGTGAAAATCTTTAGTAGTTATAATAAAAGTGCATGTAATTGTGTTTTTTCCTTTTTACTTTAGCCTTAGGTAATTATGATATCACAAACATATTTCCATGTTGCAATATTATCACAAAATAATTTTTTACTGCATTAAATTTTATTATTTGGCCTTATATTTTTATTTTAACCTATTTTTGATTAACACATTTTAGCAAATAGAATATCTTTGTATAATATATAACTTTATTCAAATTACTTTTTGGGTTTTGTTGCTTTGGATTTTTAGAGTAGAATATTAAAGAGTGTCAAGAATTTCAGTAAACTTCTAATTTATCTTTCAGCTCTGTCGTCAAATCTGGTAAATCGAGTGAGTGTAGGAGTGGGAGGTGTATAGTGTATATTAATTTGCCAACTGTTGTTCCACTCAGGATCTCAGTTATACGTAACTTCATAAAGCCATATAAAATTTGAGTGAGGCAGTAATCTTTTTTACATCTAGAAGTGGGCCATAGAACACCAATTGTACTGGACAGTTTAGAAACTTATGGTACAAAATGAAGGTTCTGTATTTGGAGCCCAAGGAAGTGCATGGCAACATTTGCGACGTGCGTGAGTGTGTGTGCTCTTGGGAGATGGGTTGTGATTTTCATCAGATGTTCAAAGAGATCCTGTGCCCACTGGTATACACACAATGTTTGCTAGTTGAATGGAGTGCTACTTTTGTGAGTTTGTTTATTGTTGTCATTCTCTCCCTGCCTCCCTTCCAAACCCTTCTCCTGCGTTCATTATATCCAGAAATAAAACTCAGAAAAATTTACTTTTGGGTAAGCAGTGATTTATCACATGCAAGTTTATAGTGATTAAAAAAATGAAAACTAAACACATATGTGACATTGTTAATTGGAAATATGCATGAATTTATGTTGATTTTGGAAGTTTTCACATTAAAATGGGTAACTTAGTGCTATACTTTGGTAAAATATTTTTTTAAAAATATGTGACCAGGGAGTGGATCATTCAGTAAATTTTCTATTGATTCAAGTTATGAATTGGATGTGGAAATATGAAAATAGTTACCCCCTTACTGTGTTATTTGGAAATGTGTAGATTTACTAACTCCTTTAAATTTGAGGCCTTCTAAGTTTTTGCACAGCTAAAGCAAAGAGATATTCTATGCAAATAATTGTAAATAAAATTATTTACCAATGTTAAGAACTCTCCTTCTTTAAAAGATAAAATCTTAGTCATTTTTGGTTATCAAATGACAGGAGCAACTTTTTTTTTTTCTTCATGTAACAGGTGTATGTGGATGTGCAATGACCACTTTGTTTTGAATAATCAGTATCCTTTTTTTTTCTTTTTTCTTTTTTAAGGAATGGGATGTTTCTGGGGAGCTGAAAGGAAATTCTGGGTCTTGAAAGGAGTGTATTCAACTCAAGTTGGTTTTGCAGGAGGCTATACTTCAAATCCTACTTATAAAGAAGTCTGCTCAGGTAGGAAGAATTTGCTTTATTGTATTACTAGGAGAAACAAGGGAGGGCTTGTCACTACTGTTGGGTGACAGGCTCTTTAAAATGGAAATATGTTTTTTTAAAAATGTTTCTTCAATCTTTATTATTTGTGTATATATACTTGTGAGCTTCTCACTTTATATGTTTAGAAGATGATAATCTTCCTGTGGAGTGCACCATTTAGCTTTTGCTGTGGAACAACCACTCTAAAACATGGTGGCTTAAAACAGTCATTTTATTAGCTTGTAATTCTGATGATCAGCAGTTGAGGCTGGGCTCAGCTTTATGGTTCTTCTGTTAGCCTCACCTGGGATTTGCTCATGTGGCTAAGGTCAACCTGTGGGTTGCCTGGGGGCTAGTCAGCCTAGGCTGCTTTACTCTTTGGCCTGGCAGTTGGTGCTGGCTGCTGGTTAGCACTAACTGCCAGCTGGGGTAATGGGGATGATGGACCATATGTCTTCAGCACACTGGCCTGAGCTAATTCACATGGTGGTGGATGCAGAGAACCTAAGAGCAGCAAGAGAGGATGAGGCCCATTCTCTGTTTGTGTTACGTTCACTTTTATACCATTGGCCAAAGCAAGTCATATGCGCTAGCTAGACCAGAGCCAATATGGGATGGCTCCCCAAAGGCAAGGATATAGGAGGTATCAAGAATCGGGACCATTATTTCAACAATCTACCACATGAGACAGACATTTCAGATACTGGTTGTGTTTTCTGTAAGGAAAAACACTGAAAGCCGTGCTATAATGCAGGGATCAGCAAACTATTGACTTGACTCATAGGCCAAATCCCACTTGCTGCCTAGCAAACTATTGACTTGACTTATAGGCCAAATCCCACTTGCTGCCTATCTATATAAGTAAATTTTTGTTGAAGCACAGCTATTCTCATTGTTATTATTATATATTATCTATGAGTGTTTTCATGCTACAGTTACAAGAGTTGAGTGCTTGCAACCAACTATGTGGTCTGCAAAGCCTAAAATATTTACCGTTGGGTGCTTTACAGGAAAAAAATTTGCTGACCTCTATTCTAGGCTAACAGGGTAGGCAGATGCCCTCATGGCAAATTCTGTCTCGAATACCAGATTACCTCTCTGGACTTGTTTCTGACCTAAAGGATTTCCTTTCCTTTCCTGCCAGCTCAGATAGCATTTGAAATGTTTTTCTAAAAAAAATTATATTCACCATTTTAAGAGGTCTTAATAGGGAGGGAGTATCTGGAGTTATAGTCCACTATTATTGATGAAAATGGGGTGTAAAATGTAAACAGTTTTATCTTTCTAAAATAAAGTCTTAAATAAGTGTGGTTTGTGGAGGATGCGCTCAGCCCTCCGAGGGCACCATGAATGATGGAGGGGAAAAGCTGGAGTTTGGGAGCTTGGTGAATAGTGAGCATGTTGATGTGTTTGCTACAATATGAATTCTATTTTGAAATAAAAATTGAGCTGTACAACAATGAAAATATTATAAAAATGTGCATGTTCTTATTTTTTCTTGCTCTAGAGAAGGATTGAAATATTCTGATTCGTATGGAGAATGTGGTGTAACAAACAAATATTTTAATGGTTATCCTATTTTTTTTTAACTTCTGTTTCAAAATTAAACGCTTATGCATAGCTATAAATAGACTCAAATGAATCCTGGAGATCACCCAGGTGTATCCTCTCAAGTCTTAGGAATGGAAATGAGTAGATTCCTTCCTGTAATTCCAGACGTGACTTAATGGCCTAAGAGAAAAAGGTTGCTAAGAAAACCTCCAAGTATCTATTGCTTTATACCTATTATCCTCAAGCAGCAAAATGTTAACAATCAGTTAGAATATTGTGATTCCTTGTTTGCTCGAACCCTTTTCAGTTCAGCTGTTTACCTTAATAACAACATGATAATTGCCATGTGTTAAACTCATGCTATATGCCAGACACTGTAATAAGCACTTTTTCTGTCTTTGCTTTTCTCTAAGCAGTTCCATGAAGTATGTCAGCTTCTATCTTTTACAGAGGGAGTGTAGAGGCTCAGAGAGGATAAATAACTTACCTAAGGTCATACCTAGCAGGAATCCCTCCCTCATTAGCTCTCAGCTCAAAGTCTATGCCATTGACCATGGTGTAAGTCTCCCAGCTGTCATCATATCCCAGCCATTCTCCATTCATCCCTTTGCACTTTCTTCCACCAAGTCACAAATTCTCTTTCATATATGTCCCTCTGGTATATTTTTAATTATATTAGTGTGCTTTTAAATGATTAAGGAGAATGCCAAGGAAATTCTTTTGTCTTTCTTATGTTTAGAAGGAAAAAGGGCCAAGCCAGTTAATGCAAACAGCTGGTATGTTAGAGGCCTCTAGCAAGTGGTAAAGTACGGAAACCACAGAGACTGGTAAAGAACTCGATTGGATATGAACACTACCTGCTAAGTTAACAGTAGCATTGGGAAGCATGGTTGTCATGGAAACTTGTTCCTGATTGGAAAGGGATAGTTATAGGGTCTTACCCATACACAGAAGGAGAGACGATTTCTTTCCCTAGGCTTTTTTGTTGTTGTTGTTCTGATCATAAAAGGGAAAAACAAAAAGGCAGAGAGGAGCTATGATAGAAAGGTCCCTCTGGCACAGAAGTGGTACAGCCTTCAGATCCCTGGGAATAACAGGGAAGGAGAACAAATAAGGTCCCTCGCTAGAGTAATTATGGTAAGCAGCTAATTAAAGATTTTTGACCAAGGAGAGGGGTGGGGGAGACATAAAGCAGGTTACACTGGCGGGCCTCCCCTCTGAAGCCTCTGGTGCTCAAAGCCTTGCTGAACAAGTCAGCCCTGGAGTGGTCTGACTTAAGAGAAGGAAAATAAACAAACAAACAAACAAAAACCCCAAGGCTCTGGTAAGATGCATAGTAATTGCTGAGGTCCATTGTGGGAGAAATACTAGTCTGTACTCTAGTATCTGCTTGCAATTAAGTTTGTAAAACTTTGATCACAATCCGTGAATATTTTGTAAAGATTTTTACTTTTATTTTGTCAAGAAAAGAAGCATAGAGACCTGGATTGTGTGCAGATTCCTTCTCTCATAAAGCGGTATGCTTGAGCTTAAGGTACCATGTGGTTTCTTGGGGCAGATGCCAGAAATATAGGAGGAGGGGTTAACAGAATCCACAGGGCCAGCTTTACCACCGCTCTGTGCAACCTCTTATGTGATGACGCACATCAGAGCTTCCACAAGCATTATCTCAGCACACAGGTGGGTGAACACAGGCCAAGGAACTATCGGCTCAAGTTTGCTACCCCTGCTGTGCCAGTGGGTCTGCACAGCCTCAACAGGGGAGAAGTGAGCGAGAGAGTGTGGATGTGAGTGTAGAAGCAGTGTGTGTCCAGAGAGGGTGTGGATTCATGTCCGAATGGTATTTCTATGTGGAAATTGATAGGCCAGTGACTCTGAACCCCAAATCGGAGTTGTGACTAGGCATATAGAAAAGATAACATGGCTTCTCATAGTAGCTGAGAGAGGAGGTGTCCCCATCGTGGGCTCACTAATGGGGCTGTTCATGGTGGGCAGTCTCCATTGCTTGGTGCCACTTGCACCCGACATGCGTAGAGAATACAAGGGGGCGGTCTCTTAGGAATTTAGAATAAAGTCGCCCATTGAGAGTGGCAGTATAAAATCAGCCTGCTCTGAATCACAGTGGAGATGGACAGTCACTTGGAAGAGAGATTGGTTTCTGTGTCTGTAGGATTTCAGAGTAACCTAGTGGAATGCCCTGACTGTGTAAAAGGAGCATAGGTCCTCAGTAGGAGGTTGGTGAGCTAGAACAGCCTGGGAGAGGGGAGGTCCTGGCCACTCTCTTGGGTGTTCTGGGCAGACCCACAGAGCCTGATACCCTGGCACTTTTAAGTTGTATCACTAACCTCGTGTTCTGATCCATACTCTGTAAAACTTTCTAATCTTTTGTCCTCCTGTGGGGATTATTTACAGAAAGAAAATGCAATGAAATCAGGTTAGTCAGGCAGACAGTTCTAATTCTTATTTAGAATTCAATAAAATGCCTCTCTGAGATATATATCTCAGTCTATTGTGAGTTTAGTCTGCACAGGTCATTCTCTCCAAATTGAGTTAACCTCGGGCTGAGTTATATGACAAAAACAGAGTTTTGGTCGGACCTCCATGATCTTCCAAGGCTTCAGTTGCCTCCTGCATTTCCCTGGAGATTTCCTATCCCTTGCATGTGCCCATAATTTCATTTAAACCTGTTTTAAAAGTGTATGTAACTTTTAAGTAACCTATAATCTTCCCTTCCTCAGGTTCATTAAGCACTGAACCAATAGCGCACAGGCTGAGAAACTTACCTCACCCAGATGTTTTGGGCCTGAATTCTAACCCCTCTGAAAGCCACCCACCACCAGCTTCTGCACCAGGCACCCAGTCTTGGCTGGGACACAGGGTAGCATCTCTCATGGCCAGCAGACCTCTGTTGGGCCATGTTCTGATGCATTTCTGATCTGTCTCTAAGAGATGTGCTGAGAAGTAATTCATGTCTTAGTGGCCACTGTTTTGTACCTAAAATGATGTCCAAAGATTCATCCATCCATTTCTGTTTCCTACAAGCTCAGCATCTGGCTGGCACTAGAGAACCCAGAACGTGGACTGGAATAGCCATGAGGAGCCTAACTTGTATATAGGCCTTACTTGAATAAATTAAATATGCCACTTACTGGAAAGGTGCCACATGTAAAGCATTGCACCAGGTCCTAGGGGAAGGTTGGTTTTGATGTAAAGAATACTAGTTCCTGTCTTCCAGAATTTTCTCTATAGTCAAATGAAAGCTTGATCTTTCACATTTGTTTTAAGAAGTTGGGCTGACACTGGTTTTCTCTTTACACATGCACACACACACACACACCCTCAAACAGTTGTTATGCAAACCAACTGATTAACTGGCATGCTGTTGCTTTACTACATTGATTTTAGAAGTAATTGAGCTATTCAGATTCCTGAATACTCTGATAGAGAATTATTCTTACATTTTGTAATAACGACTGTACAGATGAAAATATGAAAAGACATTCTGCAATGGATAAGCATTCTGGGTTAATTTCAGTGCATTAGCCTAATATACAAATACCCCATTTCTGGCAAGAAAACCCAGGATGTTCATTCACTGGGTAATATCTTTTCATATTTTGCTTACAGATGTTCAGAACAATTCCATGTTTATTAGTCTATTCAAAAGCTTTTAGAAATCTGCACAGCCAAGTGGCACTGAATCCAGAAGCATGAAAGGAGCTGCACAACTTTTCCTCGTAAGATTTACACAAGCAGCACGGGAAATCTGAGGCCCAGACATTTCCTTATCAACAGAATACTCCGGTGGATTTTCAAGCAGGCTGTTCAGCAGAGGTTTCGAGCAGGAGCCCAGGTGTGGGAAGAGCGGAGTGTGGGAGTCCTCGTGTGACCCTCTGGGGGTGGTGATGGAACTGACTGTATGGTCTGCAAAACCTAAAATATTTACTGTCAGGTGCTTATGTGTCCTGTCCTGAGCCCGTTTCCTCTCTTGTAAAATGGAGCAATGCTGCTTGATGAAATCAGTCAAGTTGTGGTTGGATTCTTATATGTAATAAACCTGCACATTGTGCACATATACCCTAAAACTTAAAGTATGATAAAAATAAAAAAAATTGTTGCAAATCTGAGTATTTGAGAAAATCTGGGATACACACTTTCTAGCTCTTGGGCTCGTTAAAGATGAACATGATGGATCATGAAGCATTGCTTGGCAGGGCTGGGGCCAGCTTGTGGTAAGTATGCCTGGCACAGCACACGGAACCCGTTTTCTTCTCTTCTTCATCTGTGTTCTTAGGAGGTCAGGTCATGTCACCCCCTTTTCCAAATGCGTGTGATTTTTTTCCTTGATGCTTGAGAGCTCTAACTGAGCAAGGAATAATAATTTCCCCACTAATGTAAGACAACTCAGTATACTTTTTTTTTTTAAGTTTGACTTAATTTCTGAAGTGTTTGGGTGGAAGCGCATGTCTATGTATCTTACATGAGATGAATGATCCCATTCTTCAGAGTAGGGATGAGTTCTCTTATTAACAGATTTTATCAAGCAATGTAAAACTCATTCTAAATTCCTTGCAGACTGCATTAAATCTCTTTTTAGTGCATAGTCAGTCTTATTGTACTCATTTCAATGTCAGTCAAGGTAAATTACTAAGTTATTGACATACTTCTGAAAATGCAAGAATTCTGGTGTTCAGTTCTTGCTACAAGCAATTTGATCGCTTTTTATTCCTCTTATTTTAGGCGTAAAATTGGACCTTAAACTTGTAGCAGGCAGGATAAAAACGCTTATCTCTCTCAAACCAAGAGGCAGAAAGCAGGCTTCAAGAGCAGAGACCCTTGACTCATACCCTTAGGACCAAAGATATCTGCTCACCCAACCATCTTCCCCACACCCACATCCAAGCAGCTATGCAAGACAGATTAGTTCAGTGAATGGACCCATTGCCTGAAGAAAAAGTATAGGTAATGAGAAAACAGCTGGTTTTGTTTATTGTAAACCTCAATCACCAGAAATAGCAAGCTTGGCTTCTCTACCATCGGCACCCCTCTGAAGGGTTGACATGGTGGGGGGGGGGGGGACATAGGTCATGGGGACGTCAAAGCATTTGAGACCTAGAAGGGCCTTAACCATCTTCCAATACAACAGCTTTCAAACTGGGTGACCATGGAACCCTCAGGCTTTCAGAAGGGTTCTGCAGGAGCTCCAGAGGTAATGATGTTTGAACTCGGTAAGATTCAAGCTGCTTGGAGAGGCCATTCACAGCTTTCAGCTGTATTATATGTTGATGTCCTGACTAATAACCTTATTTTGAAAAGTTACTAAGAATGTTGGGAAACCTCCAAGACTGCTTTCTTTGTCGAGTAAGGGAACTGAGGCTGAGAGAGATGAAGTGATTTGAGAGATTTTATTAGAAGGGTTGAAAATGTGCTTGTCTTCTCAGATCACAGTGTGACTAGAACACCCAAAAGAAGTTCGAATCGTACACCCATTCTGCTCCTCTCAGTGAGGTGGACGGTCAAGGATTCAGAGTAGGGGTGGCTTTGGAGTGGGAAATGTTAAGATGTGAAGAGATCATAGTTTTGTCATTTGGTTCCTGTTTATCATTTCTGTTAGGCTGGATTTTTTCACCAGTATTGAGTCCTGGGGTTTCCTGATAGATAGTTCTTGTGTCTGCTAGATGCTTTAAGTCCTGTCTGCGATGGCCAGTAGCAGAGCTAAGGGTGTGACGGTAAAGAGCGCCTGCAGGAGCCCAGGACTTAGGACTAAGAAAGGAAGTCATTGAACTGGGGAGTGGTATCCTTGCTCCCTCACCTCCCTCCCTTTCAAGCTTCTGCAAATTGGCTTCCTGGCCTGGGCTGGGGACTGCCTGGGCCTGCAGAATCAGGGCAAGTGGACTGCAAATTGATTTGTCCACGAAGCATGGGCTGCAGACCTTACATATAATAACCTAGTACGCACCTGCTCCAGTTTACAGTATACAAGGGTGATGGCATTGCAATAAGTAAAACATGCACTCAGCCAGTGCTATTGAATTCAGAGCAATTTTTCACCATCACATAGGTCCTTCATCCACCGGTTCTAAAATTTGAGTGACTCTATGGGGGTTCTCTGGCAGTATCTAGGCGAAATCATGTGGTCTCTCATACTCACGTAGGTATGAACCCTGTATGCTGATAGGTAGTTCAAAGTTGAAACCAAAGAGACGTGCACATTTTGCTAGAGGTATCCCAAGTTTGCCCAGTTATTTAAATCCAGCATTAGACATCAGAGAGGATGAGGATTTTCTATAGCTTCAAATAACTGAAGGCTGGCAAGCAGCAAAACATAGGGCCCCACAATCCTGCTGTCCTCGAATGGTAAAAAGAGGCATTTAGTGCCTTTCCTTCCCCTTCAGGCCATTGGCTAAAGACTCCAATAATGTCAGGGTCTGTTCTTTGTCATTGAAGGGCAAGGGGTGAGTGAATTGGATGGTTTATGGACTCTCTAAAGACTATTGCATGTGCTACGTGTTCTTCATATGACCTTGATATTTTAATATTCTATAGTTGGTTTGGCTGTTCAACTCACCTCTCTCCTTGAACAGCTTAAATCACTGCTGAGGAACAGGTGCAGCGGTCAAAGGTCAACAGACTGACAGACTTTAAGTAGTTAAATGTGTCAATATTTCAGCAATTTTGGTGGTAAAATTCAAATAGGGCATTTAAGTAGAAAACAAATGGAAAGGAACAATAATAAAAACATCCTTTTACCCATTCAACACTAGAAATAGGTTATTCTTTCATTGTTTTAGGATTATATTCTCAAAGACTTAGAAGGGAGATTAAGAGGAATTTGATATAGCAAGCAGTTTTTAAAACATAATTGCAAAAGCAGTTGATGAATGTGCCCACACTGATGTTTTCAAATCACATCTAATGGAGCCATAATGTAATATGAGAAAATAACCTTATGGGGGGTCAGGGGGTTGAGCTTCTCCAGGAATTTTATGAGATATGCTGGGTCTTAATTACTTCATAATGACTGACAATTTTTAGAGCCTTAGAATAAAGGTTTCTTTTTTTTTCCTAAGTTACATTAAAAATAAATATCTGGGTCAATTACTGGCCCATCCATCTGCCAAGTGAAAATTGCAACAAGACAGAAAAACACGGTTGCTCGTCATGGGAGTGAAGCACCCAGACGTGAGCGGAGCGGCTTGGGAAGAGGTCACTGTTGTTTCCTGGGGCCGTGCCTCCGATCTGCCGGGGACTCCTCAGCCTGGGAGTCATTTACAAACCACCGAGGCCCCTCAGCTGCGGGAGAAGCTTTGCTTAATAAATCCTGGCCTCTGAAGCGTGGAATTGTGAAGTCTCTCAGGGAATGCCGAGGGACAGAACTAATTTCAGCGTCTTCGTTCTTTGAGAATGGGAGGTAGCATCACGTCTCTGACTGGAGCGTTCTGATGAGGGTGACCACCTACCCACAACGTGTTTTGAACTCTTTTATTTATAGTTGTTGCCTTCCTCTTTCTTTCTTGACGTTTCCTCTTCCTCCTGCTTCCCCTCTCTTCTCTTTTGCTTCTTCTTTCCTTGAGTTAAGGATAAGTTGTTTTTTCCACTCTGGTTTATTGTTATAAGGCTTAAAAGAAGTCACAGAAACTGGTGACTTAGCACATAATACCCATCTTAGGTTTAGAAGAGCAATTGAAAACATAATGTTCTCAATGGGTATTACAATAGTAGTTTCTTTCCATGACCACTTTGTAATCCACAACTCATTCTACCTACTAATCTCTGTCACAGTCCCATGAGATAGAGCAGCATCAGTGCTGCCCCTTACACAAGTGCCAGGGGTCAGAGACACTTGCACAGTTAGTCAGTGTGCCACCTGGCTCATTAGAGGTTTTGACAATCTCCGCTGGTGGGATTGAAAATAAAACAGGGTTTATGTTTAAGACTGTCTCCTTCTAAGCCTTCACTCATTTCCAGCAAATGCATTTTCACATGTCTTTCGTGAGCATTTTAGGATAATTTAAAAATATTAAGCTATGCTAGAGCTGTGCCAAAGTTTTGAAAATGGCTTATAAAAAATAATCTAGAGATCTGGAAGCGTTTAGATGGATGTGATCTACAGAAACACGGGATTTCCTTTTCTTTAGCCGGATGGACTTTACAGGTCATCTGTTCCGGTGATTTGTTTGAAACTTTTATTAGGCATTACAATCTTTTCTTCAGGCAAAAATTTTGCACAGAAGTCTATTAAAACAGTGTGCAAGATGCTGTGATTGGGAGAGGGGGCTTCCCCCAGCCCCGTCCTCAGTATTCTGGCCCTAGAGTGCTGCCTCAAAACCTACCAGGAGCTTAGTCTGTAAAGCAGTTGAGGACTAGGGCCAAGTTAACTTTGGGCTGAAACACGCAGTAACATGAGAAGGCCTTCCACACCTCGCTCATCACTAGCCCACTGCAAGGCTGCACTTTGCATGCTCATGGAAACTCGCAGGATTATTGAGGAGGCTGTGCAGAGGGAAGGGGCCTTTTAATTCTCTGCCTCCTTAGAGGTGCACCCTGGCAGGCCAGGAGCCCCAGGCAGAGATGTTTCTGTACAGGTCCCAGGTTTTGCAGCAAGGTCCCAGAGCATCCCGTTCTCCCAGTGAAATTCCGTTTTCAATTTCAGCCTGATTCCCTGAGTGAATTTAATGTAAAGCTGTCCCTTCCCCCTCGGTCCCGGCAGGTAAGGAGCTGCTGGCGACTGTCACACCAGTGCCCCTGTCAGCAGACCTGCTTGGCTCTGGAAGGATGGGTTGACAAAAAGCCATAGGTACCTGAACTTGTGTGTCTTTGTGCACAAGAAAAAATAATCTGTCACCTTGTTTAAGGCGTGTTCGGTTGCGTTTGATAGTTTGAAAATGCTCTGGGGAACAATCATCTGTCTGGTTTTGAGAGTCAGGTCGTAAAATGGTGAAATCACATACTGGGGGCTGGAGTGGGGCGGTGGGCAGTGTGGGGGCATTGGGAAGCTGCTGGTTTTTTTTTTTAAAAAACAAGTTTTAATTTTTTCATCTAATAAACTGTTTTTTGTTTAAAGAGCAGTTTTAGGTTCACAGCAAAACTGAGCAGAATGTAAAGAGAATTCCCATCTATCCCATCCCCCCACCATGCCCGCTATCAACATCCCCACCTGAGTGGTGCATTTGTTACACCCCAGGAACCACACTGACACGTCCTCAGCAGCCATAGTTTGCGTTGAGTTCACTCTTGATGTTCTGACATGTATAATGAGTGACCTGTGTCCACCATGAAGTTATTGTACAGAGTAATTTCGCTGCCCTAAAATTCTCTGTGCTCAGCCTATTCAGCCCATCCTCCCCCCCCAACCCCTGGCAACTGCTGATCTTTTCGGAGTCTTCATGTGTTTGCCTTTTTCAGAATGTCATTGAGTTGAAATCACACAGCCTATGTCCTTTTCGGATTGGCTTCTTTCAGTAATATGCACTTAAGTTTCCACCCTGTCTTTTCACGGCTTGGTAGGTCATTTCTTTTTAGCACTGAATAATATTCCATGGCCTGGATGTACCCCAGTTTGCTTGTCTATTCCCCTGCCGAAGAATATCTTGGATGTCTCCAAGTTTTGACAATTACGGATGAAGCTGCTGTCAACATAGGAAACTGGTTTTAAACGTTCAGTAGAGATTAATGCAAGAACTCTGGAGTGGGGGAGGCCTGGAGGCCTGGGTTGAAATGAAGTTCTACCAGAGAGGATTTCTGCTAGCTGATATCAGGCAACTGGGGGCTTCATCCATCAAAAGCACTTAACATTGAAACTTACTTTTCTTTTCTGAGCCACATAAGTAAGAAGAATTCAGACGGCACCTCTGTCTAGGTGGGTGGCTGGTGAAAACTTCCAACAGTACTTTTCTCTCTCCAGAGTGTAAGAGTTCAGATTTGCATGTGTCCATTCTTCCCTTTCTGTGGGGCAGAGATACATGTATTTCTCTGTCCCCCCGAGGCGAAGCTATAGTCTCTGACCCCCTGAGTTTCAGCCCAGTGGGAGTGTTTCTTGTAAGATTTCTCAGTTTGGGAGGACCTTGGGCTTCATCTCCTGCCCTCCTTCTCCTGCCCCAAATGGCTACCAAGGTGGGTCCAGAAGAAACTCTCAGAGGTCTGTAGTTTGTTTAACTTCTAGGCTTTTTATACATTTCTTTCCTTCATAATAGCTCAGTGAAAAATGTTAAAATATTTTAAAAATATATTGTACCCAGCATTTTAGTTATATCAGGCAGGAAGATTGCTTCAGATGTTGATGTGCCCTTTCTTGGCCAGGGCATTGCAAGGCAGGGTTAGTGCTCGTAGACAAACAAGGATTTTTTAGGAGGTGATGACACCATTTCCATCAGGGGTGGCCAGGAATGGGCACGTACAGACAGAAGCATTCAAGTGACTTGAGAGGATCCTTAGGCAGCCTGGAAGTAAGAGGAAGATGACAGGCCCTCTCCGTCTCCACAAAAAACAGTGTAATTAAATGTGGAATACCCTTACCCCCGGAACATTTGACCTCAGAGACCTTGGGTCTCAATGCATTGGACACTGACAGCCCATGTATTCTACTCTGTGTGTGTCCATAAACCTTCTTCATTTAGTTTATTTATTTTTTGAGATGGAGTTTCGCTCTTGTTGCCCAGGCTGGAGTGCAATGGCGTGACCTCGGCTCACTGCAACCCCTGCCTCCCTGGCTCAAGCGATTCTCCTGCCTCAGCCTCTGGAGGAGCTGGGATTATAGGCACGCACCACCGCGCCCAAGTAGTTTTTTGTATTTTTAGTAGAGATGGGGTTTCATCACGTTGGCCAGGCTGGTCTCAAACTCCTGATCCCAGGTGATTCATTTACTTTCAATTAACGGCACCTCAATGGCCTCCCATTTGACTATAGATGTTAAATAAGTACAGTTGTCTCTCCGTGTTTGGACTAACTGCTCAAGGCTTTGATGAGCAGCAGAGTCTCATTTAGAAGGAGACTTGCCTTGGTTCAAGAATTCACTCTCTTACCTAGGATGTAATTCTATTTTTCTGACAGGACATGCTTGATGGGACTGATGTCTCCAGCCAGGTCAGCGCAGCAGAGAGGTGAACACCAGCATGTCTTGTTAAGAAGCAGGAGATGAGTTCATGAGATTTCCACACACACACGTTGATGGCCTTTACATATGAGCTTGGAGATAGAAAATAATAGCTAATAGGTTTTAGTCGTTTCCAAGTGCATGGCATAATTCTAAATTCTTTACATGTGACCACTTCTTCTATTTTCATAACAGCTGGGGGATAGGGAGGGGGTAGGCTAGTGTCCCTGTTTTTAAAATGAACAAATCCAGGCATAGGCAGATTATCTGACTTGTGTAAACCCCCATAATTAGTAAGCGGCAGAGCCAGAATGGACGCAGGGACAGTCTATGTCTAGAGTCGTTGTTTTGAACTCCTATGCTGTGTCTCTCTCAAAGAGAACAAGAAAGTACAAGTCACTACAATGAAAAGAACTCCATTGTCAGTGAGACATACAACACCCTTCCAAAGTGAGAAAGACAAAACACCCAGCTAAGACTCACTGGCTAATTGGAAAGCAGGACCTGTTATTATGTAAAGGCTCCTGTCCTACTAGGTGAGATTTTCCTTGAGGGTAGGGACTATGTCTTTTCATCTCCCTATTCTTGTGACACCTGGAGCAGGCCTTGCTCTCAATAGGCTCCTGATCAATGCCGAGTTGTCACATCCCCTCATGCGTTAAATAAGGCCGTGTCTGAGGATCCCACTGGAAAGTCTTGGAAGACTCTGGGACTCTTGTAAGCCCTGCACGGTGCTTCCTGATTATATGAGGAGTTGGAGAATATCATGAGAAAAGTCCAAAGTCTCTCCTAAGTTCTGAACTATAGCTCCCTTCTCCCACGTGGCAACTCTTCCCTGATGGTTTAAAGAGCAGAGGTCTTGGCAAAACCAGGCTTTCCCTCAGATTGTTCAGCAGAGGGCTGTCAGTTATCTAAGACCTTTTTAAGAAGCAGATAGACAGCGAGGTGCGGAGGCTCATGCCTGTAATCCCAGCACTTTGGGAGGCCAAGGCGGGCAGATCGCTTGAGGTCAGGAGTTTGAGACCAGCCTGGCCAACATGTCGAAACCCTGTATGTACTAAAAATACAAAAACTAGCCGGGTGTGGTGGTGCAAGTCTGTAATCCCAGCTACTTGGGAGGCTGAGGCAGGAGAATCACTTGAACCTGGAAGGTGGAGGTTGCCGTGAGCTGAGATCTTGCCACTGCACTCCAGCTTGGGTGACAGAGACTCTGTCAAAGGAAAAAAAAAAAAAAGAGGCAGATATATATGTTCATCTGTTGCCTTTGACCTTGTCAAATCTATTGAAGTTCTCAATGCCCTGAAAACAAATGGACTTAGATCTATGGCCACTCTTTGGCAAAACTGAGGGAATTTTAAACTCTAGCATCTTTTGGGCTGTAGCAAGGTGACAAAATTAAGTTTCTGGAGTGCCCCAGAGGCTAAATAAATGCAATTTTGTCATTTCTGGAGTGTTCTGTAAATATCGAGCCTATAAAACAGAATGCAGTTACAAGAAGAGTTAATTCACAGGTTGGTGAAAGGAACACTGCTCATAATTAGAGTCAGGTGGTAAAGGACATACTTCCTGGTGAAGCAGGTGTGTAGGGACCCGTGACATTCTCCCATCTGGAGTTGTCTCCTCCTCTCTCCCTGCTCCTGTGGCTGGGGGTGGGATTCCTAAGTCACTTTCCCTCCCTTTCCCCATTCCCATTTCTTCTGAGTACTTACTAGGTGCAAAACATTTTTCTGGACATTTGGGAAAGCTCAGAAAATAATATGTTGATATTCCCCTCCAGGAAGGTAGACCGTCCTGGGAAACCCAGGACTAGGGTTTCCTGGGGAAACAAGGGAAAGCAGTCCAGGCGTGTGGGGGAGAGATTCAGGGTGCTTTCCACCCTCTCCCGGACCTCAGCTTCCCTGCACCTGGCTTTGCTTTTGTAGGCTGGGGCTGCTGCTCCTCTCGGCTTCTTCCATGGCAGTCGGTGCCACCCAGCTCGCTGGTGTTCCTGACTCGGGCTCTGCCCGCCTCACCCCTTCTGTAGGCTCTCCCTGGTGGGTGTTCTGCTGTTCACAGTCCTGATTTGGCACAGGCCCTCTGAGGACCTCAACACAGACGCTCCAGAGAAGAGGCCTGGACCTGCGTCACTGAGAATGCATCAGAGGGAGCAGTTCCGGGAAAGAGAAAACAACCAAGTCATTTCGGTTGGACGGGACATAAACACTGCAAGACAAAATTGATGCACAATAATGATATGATCTGTCAGAAGAAGTGGCAAAGAAAGGGAAGAAATGAGCGGCTGTGTGTGGGCGAGCCATTGATGCAGGAGGCTCTCCTTGCCATTTGGTCCAGTTGCAGCAGAATAAAAAAAGCTCCACTTCTGGATGAGGGATCTCACATGACAAGTATGCAAGAGCTGTTTAATACCACCACGCCTGGCCAGTGACAGGGGCACGGCATCCTGGTTAGTAATGAAAGTGGAGTGAGAAAGCTGCAGGAGCCTGAGATGGATGGAACAGGGAAGGAGCAAAGTTTCCACAGAGGAGACAGAGGAGGAGGAAGCGGGGGACAGAATACCCCACGACTCTAGCGGCACACGTACACAAGCGAGGCAGCACGCAGAGTTGACAGGCACAGATGGACTGGTCACGTAGCCTGGAGTTAGGGCAACAGATGGACAAGTCATTGCATAAATTGGCTACCCAGGGACCACAAATGCCTGCTAGGAAATCCAAGGACGTATCATGTTGACCCAGTGACAACATACCTGGGCAGAGGTAGACACAGGTGCCCCTGATGTGAAAGGGAAATGAACAGCAGTTTGCATTGGTGGGGGGGAATAAAAAGCAAACGAGATTAATAAGGAAAGGAAGGAAATTACATTGTGTGCGTGTGTGTGTGCTTAATGTCTTTTGTAAGAGGACTTATCTTTAATTCATCTTTGTAAGACCTGACTTTAATTATGTCACTTCTGAATGTTGTAATCGTATGACTTTCAGAGCAGTGGGAGAGGAAAATAACATTTGGATATTTGATAGATATTCAAAATATAGCTGAAATAAATTTTCTAAACACTGAATCTTTAGTCTAAGCACAAAGTGAAAAACAATAACTTTCATGGAAATAGTTACTTGTAAAATGTTGTTCAGCTTTCAGAATGAAGTATAAAATACAAGATGGAGTTGTCATTTAAAAACCAAATAGTACTAAACTAAAACAAAAGTAATTCTTGCTAGATATATTTAGGTTGCTGTAATAGTGTACCCAAAAAAAAACTATAGTCTGCTGTGATGGTATTGATTACCTTTTTATTTATGGTAAAAATGGATGAATTGTCATGTCTTTAAGTTGCTATTTACTCAATATTTTAATATACATTTAGTATATACATTTGTGTTAATTCTTTTTTAAAGCTTTAAAAATTAATCACGTAATCTTTGAAAGTCACTATGCTAGGGACCGGATACAGTGGTGAACAGGATAAAATTGTTTCTGTCTTCATGAAGGGTATATAATCTATTACTTAAAAAAAAAAAAAAAAGACTATAAGGCCAGATGTGGTGGCTCATGTCTGTGATCCCAGCATTTTGGGAGGCTGAGATGGGAGGATTGCTTGAGGCCAGGAGTTTGAGACCAGGCTGGGCAAGAAAGCAAGGCATTCGTTTCTACAAAACCTTTTTTTTAAGGACTTTAATTTTTAGAGCAATTTTAGGTTTAAGCAGAAAAAGTAAGCAGGAAGTACACAGAGTTCCGATGTTACCGCCTGCCACACATACATCCATTTTCTTGGCTATTAACATCTTAGTGTAGTACATTTGTTATCACTGATGGGCCAATACTGATATGTTATTATTAACTAAAGTCCATAGTTTACATTCGGGTTCACTTTTGGTGTTGTACATGCTGTAGGTTTGACAATTGTATAATAAGTGTATCTACCATTATAGAATCATGCAGAATAGTTCACTCCCTAAAGATTCCCTGCGCTCCACCTGTTCATCTCTCCACCCTCACAAACCCCTGGCAATCACTAGCTTTTTACCTTTGATAGTTCCGCCTTTTCCAGAATGTCAAGCAGCTGTGTGATTCGAGAATGGGTGGAAGCATACAGTAAATAGCATGTTTAGATAGGTCTTTTTCACTTAGCAATATGTATTTAACGGTACTCCATGTCTTTCTGGGGCTTGATGGCTTATGTCTTTTTATCACTGAGTAATAATCCACTGTTTGGAGGTACCATAGGTTATTTTATCTATTCAGCTCTTGAAATAATTGCAGTTGCTTCCAGTTTTTGGCAATTATGAACAAAGCTGCTATTAACGTTTGTGTACAGGTTTTTATGTGCACATAAGTTTTTAACTCATTTGGACAAATATTTAAGAATGTGATTGCTGGATCATGTGGTTAGCCTATGTTTAGCTTTGCCATAAATTGTCAAACTGTCTTCCAAAGTGACTGTACCATTTTGCTACCAGCAGTGAGTGGGAGTTCCTGTTACTTTACATCCTTGCCAGCATTTGGTGTTGTTGGTGTTTTGGATTTTGGCAATTCTGATAGGTGTATAGTGGTATCTCCTTATTGTTTTAATTTGCAATTCTTTAATGACATATGATGTGGAGTATGTTTTCTTATGCTTATTTGCTATTTTTATATCTTCTTGGTGAGGTGGCTATTCAGATCTTTTGCCCATTTTTTATTTGGGTTGTTGTTTTCTTATTGATGAGATTTAAGATTGTTTTGGCCTTTATCAGATATGTGACTTGAGAATGTGTCCTCCCAGTCTGTGGCTTGCCTTTTCATTCTCTGAAAAATTTCTTTCCCCAGGCATCCATTATTTGTGAACTGTGTGGGTTGGGCACTGGTGGACCAGAGTAGTTCTGGGAAGGTGAATTGCAGGCCTCCACAGCCAGGCTCTGTTAGTCCCAATATTCTCCCAGAAAGTCAGGTTGGACTGTTGCATGCCCGAATGTTGGCACTCACACCTTTCTTGTTCACTTGCTTCTATTGACCTTGTTACTGGGTTGTACCTATGGTTTTGGCCTCTCATTTTTTGCCGTGTTGGTCATTTTGTGCTTCTGATGACTTTAGTAGCTGACTCTGGCCCTGGTCCCTTGACTTCCTGCAAGTTCTGTTACCTGACTGTGGCCATCCACCCTCCCACATGGGTGCTGATTGTCTTGTTTGTGTACCGGCTTGGCCTTTGCCAGTGACAGTTTATCCTGACCCCAGCCCGAGGCCTAGTGTCTAGAAAAATTATCATATTTTCAGTGGTTGATTATAAAACCAGCATTAGGTTGGGTGTTTCTCAGTTTAATGGCTAAACTCAAAATCTTTATTGCTGTCACCCCCAAACGAAGTTGCCTTGCTGACTTTCCCATTTCTTCCCTACTGGCCTCACCATTCTCCCAGTAACTCAGACTGTCTGTCACAGGGCCATCTTTGATTTATCCTTCATCACCTGTAGACAGTCAGTAGCCTTGTTCTCAGAGTGCTTCAGTGCTTACCATTCATTCTATTAAAGGACTTGAGTTCTACCATGATAGGAAAAAAGACTACATCATTCCAGGAAGGTATGTGTGCACGTTCAGACAATAGGTTAATGCCATATGCATTTTTCTGAAAACCCTGTATCTCCCTATATGGCAGCCTCTAAGAGCCTTTGTGGTACCAAAACCGGGAATCATTCTTTGGCTTTGTTTTTAAACACTGAAATCCTTCTTCAGTCTTCTCTCTTTTTTATTCCCACTGCCACCGATGTGAAACTGGCCCTGGCTTCATGGCTGGCCCCTTGAGGCTTCGTGCTGGACTCAACACCTTGGGTCTTTCTGAAGGGAAGCCTGCTGGGGACAGGAATAGGGAAAGAGCTGAGTAGGACAATAAGGTGGAGAGAACCAGAAAGCCTTTCAACCCATCTTTAGAGTGAGATCTTCACAGTGTGATTTCGTTATTGTATTTGAAGTGAATGCTAGAATAGCTGATGCTTTTAGAAATCAAATATAGATACAGAACACATTACAAAACTAAGATTTGGTCATTTTAAAAGCTTTGTTATTTGCTTTTTCATCCTCTCCTTTCCTCCTATTCACTCAAGTAAATAATGATGTGACCACAGTTTTCTTTACTTAAAAATATTTTTTTTCACAGGCTTCAGATCTGTGTGTCTACTTGTCATGAAAAGTATATTTTACTTTAATAAGCTAATGATTTATTTCAACAGAGGAAGCAGAGCCCTCCAAGTTTATATGAGATTGATTACTCCAGAGCTTTGACTAGAGACCTGTTCTTGTAGAAGCCAGTCTTTTTGTGAAAGTCAGGTGAATTTTAGATTGCCTTCTCAAACTCTACCTGTGTGTCATAAAGTCACTGCTATCATTGTTTTCCCCTCATTTCCAGTAGCTTATGAGAACTCCAGCTATTAGCATGTAGCATTTAACCTCCTATACTATTAGGTCGTTTCTTTGATTGCCCAGAACAATCTTATCATTGGATGAAACTATTATAAATTATATGCACATAGTTTTAAATGATTGCAAGATATATTTGATTCTAGGTCTTTTCAGAAGTTTAGCATTGAATCTTTTTCAAAATTTTCTCTTTTTGCAACATTTCCAGCTATATTTCAACTTGTTTATCAGAACGATGGCTGCCTGGGCTAAAACCAGTGCTGCCAGGCAAAGCTGCTCCCAGTGGAGCCCAGGTGGGTGCAACAGGGAGCTGGCTGTCGGGCAGGGCTGAGCTGCTTGGAGAGCAGGAGTGAGCAGGTGGGCATGATGAGGGAGATGCTGGGGGTCCCAAGGTGAGGAAGGAAAAGAGCAAATGGCCTTCTGGTGCACGTGGTCATTAAGGTGAGATGACTAGTGAGAAGCCTTGAGTCTTGATGAATGGGCGAGGGAGACAATCCTTTATATCAAGTCCCAGGAACTAACTTGAGAGCCCAATGTGGAGGGCACTGGAAAGTCAGTTAAACAGTTAGATAGTCCCACCTGCTGAGGAGATGGAAGCAAGGGCCAAATCGCAGGGTGGGGGTCAGGTTGGCCTAGAGCCCTCTGTGCGATGAGAAGCTTGAAACCCATCTCTCAGTATGTGCAGCCACTGGAGCTGGGGTACAGCTGGGGTCTTGGTGAGTCCTAAGTGACTGTTCAGATTAGGTCACAACAGACTGAGGTATTTGTCTTTAATTCAGGAAGCAAGAGCATTGAGAGCTCTTGTTCACATTTTACCTGCAGCTGATTCAATATCCTGTCTGACTCTTCAGGTGGTGTTTTACCAAATTATGTCCTGGAAGAGGCCAGTCCATATTCCAGAAGTTAGACCAGATGCTAATATGCTCTGCAGCTGGCTGGAGGAGGGCTGGGTCATATACCACGTGATGGGGAGAGAAGAGGGAGGCAGAGGACACAGTCCAGCCTGGAGCAGACATGGAGTCAAAGGCTGATCTTGGCTCTTGGAAGATCCTGGGGGGAGATTGAGGTAGGACAGGTGTGTCACAGGGGCTTCTGGGCAGCATTCAGCTCTGGGGTGCTCACAAAGTGTGGTGGCTGCTGGAAATAGTGACCTATGCCTCTCATTAGAGTATTTCAGCTGAAAGGGCCTTTGGAATCTTCTCTTCTCCCAGGGTAGGAAATAGAAACTCAACAAAGGTGATGACTCAGTATTGTCAGGCAGCTAGCCCATAGCAGGGACTAGACCAGAACCCTGGCCTTTTCACTTTTCAGAGTTCTTTTAGAAACAGTTGAATTGGGCTGTAAGTGATCTATATTAAAGTACATATTTTAAAGTGAACAGTATACGTTTTGACATAGGTAGACACTGTAAAGCCCTCACCACAGTCAAGATAATGAGCAGATCCATTCCCCAAAAAAAGTTACCTCGCATGCCTTCATCATTCCTCCCCCTGCCTTCCTCACCCTGCAGGCCTGGTGCCCAGGCAACCTCTGATCTGCTTCCTGTCATGACAGGTGTGTTTGCATTTTGTAGAATTTTTTTCTGGAATCACACAGATTTCTTTTTGTGCCTGGCTTCTTTGATTCCACCTGTTTTGAGATGCATCCATGTTCTCGGATCAGCAGTTCACTCCTTTTTCCTGCTGAATGATATTCTCTTGTATGGATGAAGCATCCTTTTCCCTGCTGATGAACAGTGAGGTTGTTTTCAGTTTGGGGCTGTTACAAATAATGCTGCCATCAATATTCATGTACCAGTGTTTGTGTGGGTGTGTCATTTCATTTCTCTTACATTAATACCTAGAAATGGAATGACCAGGACCTGTGGTAGGTTTATGTTTAACTTTTTAAGAAATTTCCAAACTGTTTTCTGGAGTAGTTGTACCATTTTATATTCCCATCAGCAGTGTACGAGGGTTCCAGTTTCTTCACTTGCTCATTAGCAGTTGGTATGGCCAGTCTTTTTACTTCTAGTGATTGTAACAGGTGTGTAGCCGTATCCTACTGTGTTTTTCACTTGCATTTTCCTGACGACCGAATTATATTATTTTCTCATGAACTTACTTGCCATGTGTATGTCTTTCATAAATTGTCTGTTCAAATCTCTTATGTATGCTTTTTATTGGGTTATTTTCTCATTGTAATTTTGACAGCTCCTGATATATTCTGGAAACAAGTCCTTTATCAGACATAATGATTTGCAAATATTTTATCTGAGTCTGTGGCTTGTCTTAGCATTCTCTTAACAGTGTTTTTTGAAAAGTAGAACTTCTAAATTTCGATGAGATCCAGTCTATCGGTTTTTTTTTTTATGGATGAAACTTTTGTGTCATATCTAAGAACTATTTGTCTAACACAAATATTTTCTCTTATTTTTTCAGAAATTGTATAGTTTAAGATGTACATTTAAGTCTGCAATCCATTTTGATTAATTTTTATATATAGTGCAAGTCATTTGACACGTGTGTAATATAGCAAAAGGCACATATTGGATCTGTGGATTAAGGTCACTTTACCCACCGATGGTGACAGAAGTCTTCTACCAGTACTGTCATATTAAAATGCAAAGGTCAATCATACATTATATATGTACATCACTCAATAAACCCCTAAAGTACATTGCCCAGTTTTCATAATACATTTAATGAAAGAATAATAAGGTCATTAAGGGCAATCAGTGTTTTGTTATATTCCTGATTATATTCTTGATTATAGTTTGTTGCATTTCTCGAACGAACATGGATGGAGCAAGAAGTATTCCTCTTCCCCCTTTAATGCGAACCAACATAGTCTCAGACTCCAGTTTAAAACCTTGTCAACAGCAGTGATTGCACATTGTTTACCCCACCCGCTCCCGGTTGTAGTAATTATGGTACTTTAGATTTCCTGGAGAGGACACAGTGCTTAATCATGTAATTATGTCTCTGGACGGCTATCCCAAACAATGTGGAGCACGGGCTCTGCCGTTCATGACAACAGCCAAGAGAGAAGTTTGTTTGGGTTCTTATTGTGCAGACACAGTGGGAGGGGAGGCTGCAGTGGCTGGGGAGAGCAACTCGTGGAGGGAAGGAGTTGATTTTGGAAAGACAAAATGGGGTTGTGTAGGGATATGTGGCTTTTTTTCTTCCCCCAGTTCTTGTCCTTATAATTATTCCAGGAGTAGGAGTCCTTAGCACCACTGCATTGACTGTGGTATATGGCTCAGTCTCCACACCACAGTTATCTAGGGCTGGGGCAAGTGGATTTGTCCCGGGGAATTACTATGGGTCCTAGTATTTAGCCTTCCATTGTGCTTCTAGCCCAGAAGTGTGCTTGCTTTACAAAAGTCAGGAGAGAGATACAGGAAGGAGCACCGGAGTTGGAGTCTGACAGTCCCCTACACCTGCTGGGGGATCAGGAATGAGTCACTTAGTCTCTCCCGACACCAATTTCGCTATCTGCCAGAAGGGGAAGAGTATCCTTCTGGTGTACCCAAGTGGATTCAGTGAGAGGACATGCTCTCCATGTACATAATGGGCCAAAGGTCATGCATTTTTTCATTTTATGTGGAAAAAATGACTTGCACGTGTTCGTTTGGGAGGCACCATGAAAACTGGCTTTACCTTCTCTAGGGACCTTCCCTAACCCCATCCCAGACCCTGAGGCGGGGTTGCCACATTCATTCCCCTTGCATATTTCCCTCATTGCATGTCCTGCGTCACAATGATGGCTTTGCTCCCTGCTGTGAGAGCAGGAATTTCTTCAGGGCCAAGACCTGTAATTTTTATTTATAACTCTAGTGCCATTTCATAAGCATTTGATGAATAAACAACTAAATGAATACATATGAAGATGAGCAGAGCAGTCCTGGTGTTGAAGGAATTCATAACCTGGTGGAGGAGATGGACACGTGTGTGAATAATTGCAGCACACCGTTCTAGCTATAACAAGCAGTTTATTCACTTTTAAACAAAATGGGAACGCTTCTTTCTCATCTAATAAAATTGCTTCTGTGGGCACTCCAGACATTTGGGTAGAAAGTATGTTGCTGAAAAATGATTTCTAAGAAGAGTAGAGGAGATATGGGGAGACTACACTCTTTTATTCCAGCCATTACTCATCTGCAGGCTTTCACTTTCCATGGCACCTGAACTTCTACTCCCGAGGTTAGGGTGGGGCATTCATTACATATTTTCACAGCACCATCCTTCTCTTTTCTGACACTAATGATTTGTTTCCCATCTGCCTCTTCTCTCCCTATCATCCAGACTAGCGCCTAGCACATAGTAAGACCTCAATAAGTTGCTGCTAATTGACTAACTATACAATCAAACAAGTTCACACCATAAAGACTTTCTTAAAAAATAACCCTGGCTTCAGAAATTTTCTGAAGAGGGGAACGAGTTCTTTCCCCATCATGGGATTTGAATATGGGCCTGTGGCCCCAGGTTTCTTTTGAGCAGGGCTACAGTCTGATTTTCTTAATAGAACACATTACACCATTAAATGGATCTCCACACACCTGGAGGAGCTAACCTATTGAAGAGAATGCTTTCCTGTTATCCTCCTGGAATTCAGGTACAATTTAACTTCTTGCCATTAAAACACAACTTGATAGTGGTAACCTTTTCCCACCTCTTGGGACGCTTATTTTTAGTTTTCTGGAGAAGATGCAGATTGGAACACAATGACTACAGATAGATAAGGCATAGCCCGCAAACCCATTTGCAGGTGCGCTGTGTTTCCTTGCACAGTCGTTTGTCTCCAGGTTTGAATGCTTCTCCAACGCCTTTATTGGCAGTTGAAAATAGAGTTCTAGCCAATGTCGATGGATTGTTACCACAAAATGCAATTTGCTGCTGCACGTTGTGCTCAGATAATGGGCAAGAGTAGAATTCATCCAAACAATTGTGCTCCAACAATTGTGTTCAAAGAAATGATACCACAGAGTGAGCCATTCTCAGTTTTCTGAATCATTTAAGTGGTTTCATTGTAACTCATCCCTTTGTCAACTATTCTTCAGTGGGAAAATAAAGGCTTAAAGGAATTTCTTTTCTTCAAGAAACAGAACTTATAGCAGAATCAGAAATATGTCATGATATATAGGCCTACTTATGGAAGAAACAACCCGTGTTACCACTGATTACTCGATCACTTCTGTAGGGCTGAGGCAACACTGTTAATTCTTTGAATTTTCTGGCTGCACCAGGCATAGGTTTGTGTGAACAACAGGGAAGTGTCACCTACAGAGAGCCGGCAGGGCAGAGTGTCAAATGCGTGGGATTCAGAGGCAGAAAATTTGGACATCAGCTTTGCTGCTACCGCTTACTCTCTCTTTTGGTTTTTTGTTGTTGTTGTTGTTTGTTTGTTTTTTTGTTTTTTGAGACAGAGTCTGGCTCTCTCTCCCAGCCTGGAGTGCAGTGACTCGATCTCGGCTCACTGCAAGCTCCACCTCCCGGGGTTCACGCCATTCCCCTGCCTCAGCCTCCTGAGTAGCTGGGACCACATGTGAGTGCCACCACGCCCGGCTAATGTTTTGTATTTTTAGTAGAGACGGGGTTTCACCGTGTTAGCCAGGATGGTCTCGATCTCCTGACCTCGTGATCTGCCCACCTCAGCCTCCCAAAGTGCTGGGATTACAGGCGTGAGCCATCGTGCCTGGCCTGCTACCGCTTACTCTCTCTGTGACCGTGGAAAAATGATCTCATCTACCTTGAAGGGTTTGTTATGAGTGTCAAAGAAGATAATGTGCAATGGATAGCATGGTTTAAACAGTGAAGGAAAAAAGTTTTGTAGTTGCTATAGAATGAATGTTTTCTTGTATGAACTGAAAAACTTGAGTCAAGTTTCACATGGGAGCTTTGGTCTTTCCTTAATGGAATATTATCAGAAAAATGTGTTTTATATATCTGTCTTTGAAAGTTTTACTTATATACCGGATTCTGTTACAAATAATAAAATAAAGTTCTGCTTATTGGTAGCTATTTCTGTTTCAAGTTAATGCACAGAGCCACAAAATGCCATACAAAAGAAAGGCAACATGATGTCCTTTGGCTGAAGGCTTCATTTCTATTCGTTTTCCATAGAAATTATGTGTGTCTGCTTTTGAAGAAGCATACTGAAAAAAAAAAAAAACTATCCTCTACTAGGTGCCTTATTTGTGTAATAGAAGTTCTAATCCAAGTTTAGTAATACAAAGAAAGAGAGTTTTGCAGATGGAAGACTGCCAGCTTGACAGCAGTCATGCCCAGGATGCTCATAAGGACTGCTAGAGGAGGGAGGTCACCAGGAGCCAGCACAGGGCCACTGAAACCACGTCAGAGCAGCTGGAGTTCCACACGTTGGTGAGGGGTGAAGGAGAGGGGAATTAAGTGTTATCCAGGTGGATGTACCTGAGGTTCTGTGATTTCATAAGCATTCATAACGAGTATTGACACAATATTCATCATTAGCTCATTCACATCAGACCCTATGAAGAATTTAGGAAAGCTGTGATTCCAAGATCTTCGGGCTTTTCTTCAAAAGAAGAGAGTTATGAAGCCAGGCTGAAGGCACTGCAGGGTGGAATTTGTGCTGCAGGGGAGAGGCACCCGGACACAATGGGAGCCAGGCGCCTTCCCCACAGCTTGGCTTTGCCACGGCAGAAATGCTGAGCTGACAGGAAGCTCATTTTGTTCCTGGAAGAGGGCTTTATTTTATTTCAAACCCTCAGCTGCCTGGTGCACATTTTTGTTCTGGCAATAAATAACTTTAAGCTCATGTTTGAGTTCTTTCTTCTTTTTTTTTTTTTTAATATTCCATAGAAGAAAAATAAAAGTTTTTATATGAATAATTTTTAAGACTCAGTAAGAAGTAAACAAACAGCTTTTTAAAAGTGGGCAAAAGATTTGAAAAGACATGTCACTATATCAATGATACACAGATGGCATATAGCATCCAGTTTACAGGAAGCAAGGGGAATAGAGAAATGCTTTCTGTGATACCTACCATGGGGAAGCAAGCAGGCAAACCCAGAATTTGGGATACACTAAGGACAGCTGATGTGGCTTCTTAAATATATGAGTGTGTTTTTTAAAAAAGGGGAGAGGGCCTTCTCAATTATGTAACATTTAGAGTACATGACCAAATACGATGTGAGGACTAAGGGATGGAAATTGACTAGGGGAAAAATAACTTTAAAAAACTTTTTTAGGGTGACAATAATCAGGGGAACTTGAATATGGAGTGGGAATTAGATGGTGCTAATGAGTAACTGTTAATTTTGTTGGATGAGATAATGGTATTGCAGTTATGTATAAAAATAGCATTTAGCAATTATGTATAAAAATATTGAGGGCTGAAATGATGTGAGATTTGCTTTAAAATACTACAAAATAAAGGAAAAAGGAAGAAAGAAGAAAGATTGATGGCGTACATGTGTTGAAATGTTAGTAATTGTTGCATCTGGAGAGCGGGTGGATAAGTGGGGTTTATTTTACTATTTTTGCTTTTGTATATGTTTGAAAACTTTCGTCGTAAAAATTCTTCATAACCATCTTTCTAGAAATTATGCAGATTGTAAAATATAAGTAAATAGTGACATAATTTGAGGCATGGATTACTATGCATCTTATATGCAAGAAACACCTGCCCGTAAATTCAATTAAAAATTGTTTTATCTCTACAAAAAATTCCGATTTATCAGACAGTCAATTTGCATTACAAAGGGCACTGTTTCTTTTATAAAATAGTTTGCTGTAGAATTCCATTAAATGATTTATGTAATTTCCATGGGTAGTCTTTTTTTTTTTTTTTGGAGATGGACTTTTGCTCTTGTTGCCCAGGCTGGAGTACAGTGGCGCGATCTTGGCTCACCGCAACCTCGGCCTCCTGGGTTCAAGTGACTCTCTTGCCTCAGCCTCTCAAGTAGCTGGGATTATAGGCACGTGCTACCACGCCCAGCTAATTTTGTATTTTTAGTAAAGACAGAGTTGGTCAGGCTGGTCTCGAACTCTCAACCTAAGGTGACCCGCACACCTCGACCTCCCAAAGTGCTGGGATTACAGGCGTGAGCCACTGTGCCCGGCCAGGTACTCTTTTTTAAAAATCCTCCAATTTAGCCCCTTTCTTTCTTCAGTCTCTTCTATTCTCCAACCATGGATGCTGGCTCCCTTCATGCCTCCAAAACTTTATGAAAGCTTATTTCCTCTATCTGGAGTTATTCCCTTCACTTTGTTCTTTGTAAAAGCTTATTATATTAGTCAATATTCTCCAGGAAAACAGAAGCAATAGGATGATCTATTGATGAGTTGATCGATCTAGAGGTTGATGTATTATAAAGAATTGGCTCAGGATTGGCTCATATGATTATGGAGGCTGGTGAGTTCCAAGATCTAAGCTGGAGAACAAGAGAGCTGATGGCATAGTTCCAGTCCAAATGCCAGCAGCCTTTAGATCCAGGAAGAGCTGATGTTTTAGTTAGAGTTCAAAGGCAGGAAAAAAATCAGTGTCTCAGCTCAATCCTTCAAGCCGGAGGAGTCCTTTCTACTCAAGTGTTTTGTTCTATTCAGGCCTTCAACTTACTGGGTGAGGACCATCCACATCAAGGAGGGCTGTCCGCTTTACCGGGTCTACGGATTCAAATGCTAATGTCATCCAGAAACACCCTCACAGGGACACCCAGAATAATATTTAGCCAAATGTCTTGGCACAGTCAAGTTGACACATAAAATTAACCCTCACTCTTACTCGCGCTTTAAGACTACCCTCAAACGAATTCTACAGGAAAGCGTCCAAATGTCGATACTATGTAGATTTATGTGTTTATTTTTTTTATTCTACGCTGTACATTTCTTGAGGGAGAGAAATTTTTGTCACATTCATCTTTCAATCACTAGACACTAGCCTAGGACCTGGCATAAAACAGGTATCAAGTAAATATCTCTTAAGTGGATGAATAACAGCATCTGTAGCAAATTTAGGAGAAACTGCACAAGTTAGAAGGTATCATGTTTTAATATTCTAAATTTAAATATGACTAGTAAGAGGGTGGCTTTTAAGACTGGTATAAGCAATCATGAAGAGTGATGGTTTGTGAAAAAGTAGACCGTGTAACAGCAGCAAAATAAAGTTAGTAAGATAATTCTGAAAACAAAAGCTATTCACATGCATATTTGAGACTACAGATATGATAAAATTAGCATTCAGTAGGAACTATTTGAATTTTGTTTTAGTCTAAGTTATAGTGAGTTGTTCAATCTGTTAGCATTTAAGTCGATTAGCATTTAAAATAAAAATGGTATTCTTCCAACTTATTCTACCCTACCTTAAAACCTGCTCCCCAGAATTCCACATTATTTTACCTGCTCCTTCTAGTAGCATCCATATCTTGAAATAACACATTTATACCTCTATTCCTTACTTTATTCACTTAGACATTAGTTACTTCTACCCCCTAGTAGTTGTGCAACTATGGATAAGTTATCTGATTTTGCTGTGCTGTAATTTCATCTTTTGTAAAATGGGGAAAATAGTTTTCTATCCCACAATATTCTTTTAGGATTAAATGAATTACTGTTCATAAAGTACTTGGTATGTAATAAGAGTCATGTAAGTTTTATAATCATGAGAACAGTGATAATTATTAATATCACAATTATCAGTGATAGAAAGTTAGCTTTCTTATGCAACCTCCCACCATCTCACTTCTTCTCATTCTTTCTCTATAATTGTATCAAAACTTTTCAGTAAATCAACACTGTTTACCTTATGCTATGTTTATGTTATGTTATTGTGGCTCTGTGAATGTGTTCTCAACTGAAGTCGATAAATACACTGTTAGGGCTACTTTTCAGGCAACACAAACTATTCCAATTACTTCAAGCAGAACCTGAGAAAGAGAATTGGAGGCTTACATTATGATCCTCGAGCCAACAGTGGGATTTGGCACCTTCCTATCTGCGGATGAGGCAGCAGCTATCCTAAGAGGTCTACCTGAGCCTAGAGAGAGGCAGCTGCTTTATAGGAGGTGAGGATAGGAGAGAGTTGTACCCTGCAGGGGCCTGGTGAAGGAAGCCTCTGGGAACCAGGAAGGGAGAAGCCCCTTCTTCCTCATGTGTCCCTCCGGCGCCCTCTACTGACAGGGGTTAGCATCAAGGCATCTGGCAAAGGACGCAATTTACAAGGCCCAGTGCTATTATCACAGAGCAGAGAAAGAAGGGTAGGTTTGGAGCAGAGTTAATAACTGGAACTCCTGTTACATTCAAACTTCTAACATGCTAGTGTAGTTAAATTCCAGACAGTATGTAAAAGGCTTGGGTATGTATGGTGGGCCAGGGGAGCAGGTCCATTGTTTTCAAATATTTGAAAAACAGCTGCCTGAGGGAGGGAAGACATCATTAGTATGTGTTTCTCAGAGGGACCAAGACCAGGGACAGTTATGGGAAAGCAGATGTTGGCATCCCATGAGGGTTTTGGATGCTTCACTCCAAATGTCACCATTATCCTGACACTAAGAGTGATGAAGCTGAGGCTAGGGTGATCCTCAGTCATTTTGCGGAAGTTCAGCTGGGATAGGAGGCAGAAGTGGGTGATTCCCAAGGTCCATTCCAATCTGGAGAAGTTATGGACTTTTCAGACATACCTGTGTTACCTAAAGTGAGTTGTGCTGTATATATAGAGGTCAGCCTACCCATTTATTTATGTATCCATGTGTTATCCATATGCCTGATTATCCATCTCTCTACCCATCCATCCATGTATCTACTCATCCGCCCATTTATCCATGTATCCACTCATCCATCTGTACACCCACCCACTCACCCATCCACCATCATCCATTCAGCCATCTGTCCATCCACTCATCTAACCATTCATCCATCCATCTACCCATCCACCCACTCACCTGTTCAACCAAGCAACCATCCATCTACCCACCCATTCAGCCAACCAACCATCTATCCGTCCATCCAACCATTCGTCTATCTTCTTTTGAGTTGCTTTAAAACTCAGTAAAGTTATTTCACTCAATTAAACTAATATTATTTGGAACAGTGTTTATTGGTTGGCTTCCAAGGACTATATATGATATTAATATTGGAATTAATCAAGGACATGACGTGCAAATGCATTATTTTCATCAGTTTAGATATGAGAATAATTCTTATTTGCTGCCTTTCATATTCCAGGTGTCCTTTTTTCTGAAAATTTCTCATAATGTGCCAAAGAAGATAAGAGTAATGTGAGCAAAGTTACTGAATAAAACCACATATGACCAAAGCATTGAAATGAGAAAACAGAACATGTTTTCATCCCCGTGATTGCAAGATAATTCCATACGATCAAGTTTGAAGTTTCAGAAATCTTAAGGAACAGCTCTCTAAGCAGAAGAGCTTAAATGATTATCTGGGTCTTCTATGACTCCCCGTGTTTTATTTCCTTAGTCCAAGCCTTGTGTAAGGGTTCACAGTATGATTTTACTATTTTGTAGATGCATCTTCTTTTCTGACACATGGGAATTTTAAAGAATTGGAGTTGTGAAACAGAAATGAAAGCACAAGAAGCATTTCCTCTGTACAGCCTCTTTATTGTTCATTGGTGAAATAAGTAGCAAAGAGTCCAATTCTCTTTCTCAGGTTCTGCTTGAAGTAATTGGAACAGTCATAGTAAAAAGCAAGAGATGGAACTAGGATTCACACCTGAGTCTGTGCCCTTCACCACTATGCACTGGCATCTCCCAATGGATTAGGAAATGTGTAAGTACAAGGAGATGCCATGAGAAACTTGCAGTCGGTCGACTCTGTCACTTATAAGCTGTGTGACACAAAACAGGAAACCTCAGTACAATCCATGAAAAAAGCAGGGCCCAGAGATTAACATGGATTCCTCAACATCACACAGACAAAGAGTTGCACATCTAGGGTTGGAAATGACGCCTCTTGACCCACAATCTGGAACTCGTTTGTTTTTAACCTACTTTTTTAGTTTTGTTCCATAGAAAATCATTAATTGCTCATGAAAAGTGAAATCGCACTGCTAAAAACCTGTCCTCTGGTACTGGGGGTTTAAGTTCCTTCTGTTGCTCCAACACTGGCTGGTGTTTACACACTGGTGCCTGGGCAGGCCTCTCGCTCCGTGTCTGGGCTTCCTGGTGGTCACTGCAGCGGTCGTTACTGTGGGGGAAACAGGCGACACATGTAGGGTGACCTCCGTGGTGGTGGCTACTCTGTTTCTTTATAGACAAGTTACCTTTCTCTAATCAGCAGTCCACAGCAGTGGCTCCCTGACTGTGCCTCCTGGAGCAGCTGTTTGGGGCTCAGTGGCCGAGCACATGGTCGCAGTAAGTGCACGCCACCCAGCGAGAGTTGGTTAATCATATATAATCCACCCAACAGTGGGCTGCCTTGTAATTGTTACAGGGCCCTTTCAGTTTCTTGCAATTTCCTTTGTCTCAGCAGTTTTGGTTGCATCCTGAAAACTGTCAGGCTTTCTTGTTTCTGTAAGGACCTGACAATTCCGGCCTCACAATGCAGCTTAAATTGGACCAGCTGCTGCCTCAATGGAGCAGTCTGCCCATCTCCAAGGCATTAAGCCCAAAATTATTTCGAAAATTGAAGCCTTTGACTTGCTCTGGATTAATGTGATTAAGCAGGGCTTGCTTTAATTTGTAGCCATCTCGTCCTTTATTAATAACATCTCATCATTTGGAGCAGCATGCGTGTCTGCAAGACAACAGAAAGTTAGGTTGATTGCAGTTTCTAAGAGAAGTCTTTAATGTTTCAGGAGCAACTGATATGCAGCTTCAATTGTGGGGGCAGATTTAGATCTGCTTGTTATTCTTAATTTTTTATGTAAAACTAATAAGCAAATGAATCCTCCTTCCCTCCTCCACTTTGACCCCACCTCCCCGAGGTCTACATATGATTTATCGTTCCCTTTAAGTAATAAAGAAAGGATCTTTTTTTCATCTGAATTGTGTCAGCTGGTGAAATCTGGAAGAAATATCCTTCAGGGTTAAGAAAGGTAGAATTAAATGGATTTGATTTTTTTTCTCTGTGTAATTGAATGTGTATTACCATTAAGATAATTATAAATAATCTGTTAGCTTTTCTAAATAAGAAAGTATATACCTCATTACTTGAGACCTAGATTTTAATAATAACAGCAGTGGATTATAGTGGAAGGAATTAGGACGTGTTTTAAAAATGTCCTTAATAATTTTTAAGCTCAATGACATTATTCTTATAAAATTTATCCTGGCAAACTTAAGACAGTAATAATCTAAGTCTCGTATCTTTTTCTCCTTACAATAATTTAGCTAATGAAAGTACATGTCCAGGTATTTTTCTGAGGTTAAATCTGATCTTCCTTCTTTATTATCAGAGCCAAAGAACACAGCTCTAGGAGTCAGTAACCCTGGAGCTACTCCACTTTCTCTCACCAAAGCGCTGTGTTTTCTTGGGAAGGTCACTCACCCTGTTTATGCCTCTTTCCATATTTCTAAGAATAGGAAATTGAGGAGGAAACTTTCTAAAATCCCTTCTAGTTCTATTCTGTATTTCCAACTTCTGATGTTTCCTACCCCCATTTACAAAGTGTGTTTCACTGGGTCTGGTTCCAATACAGTCGTCTTGCTTTTTCTCTGTATGGAGTAGGTAGTATAAGTGGCAAAATGTACTGATATTTGGGTCAAATCAGATTATTTCTGGAAGTCAAAGAGCCTCAAATAACCCAATGTCATTGTATATACTTAATTGCTTATCATCTTTCTTAAAAATAAATGGCTATCTAATTTACGGTTCTTTGGCTACTTATTAGCTTATAATTTTTTGTATTCAGATCTCTTTATAATAAGTATGGGAGGTAATGCATATGCTCATTAGCTTGATTTAGCCCTTCAACAATGTATACATATTTGAAAGTTCATGTTGTATATCATAAATATATACAATTTTTATTTATCAATAAAAACAAATTAAGAAAAACAACTCTTTACATAGGCAATAAAAATACCTATGAAGGAATTGTAAGAGTAGTACCTGTTATTACAGCAGGGGCAAGTTGTAAACCTCTTTCCATTTTTTCCCTTCATTTTGCCCAATATTTTGATATCTCCTGTAATGTCGATGCTCGCTGTCTTGTTAAACACTTTATTATCACTTGAGGCATTTATTTATTTATTCTACAGATATCATTTTCAGAAATGATTTGTGGTGGTTCTTCTGGACTGAGAAGAGCCTGGGTTTCACAGCTGGGTACAGCAGGGGTGGGGTTGCCACTTGGTCTGAGTAGAAGGAATTCTGGAGTACCTTCGGGTCTCTGTCTGGGCCATCTGCTGCATAAATTCCTTTACAACACAAGAGGCAGCATACTTGCTCTTGACCTGGTTCTGTCACTGTGGAATTGGACCACCTGCCATCACAAGTAGATCCAGCAAATGTACCGTGGCTCGCACATGCACAGGTTGACTTCTTGTTCATGTAACAACCAAAAACACACTTTGGTGGGTGGCTTTCCTCACGTGGCAATTCAGGGGGTCATACAGCTTTCCTTCTGTGGCTCTGCTATCTCCCATAACCCCATTGAAATCTACATCCAGCCCATCAGATGGACGGAGAGCACATGGAGTGGGCACACCTATGGCCTGTAGGCCTTGGCTCAGCTATGGTGCACCTCACGTCTGCTCACATTCTTGGGAGACCTCACCTGCATGGCCACACTAACTGTGAGAGAACCTAGGAAATGGAATTTTTAGAGATGAGAGATAGAGCTCTACCTCCCTGTGGTGACATGGTAACTCCTAGAAGAAAGGGCAGAAATGGTTAGTATTTGTGAGTACAGCCCTTTACTGAACTTCAGAAGTTTTAGACAGTCTTTTAAAGTTGATTTCAAAGGACCTGGGCATCTCTACATTCCCGTCAGACTAATTTGACTTGTGGCTTAGTCTTTCAAAGATTTTTGGAGCTGTAAGTCTTACTGGCACCATGTAGGTGGTAGTCAGGACAGTTCTGCTAGTCTCATTGAGCATGCCTAGTAACTGGAATAGATTTTTGCCTTACAGTAGAATTGAAAAAAAATTGCCCCGTGATGGTTATTTTTACAAAGGTCATTTAGGTCATTGATTATCTGGGCATCATGCAGTTGTTTTCTTGTTGTTTCCTACCATAATTTTTACCAGGCTCTGCTACTAAATGGCTGCATGATCTTGCGTATCTGCTGGAGCCTCTGTCTCTTCATTAGTAAAAGTAGGGAATGTAATTCTTACCTTGTTGGGTGGGGTGATGATTAAAGCGTGCATTGCGTGTCTTCCATGTAGCCACTCAGCATAACTTTGTTAAGGAAATTAATTAATACAGAGTAGCTGACTCTCCAGACATATGTAATGGGTGAAAATAGGGTGGAGTTTGGACATTGATTTTAGAAACACATTCTCAGAGTTTTAAGAAATCAGCAATATCAAAGCTAATTCCCTTTGACAACTCAACTTTGTCTAAGAGATAACAACTCCCTTTGGCATCTCATCTTTGGGGCAGCGTTTTCTGATCCTACAAGTTTGAGTTTGATCGTCATCCTCCCACCCTACCCCCCACACGCCTTCTCTGTATGACTGGTTTACGTCTCTGACTCTCCCGTTATATCAAAAACTTTTTTCCCCATATGCATCCCCACCCCTAGCAAGGTTGAAATGCACAAAATTGCCATTTAAGTAGTTACAAAATGGTTGAGTATTAACAGTTTCATTTGGTTGAAGCTAACACCTAGAAGGCACAAGATATTTTGTGAGCTATTGAGCAACGTCTGACACCTGAATGTAGCGTCCATGCTGCTCTTCTTTTGAGTCCTGTGCTATGTTTAGCATCCATTATGCCATCACTGACTTCATATAGGCCATGAATATGTATATATGTATGATGTAATCCTGAGTGTGCTTCTGGAGCTATTTCAAATATCTATGACTCAGTGTGCATTAAATGTGGCAAATCTGTTTCTTGGATATTCTGTTGAATTTACCTCTAAAGACAACTAGGCCTGATATTTTCCTTTTGGAAAACATGTTTTTAACTTACAATCCATTTTCTAAAATAGTTATTAAAGATAGTGCAGCCTTGCTTTTTCTTCTTTCTGGGCCAACTTTGGGAAGTTATATTTTTCTAAGAAATTTTTGACGTGAAGTTTTTGCAGTGTTTTTCTTATCTTTTTAGGCTTTACTGAATCTGTAGTTATGGCCCCCTTTTATTTGTGATATAATTTATTTGTGCTTTCTTTTTTTTTCTGATCAATTTTTTTGCCTTCGTGAACCTTTCTATAAAGTGTTCTATGCTTCATTAACTTTTGCCCCCCTCTTTTAGTTCCATCCTTCAAATACCTTCGTATAGTTGTCATTCTCTTTTTAACTTATTTTGTTGATATTTTTTACTTTTTGCTCCTTTCTAATAATTAATTCAAGTTATAGATTTCTATTGCTGTATCCCAATCGTTTTGATAGTAGCAGCTCCATTATAATTCATTTTAAAGATTTTAACATTGTAATTGTGATTTTTCCTGTTTGAGTTATTTAAAGTTACCTTTTTGATAGTGATGTCTAATAGTCTTAAGCTAGACAACTTAAAAAATATTTGTAACCCTCATACACTGCTGGTATGAAGGGAAAATCGTGTAGTCACTTTGGAAACCAGTGTGGCAGTTCCTTAAAAGGTTAAACATAGGGTTAGTCTATGACTCAGCAATTCTACTCTTAGGTATATACCCAAGAGTCATGACAACCTGTGTCCATACAAAAGCCTGTACACAAATATTTATAGCAGCATTATTTGACTATTCATAATAGCCATAAAGTGGAAACAACCCAAACGCGCATCAGCGTGTGAATGGGTAAATAAAATAAGGTATACACGTACAACAGCGTGAACTACTAATGCACACAACAACATGGTCGATATTGAAAATGTGCTACATGAAAGAATCCACTCGCAAAAAACCATAGAGTGTATGATTCTATTTATTTGAAACGTCCAGAATAGGGAAAGCTGTAGAGACAGAAATAAGACACATTAGTCATTAGCTTGGACGGGGGAGATGGTGGGTTTGGGAATGATAGCTAAAGTGTATGGAGTCTCTTTTTGGAGTGATAAAAATGTTTTAAAATTGATTGTGGTAATGATTACCCAACTGTGAATATACTAAAAACCACTGAGTTATATTTAAATAGGTGGATTGTATAGTATGTGAATTTCATCTCAGTAAAGCTGGTTGTTACCAGAGAAAAAAGCATTTTCTACCAAAATCACCAATAAATTATGATAGCTCTAAACTACTTACTTTAAATTTGTTTGTGCTGATTCTTACTCTCTCTCACCTCTCCCTCTCTGCCATTCTCCTGGACTTTTCCCCATCGTTGGAAATGTCGAATAACAAAGTTTGGATTATTTATCAAAAAGGATTGATTTAATGAAAATGAATGGAGAAGGCTGACATGAACATAATTTTCCAGTTCCCACCCTCATAGGTAATCATCTATAAACCCACTGGGATGGCACAGCCTTGACAATGCGGCGGTGCTTACTAACAAGCACACCCGACCTAGACAGTATGATTTTGCAAAAGCAGAATCCTGAAACAATGCAAGTGCAGTGAACATAGGAGCCAGTACACCGCATATAACACAACTTAGAAAAATGCTATCGATAAGAAATGGTCTTTCAGAGACGATTTCCGGCATGTGCTACAGGGGAAAATGGTATCAAATCTACACAATGACCGGGTTCTATGGAGTGGCTCCTCTGTGGGGAATTTTACTTTATTCTCTTTGCCAGAAACCTTGACCCCACCCTGTCTGTGAAGTAGCAGCCTGCTTTGTAAAGGGGCGCTGATCAAGACGAAGGCTATTATCGAGCTGGGATCCAAACATCTGAAGCTTATCACCAAGCACAATAGTGACGGCTTCTTAGCCACGTTTCTAATTATATTTTTTTCCCTGCTTTTTAGATAAAGGGACAAAGAAATACGGGGCTTACTTTGCAGGTTTTTCAGGCTGCTCTGAAGTGTTCTTTCGAAGGTGGAGGGTTATAGTTTTGTGTAATAGCAGTGCTGGGAACAGGGTGGGTTCTTCCAGACTCTCCCCCCACGTACAATAGTGTGTGGATGGCAGAGATGCATTGGGAGCTGAAATAATTCATTTGTCCTTTCTAATGAATAGTAATAATTTATAATTCGTACTAATCAAAAACCTTTCATCCACAAAAGCCAACAAGTTTTATAAACATTCTCCTCTCACCAGCCTCTACAGTAAGTGCCTGACAAAGGTAGGATCGTCCATAATTTGCAGAAGGGCCAAGATAGAGAACACAGTGCAGAAATCATTACTAATTTATCTGCAGCTTGGAATTTATATTTGGAAAGTCACTTTGAACTTATTTTCATCAAGCTATTTTGATCGCCCAGAAATATAATTTATACTGACCTCCATAATGGATATCTGCCAAGATGAAAGCTACAAAAGTCATTGATCCAGATGTTTTCTGTTATCTGCAAACCTAGCAAAGCCATATTTGCCAGCATAGTCGACATTGTGGGGACAGGTGTCCATTCTGTGTCCCCTTGGTGTCCAGCCCTATTATCTCTGTAGCCTCCGGTGACAGAGCAGCCATAGTGGCACTGTGCTTGATGCAAAGATACCATTACCTTCTCGTCTGTTCTCTGATCAGTGAGTGGTGGCGATATGAGCTGAGCATAAAGCAGGAAGAGTGGGGATGCCCTTGTATTCAGTATACCTCCAGACCTTATCACTACCAAGTGTCCAACACAGGGCTGCTAAGTAATCTTGAAAATATACCTTCCACTCTTATCAGTGCACCTTCTTGACACCAAATCTGTATTCTTGATCCTGGAATTCAGAATTCTCCATCAAAAACATTGAAAAGCAGGTTACTTCATCAGCTCTCCTCTATATACTGTGTTGAGGAAAAGATTTGCATGTAATTAGCCTCCTTCCACCTCCCTCCAGAAAAACCCCCCAAATTTAGAGACCAGTCCTAACCCTTAGAAAATGCATAGTGTTGCAGACTGCTTTTGAAGATTAAAGAGATGAAAATTCCATTCTTAACTTCAAGAGCTTCCTTAAACCTGGTCCAAAAGACTTTCCTAAAAGCCCAGCCAGTTCAGATGATAGGTGCAGACACATCATATTGCATATATTCACATTACACACACACACACACACACACACACACACACTCTCACCCTTCTCTTTGCTGGGGAAAGGTTTGTTGCAGAAGTTACCATTCCAATACACCATGCAAGATGCATTCAGACGTTCTCTTAGATTTCAGTATCACACGGTGGATCCTGCATTTTGTCATATAAAAATTGCACATCATTTTTAGCTGCCTTCAGAACCCTCTTCATATTTATTAGGAGTATTGTGCTCCTATCCAGCAGCTAAAGCTGCTTCGTGTTGTCCAGTTAGGGTGAACTATAGAAGAAATGTCCTATCTACTGCTTTTCTTTTTTAAAAAAATTTTTATTTCCTTAAGTTTTGGGGGAACAGGTGGTATTTGGTTACATGAGTGCATTCTTTAGTGGTGATTTGTGAGATTTTGTTGCACCCATCACCCAAGCACTATACACTGAACCGAATTTGTAGTATTTTATCTCTCACCCCCTTCCTCCTCTTTCCCCCTGAGTCCCCAAAAGTCCATTTTGTCATTCTTATGCCTTTGCATCCTCATAGCTTAGCTCCCACTTATGAGTGAGAACATACAATGTTTTTTTTTCCATTCCTGAGTTACTCCACTTAGAATAAGTCTCCAGTCTCATCCAGGTTGCTGTGAATGCCATTAATTGATTCCTTTTTTGGTTGAGTAGTATTCTATCTCATATATATATATATATATATATATATATATATATATATACACACACACACACACACACACACACACACACACATATATATTACAGTTTCTTTATCTACTCATTGATTGATGGGCATTTGGATTGGTTCTGCATTTTGCAATTGTGAATTGTGCTGCTATAAACATGCATGTGCAAGTATCTTTTTTGTATTATGACTTCTTTTCCTCTTGGTAGATAGCCAGTAGTGGGATTGCTGGATCAAATGGTAGTTCTACTTTTAGTTTGTTAAGGAATCTCCACACTGTTTTCCATAGTGGTTGTACTAGTTTACATTCCTGCCACTGCTTTTCTGCTTTTCTTGAGGGATAATTGGTTAATTAGGAAAACTGACTGAAGAGAGAATGAATCATTATTATTATTACTTTTTTTTGAGACAGAGTTTTACTCTTGTTCCCGGGATGGAGTGCAATGGCACAATCTCGGCTCACTGCAACCTCCACCTCCCAGGTTCAAGCAATTCTCCTGCCTCAGCCTCCCGAATAGCTGGGACTATAGGCGCCCGCCACCACACCCGGCTAATTTTTTTTTGGATTTTTACTAGATACTGGGGTTTCACCATGTTAGCCAGGCTGGACTCAAACTCCTCACCTCAAGTGAACCACTTGCCTTGGCCTCCCAAAGTGCTGGGATTACAGGCATGAGCCAACATGCCCGGCACGGAATGAATCATTTTTTGAAAAGGTTTACAGAAACCTTTAAAAAAGAAAACTTAAATAAATGTACGTTATTGTGCCAAACATTGGATTCATGTCCATTATCTCTCCTTTGACCTAGAGTCCCCTCCCTACTTGGAGTGGCTCCTCATCTTCCTTCTTTAGCACAGTGTGGAGGTAGGAGTGAAGATTCTGGAGCTACATTATGGAGGTCTGGGTTCTGACTCCGCCCCTCAGTGGTGGTGTGATGGTGGCTGTGCCATGTAACCTCTCTGTGCCTAACTGTCCTCATCTGTAAAATGGATATAATGAAAATAGCTCTTATTGGCTTGATGGGAGAATTAGTTGAGTTAGTATATGTAAACCACTTATAGTTGTGCCTCATCCAGAACAAGCACTGTTTGCCACTATTATTATCAAATGATCTCTAGTTTTGCATCTTCAAAATCTAGTGAGAATTTAAAGACATTCGTGTAGCAACTTGAACAAAGAATTTATCTAGATTTTCATGACTTCCTCCCCAATCTTTTTTTCTTTAAAAAAAAAAAAAGCTGGAAAAATACACATAACATAAAAATTACTAACAGCCATTTTTAAGTGTATTGTTCAGCAGTATGGAGCCCATTCCCTTCGTCGTGCAGTCATCACCACCATCCACTCCTCGAGCTCTCTTCATCTTGTAAAACCAAAACTCTGTGACCATTCACCACCAATTCTGCATCCGCCTTCTCCGAGCCCTTGACAGCCACCCTTCCCAATCTTACGGAGTAGTCTTGCCTGCATTTAATTTGACAGTATTTTTAACAACTTTCTTTTATTAAGCTTTCTAAAGCATTTCCCTTATTTTTTATTTTTTGGTTTTGTTATTTTCATTTGACACCTAAAAATGGTACCTATTTATGGAGTACAGGGTGATGTTTCCATACATGTATACAATGTGTAATGATCAAATCAGAGTAATTAGCATATCCATCACCTCAGACGTTTATCATTTCTTTGTGTTGGGAACCTTCAAAAGCTGCTCTTCTAGCTGTCTGAAAATATACAATAAATGATTGTTAATTATAGTCAGTCTGTAGGGTTCTGGAATACTGGAACTTATTCCCCCCATCTCAATGTATTTTGTACCTGTTAACCAGTCTCTCCCTATATCCCCTTCCCCCCACTCCTTCCCCGCCTCTGGTAACCACTCTACTCTCTACTTCTATAAGATCAACTTTTTCAGCTTCCACGTATGAGAGAGAACATGCGGTATTTATCTTCCTATGCCTGGATTGTTTCAGTTCATAAAATGTCATCTAAGCTTATCTATGTTATCTTAAATGACAGTTTTGTTCTTTTTTTAAAACAAAATTAAATATTAATTTTAATAGAAACAAAGCTGTATTTCTTCTTCTGCTTTTATTTCTGTATGTGTGACATTTAATTAAAATTTCTAATTAGAAGATAAAGTGCAATTGGCCTAAACCAGTTTGGGAACAGTCACAACTAATTGGGTAAGGGTACCCCTCAGCTGGAGGGAGCTTCTTGGTGCAGGCATGTCAGAGGGAGCTGTGGGGTTCTGATACTGTGGGCACTGGGCACCGTGTCTGCCAGCAGGAATGGTGTGGCTTATTTAATCTAAGCCATCCTGTCCATTCTAGGATCTTCTTCCTGTGTTATGGTGCTCGTCATTTTCAACATCTGAAGCACTCTTACCTCTACCTGTGTGTGTCTAAGTAGTTCCCGTTTTTCAACATTGATATGGTTTGACTGTATCCCCACCCAGATCTCATCTTGAATTCCCATGTGTTGTGGGAGGGACCTGGTGGGAGGTAATTGAATCATGGGGGCAGGTCTTTCTGGTGCTGTTCTCATGATAGTGAATAAGTCTCACGAGATCTCATGGTTATAAAAAGGGGAGTTTCCCTGCACAAGCACTCCTCTCTTTGCCTGCTGCCGCCACCATCCATGTAAGATGTGACTTGCTCCTCCTTGCCTCCCACTGTGATTTTGAGGCTTCCCCAGCCATGTGGAACTGTAAGTAGGATAAACCTCTTTATTTTGTAAGTTGCCCAGTCTTGGGTATGTCTTTACCAGCAGCATGAAAACAGACTAATACAAACATCCAGTTAGATATACTGTCTCCATTAAACCAAAGCACTTGTCTGTGCCCCTCCCATGGCACCTAACACTTTCTATCCTGTGTTTTCAGTGTTTGGGTGAGTTCTCCAAGAGCAGGCTCAGTGTATCACATGTCTTTGGATGTCTCCTATCATTGGCTTCAAGCCAAGATTGAAGGCTCACATGTATTGAATTCCTGGCCTGTCCGGCTGGGACAGAGAGAATGAGTAGAGAAACTAAGTATCAGCACACTTTATAGTTAAAGCCTGTGTGTACGCACATGTGTGTGCACACACGTGTATAATGTAATCTTTATAGCGTACCTTTTTGGCGTTTTTATTATAACTGCTGTGCTGACAAGGAAGTCGAGACTCAGAGAGGTTAAGCGATTCGTCCAAATCAAATATTCTAGCTACAGTGCCAATGCCCTTGGCACAGTTTCCCAGCACTTCATTGTTGAAACGTTTGGTGTGTTCCTGAGGGCATGTCTTGGGGCTCCTACATTAATTACTGACCATCATCAGAGATCTACTAGTCAAGGCTAAAAGATTCCCAATATCAATCAAATTACAGCCGAGTCTGCATCTATACGAAGTCATTGGTAGCAATAATTTAGTAGTTACCATTAGCTCCAATGTTTATGGGGAGAAAGCATGAAATTATGGAATCAAACCTACTGGGCCCTGAATGACCTGAATTAAGCAAATAATTTGGCCTCATTGAGGCTTAGTTTTCTCATCTTTGAAATGTAAAACAGACATCATAATACATGGAGTTCCCATGAAGATTTAATACGCAATTAATGCATATGAAAGCATTTCATGAGCTACAAAAGTGTTACACCAATCTAAGGTATCATCATCATCCCACGCTTACAGAGTAACCAGGAATCTCAAGTCAGGAAAAGTCCAGTGCAGAGTTCGGAATAACACAGAACAAGCTACCTAAGTCCAGAAGTGGGGCCTCTGGTGTTTGTTACTGAGAGAACCCCTTTGAGACACACACCGTTCTCATGCGTTGGACTTACTATTAGTGTCTTGGTCTGGTGAATTTTTGCTCAGGGCTTTGTTTCCCTCATAAGTTAAAATAACGACAGGCAAAGGCACGTAGTCTAGCTGAATGCTCTCCATTTTTGTTTCAGACCTGGATATCCTACAGGTGTGAAGTTGCCAAGAATAAGGGAGACCCAGGGGTCAAGGGGACCATGGTAGAGCACTAGAGTCACCCTTTCCTCTGTAAAGTCGTCCCTGCGTTCTCAAGCTGTGTCACTGAACTCTGAGCCTACCCTTCTCCAGCAGTAATTGCTTCATCCTGGAGTTGCCATTTGCTTGTTTCTCTGCCCTCCTAGACTGTGAGCTCTTTGAGGTCGGGACCTGTCTTAATCCTGTTTTGGCTGCATCCCAGAGAGTGCTCAGAGCTCATGCTAGGGTTTAGTAAATACTTAGTGAATGAATCCCTCCTGTGGTTGTGATGTTGGATTACGAGCCCCATACAAAAGTGAAAATGAGGCTGGAATTATAGTTGGTTTGGTCACCATTTTGATTGTACTGATATTTGATTGAATCAGACTACTGTTTTTCAGGCTTTAAAAAAATTATAGTCGCCCTAAGCGGCCTTTTTAGACATTTCTCTCTTGTCTCCCCCAGTCCCCTTCCATTAAATTTAATACCACAGATATACTATATACCACTAGTTACTGTGGCCCTTTAGAAGCCGTAGCCATTTTCATATGTAAGATATTTTTGTCCCCCAAGAACCGATTTTTGCCCCCTTGAAGTGACACCACCCTTATTGAGAAATCATAATTTATAGAATCAGGTGGTTTGGTGCTGTGCAGATATTCTAAAGAGTTCCTATTTGATATGTACATAGTCGATTATAAAGTTCTTAAGCCTCAGTTGCTTGTTGTGTTGGCATGCTTTTAAGATAAAGCTGTTGGACTGATTTTTTTTGGGGGGCTGTGGTGTAAAATAACTGATGCTTTTGGCACTGTCTAGGAGGCAAGGCCAAGACTTTCCTCAGACCAGCAACAGTGTTTCAGTGTGGGTCTGAGTTATAAACAAATCTGAAGTTCTTAGTTCCATTTTTTAAAAAAAATTTAGACTAAAAATGTACTTACATTTATTATTAATAGTTTAGTTAGAGCCATGCTTCCTGAGCAATCCTGCCACATCCTTCCTATGTGAGCTATTTGTAAATAATGTACTATCCAAGTTGGGAGAATATGTTACCACCATATACACTTAAAAAGCAACTATAATGTGGCTAATGTGCAGAATGAATAGGCAATTTTCATTGTCTTTGGATGACGTGAAGTAGCTCTCTGGCAAAAATGGTGCAAGCAGCCACGGTGTTTGAAGTGGTGAGCTTCAATAGGAGTGCCATTTCTTTTTTTTTTTTCCTTTTTTCTTTTTGAATTATTTTACTTTATCTTATTTTTTTGAAATGGAGTCTCGCTCTGTCGCCAGGCTGGAGTGCAGTGGCATGATCTCGGCTCACTGCAACCTCTGCCTCCCAGGTTCAAGCCATTCTCCTGCCTCAGTCTCTGGAGTAGCTGGGTTTACAGGTGCCCGCCACCATGCCTGGCTAATTTTTGTATTTTTAGTAGAGACGGATTTCACCATGTTGGCCAGGATGGTCTTGATATCTTGACCTCATAATCTGTCCACCTCGGTCTCCCAGAGTGCTGGGATTACAGGCATGAGCCACTGCACCCAGCCTTCTTTTTAATTTTTGTGTGTACATAGTAGGTACATTTATGGGGTATACGAGATGATAGGCATATTATCTTGTGTATCAAGATAGTGGGTATATATATTTATGGGGTACATGAGCTGTTTTGATACAGGATGCAGTGTGTAGGAATCACATCATGGAGAATGGGGTCTGCATCCCCTCGAGCATTTATCCTTTGTGTTACAGACAATCCATTTATTTTCTTTTAGTTATTTTGAAATGTACAGTTAAATTATTGACTATAGTCACCCTGTTGTGCTATCAAATGGTATGGAGTGCCTTTTCTCATCCATCGCATGGAGAGTTTAGAACAGTTTTTGAAGAATATGAAAACATATTGGACTTGATTTCAAAGACCCCTTCTATTATCATGCTCGTAGGGCCTCTCTAGTTGTCTTTTAACTCTGAGGTGGAACACAGACACTTTTAGGAAAACGTACGCTTGACAACTTACCCAGAGAAACCTATCTTTGCTTGGAGAGCCGTCCATGTTGTTCTGTTTGTACTAACATAGATCCTAAACATTTGAAGTCTTCTGGCATCTCATTGTGAAGTTCTGCGATGCCATGGTTGATCATTATTAGTATATGGAGTTATAAGATTTGATTACCACTGGTAAGTTCCCAAAGTGCTTTGTGCTTTCCCCTTTATGTCTGTTATTGCTCTTAACCATCTTCTAAGATTGATAGGACAGATATTAGTATGCCCATTTTATAGATGAGCAGCCTGTGGCTAAGAGAAGTTAAGTGGCCTCTCTAGCAGATTATGCCCTCAAATGTAGAAAAACTCAATGTGGTTCTTCAGACTCCAAAGTCAGTGCCATTTACTTGCCCGTAGTAAATGCCTTCAGCCTTCTTAAAAGCCATCGTGGAGGAGTGAGCAGGTCCCAAGAAGCACTGCCTGGACTGTGAGTAGGAGGAGGCAGAAGTTGACTTAATAAAGGCATGGATTTCTAGCAATTAGGACATCCCAATAGTGGCATGAACTACTTTGAGAATTAGAGAGTGCCCTGTCTTGAAATGGTCATCTGGAGGTTGGAGTGGGCTAAACTATATAGTATGCCATTTGGCTAGATGACCTTTCAGGTCCCTTACAATTCTGAGACTTTGTTGAAAAAAAAAAATGTTCTGTCCATTTCCTCCTTTGTGGTTTAGCCACATACATCAGATGCCCAAGTTCGTGGTTCCTTTCCCAGCTTTGCATCAGAAGCACCCATGGGGCTTTGTGAGAATGCATATGCCAGGCCTGCCCCCAGCTCTCCTGTATCGGAATTCCATTGGTGGGGTGGAGGGGGAGGCGTGAGAGTATGTTTCAGAGTTCCACAAGGATTTCTAAGTTGTTAAATTGTGAACCACTCTCCTTGTGTAGCCCACTGACAACAAGGCACACACAGACCTCTTTTTAAACTTGGTGGTATAATTCAGTAGCATCAAGGAATCATAGTTTCTCAGTGTGCAATACCCTTGTTAATATTAAAAGGCCATTTAATAAACTGCATTGGTTCTCTTGGCTGCAGGGATACCATGGTCCCTGCTTGACAGATTGGTTTTGCCCATATCTTATCATCCCTGCCTGTTTCGCAGCAGAGTGGGAGTTTGGTGCCAGTCTAGAAAATGGGCACAGGTCCTTTTGTACCCTTCTTATTCTGGAAAATCCAGCTCAAAGGGTTAGCATTGGGTGCGAAGGCCAGCCTCTGAAATCAGCAGGTTGGATACAGAAACTAGGGAGTGGCTCACTGCTATCCTAGTTACCTACTTCTACGTACTGGTTTTCTTTGTACCAGTTAGAAACCTCCAGTGCACAAAGAATTAACGGTTGCCATTGACTGCTTTCTTGAAGACTTTTCTTGATCCAGTACTGAGCTGTGTTTATGGCACTCCTCTGAGAGCATAATCTCTGAAGGATATGTCTGTATAAAATATACAGCAGAGGATCATAAATTCTCCATCGTGTCTCCCCATGGCGGGCCAACAACAACAAAAAATTCACAATTGCTCCACCAGTATTTTTTTTCTACTTTTCAATCAATAGGATGCTTTTTAAAGCTTATGTTTCTCGTCGGACACTTTAAGTGACGAATGAGACAAAAGAAAAAAAAAGCCAAGATAAAATGACAGTATAGACACTCCTCAAATCCTATAATGAACTCCACAGGGCATCCAATTTTGATGTATTAGGATTTTTTTTTTATAATGAGTACATTGTTGGAAATCACATTTTCTATCCGCAGGAGCTGGAGATGAAACCGAGCTGACATCTTACCTCTTTGTAGTTAATTAGCAAGAGAAAAGTAGTGTTTTGAATCTCGTGTGGGAAAAGGGGAGGTATTATTCACCCACCCTCGCCCCTTTCTCCCTTCAAACACCTGGATCATTCTGTGTGCTCTTTGATTTGGTTTAACGGTTTGGATAAGTCTGGCTGGCAGGGAAAGGATGAGGGAGGTTGAAGAATGGTTATTATTTAATGAAAAAAAATTACTGTGTCTCCCTCTCCCCTCCATCTTGCTTATAGGATAAATAAACTAAGTCAAGTCTTTTTATTTTAAAGATCAGTTTCTTACCTGGACTCGGACTCTAGGCAGTTCCCGTGGCACAAGGGTTGTTTGTTGTCACCATCGTTACATTAGTCACCGTGGAATCCTCAGTGCTCAGCACCGTGCATGGAGCTTAGCAGGCATTTGATCAGTATTTATTAATGAATAAATAAAATGGTGCTGGCCCATACAGTAAAGTATTCTAGTCGCATTAGCTGTGTCTAATACCTTTCTCTGCATAGTAGCCACATCCACTTTAGGATTTGTAGTGAGGTTTCCGTAGAATTCAGTGGTTAGGGACAGAGGGTTGGAGTCCAGTGTGCATGTGGGATTCCATCTAGGGACTGGTCATTGGCAGGTGAATGGAGCTGGGGTCCATACAGATGCCCCGTCCGGATGAAGGATAAGTGAGTGGTGGGCAGATGCAGCACGAGGGCTCCTCCGGCCCGTACGTCTTTATTAACATCACATCACATGCCCAGTCCTGGGGCCTACAGAGGAGAGCCACTGTCACTAAGCACATACTTGTAAGCACTGAGCACTCACAGGTTGCACCGCATGGGACTGATCCCAAGTAGAATAAGATGGGGCGGCAGGGCCGGGTGTGGAAGGAAACACCACTTTTTGCATCTCCTCTCCCTGCCCTTGCTGAACTCTGCCTGCTCCCTCCACCGTCGGTCCTCTTCACAGCCACCCGGTGGGGGACCCCAGGGGAGGTGACTCAGTGGAGGAGCCCTGCTCTGACAAAGTCAGTCCCACAGAATCGCACTGGCCGGGCTCTCTCCCTGCACAGCGCCTCTTCCTGGGGTCCCCAGCTCAGAGAAGCCTCCTGGAGGAAGCAAGACTCGAGGGGACCCTGAAAGCAGGCAGGGCTTGGACTGTGGGTAGCCTGGGACACTGTGGACTGGGGACAGCAGGACCTGGGGTGACCCTGAGGGCAGAGAGGGCTTGGTGGGCGAGCCCTACAGGCTGGGGACAGCAGGAGCCGGTGGTGGGTGTGAGGGGTTAGCCTGGCCTGGGGAGGGTGGGGGAAACCAGGTTGCTGTCATACCAGTGATGGAGGGCCCTAGTGGCCAGCCAAGGGCTCCTGTAGGCCCCAGGGAAGGGGACAGAGATGACAGGTGTGGAGAAGCAGCAAGGAGGAGGGCTTGTTGGCCTCTGGCTAGGCTTGGGGTTGTCTCCGTCCCTCGTGAGCTCTGAGCCTTGGCTTTCCTCTCAGTAAAATGGACATAGGAGCATTTACCCCAATGGCCAAGGGTGGCTGCAATGCTGACATGAGTCTATGGATCTAGAGGCTTTGCAGGGCACAGGACACTGTCTGAAGGCAGAGTCTGAGGTTCCTGTCCCTATAGGATTGCATCAGGGGTGCGCCATCCCTATGATGGGCCAGCTAAGCAGCTCCCATGGTGGCCAGGTGCGTGGGTAAGCTCATGAGCCACTTTGTGGCTTTGCAACAACAAAGATGAGCTACTGCTTCCATTTGGATTCCTGCTCTTGCTTTGGATGCCCTCCCCGCCCCACAAGTCATCTGCCGTGACCGCTTCCTCCGTGTGCGTCTGACGTCCCGGTATGCGTGTGACTGCTCAGGCGTGACTGCTTAGCGCCCACCAATGCTCTCCTCCAGACATCTGCATCTCTGAGCATCTTAGCCTGGGCCTCAGTCCAGCCTCCCCCACTTGATATTTGAATGATTTTGGACGAGCACTGTGTTTTGGATAGCACTGTGGTGACTGTTACTAGGGAATCATCTGGACAGCGAAGAAAGGTCTGACGTGTCTCTGGTTCCCCAACCTCTTCCTCAGCTGTACTGCAGGTCTCCGTAAAGGGTTCCTTTCCTGTTTCCTTCCTCCCCTCCTGCTTCCTCCCCTTCCCTCTCCTCCCTCCCTTTCCTTCCCCTTCTCTTCCTCCTTGCCCTCTGGGGCTCCTGTGAGTCTCCTGATGACTGGGGCAGCAGGTGCTGGGACACAGGAGAGCACAGGCTGAGAGCTGGCTACTCAGGGATCTGTGGCGCTCTAGACCAGTGGTTCACAACCTTTCCTTAACACTAAGAATCATCTTGGGCCAGGCATGGTGGCTCATGCCTGTAATCTCAACACTTCGAAAGGCCGAGGTGGGAGGATCACCTGAGGTTAGGAGTTTGAGACCAGCCTGGCCAACATGGCGAAACCCCATCTCTACTAAAAATACAAAAACCACCCAGGCATGGTGGCATGCACCTATAATCTCAGCTACTTAGGAGGCTGAGGCAGAATTGCTTGAACCTGGGAGGTGGAGGTTCCAGTGAACCGAGATTGCACCACTGCACTCCAGCCTGGGCAAGAGAGTGAGACTCCTCTATCTCTAAATAAATAAATAAATAATTTTTAAAAAGAATCATTTTGGGAAACTTTTAGACATAGATTCCCTGACCAAGGACATTGGGAACCAAGTCACAGTAGCAGTCAAATGATACTAGCAACGCTGCCATGAAGAAAGGTGATACCGGCTGAGTTATTCTGCCTGTGCTGGGCCAGACTGCTCAAATGCCTCCCGTGGAGTTTTGAGCTAATCATCAGGACAGTCCCCTGAGGTGGGTGCTATCAGTGTCCCCATTTTGCAGTTAAGGAAGTTAAAGCCCATAGAGGAAGAAGCTTTGCCAAAGTCACACAGCTGCTAAGTGACCAGGGTGGCAACTCGGGCACTCTGGCTCCCAAACCGAGTTCTTGAGCTCTCCTCTCCATGCTCCTTTGGTCTGGGTGGTGCCCAGCCATCTGTCTAGATAGGTATCCTGCTGACTGCAATGTGGCAGTCTATGGCTGGTAGGGACGTGGGGGAACAGTGTGACCGACCTCCTTGCACAGGGCTGTCATTGCACTGCGGGCTACAGCAGAGCCCAGTTCACACTGGAGGGGCACCCACTCAGCTGGGCTGTTTTCTGAGGAACCAGTTGTTTGTCCTCCCCTAACCTTCCCCACAGCAGCACAGAGTCCAGGAACCCTGAGCACCGGGACCAGGGCCGGCTTGGGAGGGGTGGGGGCGGGGGCTTTGTGCACAGGTCTTGCCTGTGGGCCTCATTTCTGTGTCTCTGGTATGAGAAAAACCTGGATTGAATAGAAAGACCTTCCCTGAAACTGGGAGGTTGCTGAGAGACCAAAGAATGACTTGGACAAGTCCAGCTTGGCGATAGATGAGTTTATTAGGACTTACATAGCAGGCACTCCTGGGCGGCAGGACAGATCTAGAGATCTCTGCTGCTCCCGTCTCTAAACTGCCTTTAAGCTAATTTCCTGGCTCTTTGCCTACTGTGTTTGGGCAATGAGACTGCTTGTCTTGCTACGTTCTCAGATAAGTTCCGGGGCATTGGGTTCTCAGGGACGCCTGCTCCTCAGCTGGGCACCATGGCCTCAGCTCCACCTGACTTCAAGGCTCAAGCAGTGGACACACACCTTTAAGGAACCTGCTGGGGGACCGTCGCACTGCGCTGCCTCTCTCATTTCCCATTTCTTGTCCCCACGAAGCCTCTCCGGAAGGCACAGGCTCTGCTCTCGTTCTTACTCCTTCCTTCTCACACAGGGACCTGGGGATCTACACAGACCACGTGGGCCTAGACTGCTGGCCCAGTGACCCTTGGAGGCCCCCTTGGTCCTTCTAGATGAGCCCCACCTGGGACCCCACGCAGGCCGAGCTGCTCTTGGTTCTGACGGCTCTGCTCGGCCTCCCTCCCAAATCTTGTCTACATAAGACCTGCTTCCCTGCTGGCGAAGCACCACCATTTCTATGGAGAACTTGGGGTGTCATTCTCAACTCCAGTCTGAGTTGCCATCATGTTCCATGATGCTGGCAGCGTGTCCCAGCCTGTGGTCACTTGGCACCCCCTGGAGAGGTGGACTTGTACTCTGGATCTGCAGCCCAGGCAGCAGTGGGAGCCTCTCCTCCAGCTCAGCCCCGGTGCCTCTGCCCTCTCCCAGGTCTCATGGACTCTGGTGGACAAAGGTTCTTGTCAGAGGAAGTCGTTGACAGGGTGCCATGGGAAACGGCCTCTCCAGGGAGGCAAGATTCCAGCCTCAGCTCTTGCTCCTGTAGCCCCTCTTTCGGAGGTGTCTTTCTGCCTGGATTAAACACTTGCTCATTAAACCTGGCTTAATAAGAAACTAGAAAAGAAAAAGAATTAGAAAAATTCTGATTCTAGACTGGGTAATCGCTTTGAGAAATGCGATTTTTCCCTTTTGCCACTTCATCAAAAGAGTGAGAATCTGGGCCTTTCTAGGGTGTGGATGAAGGCTGAGCTGCAGTCTCCAGCAGAGGAAGCTCAGTGCCCAGACCAGTAGTACACACAACTGAGACTTCTAGAATGAATGAAGAATGAATGAATGGATAAATTGGAGTGAGGCACTTACAGAGATAAAATTCAGTTTGATAAGAAGGAGGCGTCCTTAAATCTTGTGTTTTCTCCTAGAGTTGAGTCCTAATGGGGGCGGCATCCTTGTACGGAAACACGAAAGGTTAATAGCAATAACAATAGAAACCTCGTGTTTGTGTATGGAGAGCCTTACGCTTCCCAAATACTTTCCCACAGATGACCTCATTTAATCTTTGTTTTGTCACAGAGATATTTTATTCCCATCTAAAAAAGTAGGACACCCGGGATCACAGTCAAAAAGGTATTAAACTCTGTGTTGGAATGATGGTTTAAGCTACTTCTTGTGACTTCTATTCCAATTTTCCCCATGTCATCACGGCTGATTAGAGAATAATTATGATAATACAACTGAGAATAATATAAGATGTAGAGACTTAAGTCCCATGTGCCAGGCACTAATCACCCAGTTTGCAGGTGAAGAAACTGTGCATAGAGTGGTTGGGTAGATAAAGGCCCCCCCAGCATGGGTGTGGGTCCCGAGGAAAGGCATGGCTCATTTGCCAGGGAGCTGTGGTGTGGACCTGCTTTGCCTCCTCTCCCAGACCCCGCCAAGGTCATGCACCTGCCCAGCAGCAGAGCCAGGAGGCCAACCCTGACAATCTGACTCCTCACCACTACCTGCTGGCATCTCACCACAGCTCACCGGCTCTCTCTTCT